>NC_000002.12:7888787-8191818 GCF_000001405.40 Homo sapiens
CTCCATTGTGTAGCCACAGCATCTGGAAAATCTGGAATCCAAGGGTTCAGTGGTAGAACAAAAAGATGGTAGAGGAAGTACAGGCCTGAAAGTGATATACATCATTTCCCCTCTCATTCCACTGAACAGAACAGAGTTATACGGCCCCAACCTAACTGCAAGGAAGACTAGGAAACGTACTTTTTCTGAGACCCCAGGAAAAGTCACAATATAGAGAACACAAGGTTGCCCCTCCTGCAGTCTATTGCAAAAGACCAGACACCTGCAAAGATAGAGGAGGTGATGCAATGCTTACAAAGATCCCATTTAACAAGGTATTTGCTTGTAACTCGTGCTTCTTTATTTTCTGTTCTATTTTTTGATAAAAGATTTGAGCCTCACCTTCCCTTACTTAAAATACGTGGAGTTGCTCCTGTATTCCTGACCAAATCCTGATATAATAATTAGGAACATGGATTTTCATGTCCAAGAGACAAGAGTTGACATAGCAGCTCTCCTACAAGGGTGGAAATGTTAATCCTACTTATCTCATAGGGCTGTTCTGACAAATAAGGAATAAAAGTACACTGTAGACTGTACAAAATCAAAAGAAAATAAATATTCCATCTAATGAAAAACTACCGTTTCCGAAGGTTATTTCTTCTCCATAGCTTTAATAAAATGACCTTTTAAAAGACCCTTTCATATGAGGTTGATACCTCCGAGAACTTTATCTTTCCGTAGAGGTCTTTGAAACTTCTGTTCCACATTCGTTCCTTTGTTTTGTCCAAACCTGTAAAGGAAGAGACATACGGCCCGAGGCTGCATGAGCTCCCCAAGACCATCCCTCAGCACAGCTTGGTGAGCCCAAGAAGGCAATAGGATCTGATTGCAGAGGAGCCCAGTTAGAACCCCTTTCCTTGTTTGGTGTAAAATGAGATTTCCTGAATTTAACATCCTGTAACTTTGGTTTATACAGCTGAGACTTCTTATTAACGTCTGAGATTGGTTTGCGTCCTGGACACAGGCTGCATACCATTACAGAGGGATTTATTTGACTCCTCTGAGAAGGACTCCATTTTGTCCTCCAAAAGCATTGCTTTTCTCAGGTTTATCCAGGAAAGCATGGGTGGCCCTTACATAATCTGGAAATTAATTGTTGACTGTGGAAAGAAGGGGTCGTAGGAAATTCCTAAATTCTAACCTGAGCGCCAAGTCCCAGATTCCTTACGTTATTCTTAAATATCCCTTGCAACCTCCCCTCCACCCCGACACATGCTTTTTGTCCATTTGTTTGTCTTTGAGCCTTATGTACATAAAACCAATGTATTCTTTGGAAAATGAGTGCGAAGACTTTGTGTTTTTAAATTTAAATTAATGGTCTTGTGCAGCAAGTACAGTGGGCATATAACTGATTTTCCGGGGAATGTTGAGAGTGAAATGGGCACCTAGTAATATTCACTCTGCGATAACAGTCAAAAACTGGGACTATCCTTGCCAAACTAAGACTTGTGTTCACCCTAAACATAAAATAAAAGTCTTTTAAAAAATTTTGATACAATGTTACATTTTTTCAATTTTTACATATTCAGGTCATTGAATAGCATCTCATATTACATATATGTCATGATGTCTACCTTATACGAAGCTATAATAAATGACCTCATGTGCTTTTCAAAACTAGTATCCTTCTCATTGCTTGTGAACTTGAGTTTCTTTTACATATTTATTAATCACTAATGTTTCAAGGCCTATAAATTGACTATTCATAATCATTGCCCATTTTTCTGTTGTGTTTCCCTTTCCTTCCTGATTTACGTGAGCTCCTATGAATTCTAGATGTGAATTTTTTTGAAAATTTAAGATTTTATAACTGTTTTTCATTAGTATCCCTTCTTCCATGTTTGTCTCTGACATTCTTGGTTAAATATATATTTTTAATTTAGAGGTAATTATATTTACAGCTATCCCTTATTTACATTTAAGTTTTCCTTTTTGGTTTGTGCTTTTGAAATCCTACTGAATGTCTTCCCTCATCTCAATGATGTACTTCCTCATTTTCATAAGCTTTAAATCTTTACATTTTACATTTAGGCTTTTTTTTCCATTTGGAGTTGATTTTTGAGGTGTTGTGAGTTGGGAATCTACCTTTAATTGTAAAACTTTAGACCCAGGTTTCCCAATACATTTGCTAAACCTCTGTGCTTTCACTACTTCACTACACATCAAGTTTGCAGGTTTCTCCATCTGTTCCTGGCTTGTATGTCAATTTCTGTTCTAAAATACTATTTGTTCGACAAATGTTTGGAAGCATGTCGTCTTATCTGGTAGGGCTATTCCCCCATCTCTTTTCTTCATTTCCAAAGTTTCTTAACTATTGAATGTATTTTGAATTGATTTTCCAATTTGCCAAAACCTGCTACTGAAGAAATTGCTTAGAATTGTATTGAATTGATGAATGGATTTTAGCAAAACTGATTATTCATAAAATTAACTCATCCAACAGGTAGCAGCAGCAAAAATGGCAAAATGAGGACTTTTGAGAATTCCTTTCTCTATGGAAACAAAACCCTGGGGGAAAATGGTCTGAATCAACCTTTTCAGAACTCTGGAAATTAGCCCGAGACTTGAAGCAATTCAGGTTGCATTTGTATAAGAAAAGTGACAGAATCTCAGTAAGAACAGCAAGCTTTGAAGGATTTGAACTTGCCCAGTTGCCTTCCTTCTTTCTCCATCTCTGCAGGGGACTTAAAACCAACATCCCACACTCATAATGAAAACCTGGCAGGAGGCAGAACAGGATTGGAGCTGCTTCAAAGCCTTAGGTCCAGAGAACTCATCACCTATGCAGATCCTCAATAAGACTCAAAGCTGATTCCGCCTCAGAAACCATGGAGACCCAAAGCCAAATTCAAAGTGCTGAAAGTTAACTCATCCAATCAGTCAACTCTTGTACAGACCTCCTTTTTTTTTGTTCTTGGAGTTTGTTTTATTCTAATAAAGGTGTTTTATATTGTTGTTGTATTATTCTTAAATACCATATTTTAGTTGCTATTATAAATGGTACTTCTATTGCCGTTTTGTCTAACATTTTCTGGTGGTCAAATTTCTAGCTAGTGTGGAAGAACACTGATGGTTTTTACTTATTGATTTTCTCTCTGGCAATCTCACTAAACCTTATGATAAGTAATAAACCTTATGATAGTAGAAAAGGTTGATATGATATGATAGTAGTAATCCTCTGGATTACCCATCCCCTCTTGATAATCTCTGTTGAAATAATCACATTATGTGCAACTAATGACAATGTCACTGCTCTTATAGTCTCTATGTGCATTTCTTTTTCTTGTCTTACTGCTTT
This sequence comes from Homo sapiens, assembly GCF_000001405.40. NCBI lineage: Eukaryota > Metazoa > Chordata > Mammalia > Primates > Hominidae > Homo > Homo sapiens. The sequence continues at coordinate 7,892,128 of NC_000002.12, forward strand.
GACTCATTCAGTTGACTGCCATTCACAGAACAGATGTGGAACGGTTGTTTTCGTTATCATGTGCCTAAAAAGAATGTGATTAAAATTTGCCAGTTCAATATAATATTGGATGTAGGGTTTTAATAAATAACTTTCAACAAACTGCAAGAGTCATCTTCCCTTTCTAGTATTCTAATGGCACTGGTTTTTTAAAAATAATAAATTGGTATTGAAGTTGTCTTATGCTTTTTTCTGTATCCATTTCCATTAAGATAATTATTTGGATTTTTTCTACTTTTCATTATATGATATATTGAATAATTATATTTTCTGAGGCTGAACTCTCCTTGAATCTCTGTTACAAATGCTGCTTGTCATGAGATACTATTTTTCATGCTGTCGTTAAATTAGTAAATTAATTTTTATTTAGGATCTTAAATCTACATATGTAAGTAAAACTGATTTTTTTGTTCTTATAATATCTTTGTCTAATTTTAGAATCAATCTTATAAAGTGTGAAGCCTCACGAAGTGTTTTGAGATGACTTCACTTTTTATATTATATGGGACAAGTTCCATCAGATACGGATTACCTGTTTCCTGGAAGTTTAAAATTACATAGCTACCTATAGAAAATTATATCGTTAATATTTCATTTTCTTTCATGGTTACTAGTCTGTACATATATACACATATTTATATGTGTATATATACATATATACAAATAAATTTGTATTGAGCATACATATATATATACACACATATATACCGAATTTGGCTTCTCAGAAATCCATCTATTATCAATGAGATTTCCATTTTATTGGCAGACAGTTTTTACAGTGTTACTATACGTTAAGTTTAGTAATTTGCTTAATTTACTATCATTTTCCAATTTTCATAGTCCATTTTATTTATTACCATCTTCTCTCTAACTTTGGGATCATTTTTATCAGAAATCTAGCTGACATTTCAGTATTTCCATTTCATGGGCTGAAGGATTTGTTAATTATCTGGTGTGTGTTTTTGTGTGCTTTTTTTTTAAAGCAAAGATTTTTTGACTTGTACGAAAGTAAGATATAGACAAACTAGATGCTAAAAGAAAATATGCAAATAAATACTCACTATGAAAAGTGAAAAATAATAGGAAACATTCTAATATATAATGACAATATTTCCTTCCTTTCATTTCTTGCCTTTGGAACTTTTTTAAATTTTTATTTTTTTTTTTAGACGGAGTCTCGCTCTGTCACCCAGGCTGGAGTGCAATGGCCCGATATTGGCTCACTGAAACCTCCGCTTACCAGGTTCAAGTGATTATTTTGCCTCAGCCTCCCAAGTAGCTTGTAATACAGGCATGTGCCACCACACCTGGCTAATTTTTTAATTTTTAGTAGAGATGGGATATCGCCATGTTGGCCAGGCTGGTCTCAAATTCTGGGCCTCAGGTGATCTTCCCGCCTTGGCCTCCCAAGGTGCTGGGATTATAAGCATGAGCCCCCATGCCTGACCCCTTTGGAACTTTATTAAATTAATGTTAGTACTTCTATCTTCCATATCTTTTAACTTTTTTCTCAATCATCATATTACTTTATTGCTTTTGAATGTATGCTGGAAGACATTATTTAAATTCAACTTACAAATTGATTCTTCAGCTATATCTATTATCTATTCATCTGTAAAAATCCATTCATTAAGCTCTTTATTTCATCAGTTTCATTTGTCATGCCCAAAGACTTCATGTATGCTTGTTCTTGCTTTCAATATCTTTTTTATTCTGAGAATATGTGTATATGTGTATATATATATACACACACACACACACATTTAGAGCTCAGAAAAACGACACTCCAAAAAGAAGGCCGCTGAGCAGTGAAAGTTTTTCTCTTTCTCCTGACCTTCTGTCTCTCAGTCTTTAGCCAGCCATAGAAATGAAAATCTCTCTTTCCCAAGGTGGGTCATAGAAACCAAAGTCCCACTGTCCCTAAGCCAATCATAAAACCTGGAAATATTACATAAGTGTTGTCTCTGCTTTTTTGTGTAAAAACTGGCCATAGAGAAATTATCTGACCTACCTTGTTTGACTGTAGATCATAAGACCCCTAATATGGTTTGACTCTGTGTCCCCACCCAAATCTCTCCTTGCATTGTAATAATCCCCTCATGTCAAGGGCAGGACCAGATGGAGATAATTGAATCATGGGGTCAGTTTCCTCCATGCTATTCTCATGATAGTGAGTGATTTCCCACGAGATATGATGGTTTTATAAGGGGCTTCCCCTTTCTCTCAGGACTCATTCTCTCTCCTGCCACCCTGTGAAGAGGTGCCTTCTGCCATGATTGTAAGTTTCCTGAGGCCTCCCCAGCCATGTGGAACTCTGAGTCAATTAAACCTCTTTATAAGTTACCCAGTCTCAGCTATTTCTTCATAGCCGTGTGAGAATGGGCTAATACCACCCCATTCCAGAGAGGGTCCTGCCCAATACTCAGAAGGAAAGAATGCAGGCTCAGAGAGGCTAAGAAGAGTCCAGATAGGGCTTGCTGGGTGTCCCCACTCTGCCTATTAGCATTAGATCATATACTTTTGGTCCAATCATATTTCTATACAGCTGTTCATACTTTGTTGAACCTAAGCATAAAAACAAATTTCCTCTATATCTTTGCATCTTCATTCTGAAGGCTACTGTGTATATACATTAAGTAAATTTGTATGTCTTATCTCCAATTAACCTGCATTTTGCAAGATGATTTTTCAGTGAACCTTCAGAAGACAATATACATATTTTATATTCTTATTCTATATCATTCTGTTAGTTTTGATTCCTCAAGTATTGATATTTCTGTTTATTCGATGGTTCTCATAATGCTTTGGCCAGAGGGATTTCTTGTGAGATCATCTTTTATTCTCATGGGACTACTAGCTGCTTTGTTTACAATGTGTGCTGGATGATGGAGTAAAAGCATGCCTTTAGTTTATTTTCCTTCAGGAAAATTTGGGGCTGTTCCAGGGAACAGAGTTCCCTGTGTTACATTCTAGGGTCTGGACTCTCCTTACTGCCTTCTCCCCACCATAGAACTTTCTAGGATTTCCTTTCCAGGCGCTGCTCTGTCCCCATGGTTATCAACCTCTCTGTCATTACATGTCCCACTTGGTGGAGGTGGGGCTCAGGGGCTCTGTCAGGCTGGCCAAGTCTGCTGTACCATTTGCTGAGGACTCCACCCATGCTGTGGTCTAGTTCCAAATTAACATCACCCACCCACCTTGGGCGAGACAGGGCTGACCCATGTTTTATTCTTACTCTGTTGATGTTAAAGCACTGACAGAGATCCATTCAGGGAAGCAGGAGAATAAAAGCAAAACTAAACAACCAATGCAAAACAAGTCCACGCCTCCCTGGCTGTGGGTGATGATTCTCTCTGGCTCCAGGCTGCTATCCAGTTCCTCTTCTACCTTCTGCTGCAGCCATGGGCACTCAATGATCTTCTCTCCTGCTAAGGGCTCCCTACAATCTTTATGTCAGGTTTATAAGATTCTGATGTCATTGACCTCCATGTATCATGAACGGCCTCTTAAGAATAGAGTAAAGACACCCATATCTTAAGTATCTCTTCTACAACCTCTAGTGCACTATTTAAAATTCTTAAAAGAATCCAGGATACAAGATGCAGGTGGTGATGGTCAGAATGAAGGGCCTGGAATAGAGATTCCTAAAAAGAGGTCACATGAGGAACATTTGGAGGGATTGGTGAGCTGGCAGCCATATCAACCCAAGGCCCACTCTTCCTGCCATGGTTGGTGGGACTCAGTGTTTAGAGAACAGCTGGTACAGGCTTGAATTCTTAGATCACATGCTGGTCACATTGCATGGCTTTGCTGAAGGTGAAAACTTGCTTTCAATATTAAAACTAGACAGCGTAATCATTGACAGACAGCAGTGAGATATCTGGTGGAGTTAAGATACCTTGGGAATAGATGGCTGCGTTTGGAATTTATTTGATGTGCATATGCAGTCTGTCATCTTTCCAGCCAATCCCATATTGCTGTCTTGCCTCTTCATTATCTCCCCAACCTGAGAGATTAAAGAGAAGCATTTTGTTTGTCAGCTCAGAAGTAAGCACTGTCCATTACCTGATAAGACTGAAGCAGGGTTTAACAAGCCAATTTGAACCAAATAGAAAATGTCCTATCATGCTATCAGCTGGTCTCTTTGTTTGCGCATACTGTCCCTGTGTTCTTGATAATCTGGTAAAACCCAGGGAAACTTAGTATATATGGATTAGTCAGAAATGAATGCTCACTTTGGAAGCCTGCTAGAAGAGGTCAATGCATTTCTCTACAGGAAGTGCCTAGATTTATAACCTACAGGATTGAGGACAGTGAAAATAAGAAAGGCATTTCATGTAAATTAGAAAATATCTCCAGAATCTTCTGATTCTATCTCAAGTGAGAAGCCAAGTCCAAAAAGGCTGGAGACCAATTTCTAATTATCATCTTTGTATTTGTATAAGCTTTGACATTTTGGGGAGGATAAAAGTATGTATGTGCCTATGAATATCCAGATGTTAACTCCTCTGAATGAACAAAGACAGGGCTTCTCCCATCAGCTGGGAAATTCAGTAGGTGAAGTAGAACTTAGTAGAGCCTGTGTTTAGAGCCTTAGGGGATGTTTAAGAACTCTACTACTGGCTGGGTGCGGTGGCTCATGCCTGTAATCCCAGCACTTTGGGAGGCCGAGGCTGGCAGATCTTGATGTCAGGAGTTCGAGACCAGCCTGACCAACATGGTGAAACCCCATCACTACTAAAAGTACAAAAATTAGCCGGGCCTGGTGGCGTGTGCCTGTAATCCCAGCTACTCAGGAGGCTGAGGCAGGAGAATCCATCTACTCAGGAGGCTGAGACAGGAGAATCCCTTGAACCCGGGAGGTGGAGGTTGCAGTGAGCTGAGATCGTGCCACTGCACTCCAGCCTGGGTGACAGGGCAAGACTCTATCTCAAAAAAAAAAAAAAAAAGGGAAGTACTCTACTACTTCATAATGTGCAAGATCTGCACTTGCCTTCTGTCCATGAAGAAAGGGACAGAGAACTAATGGTCACCGAGACATGCACGTGTGATCAGCACTGTGGTGAGTGCTTTGCACACATTTTCACAACTAACTACCTAAGAATTTTGTGAGGTGTTTTATACCTTCCATAACCTGTAGATGAAGAACTGAGACTCCCAGATGCATTTGACTGCCCACAGTACTAAGAAGCATTGTGTGCATGTTGCTAAAGACATACAAGACATTATTTTCTCTCTTTACCTACAAAATCTCCACTGAGCTTTCTTGGTGACAAGTCTGAGGTACAGCACGTAGGTAAACACTGACTTAATGTGTCTCAACTGTTAAGGAAGACATAAAGGTAAATGGCAGTGATTAGCCATTGTCACCATGCTGTTTGCCCTCGTGCTGAAATTGTGTGTAGCAGACAGGCTCTGAGTGGCTCTATTTCTCATACATACTTTTGTCTTTAATGTGGGTGCTCAAATGTGGCAGAACAGCTGTAGAGTGACGTGATCAGCCAAATGGTCCACTGCGGATAGAAGCGAAAGACTGTAAGACAGGTCAGGAACACAGAACTATTGGTCGTCCCTTCCAAGTGCGGCATTGGTCTTGGCTTCTGATCCAGGTTGAACCTAGATTTAAAGAAAAATTTAACCATATTGGTTTGTTAATTAGGAATCTCAGATACAGCCATTGTTGTCCACTGAGGTCCTCAGCAACAGAAAACATTGAAGAAAGAGGCGGAGAGTGAAGAGAAAGAGAGAAAGGAGGAGAAGGAGAAAGAGGCAGAGAGAAAAGGAAAGGAAGGAAGCAAAGAAGAAAAGAGGAAGCGAGGAAGGAAGGAAGAAAGGAAGGAGAAAGAAAAGAAAGAAGAAAGAGAAAGGAGAGAAGGAAGGGAGGGAGGGAGGAAGAAAAAGAGAGAGAAAGAATGAATAAAGGGAGGGAAAGAGAGAGAGACGAAAAGAGGGGCAAGTCACTCTTCATCTCTGTGTGTATATAGATACATCTTTGCCCTCGTAGAATTTACTGCCTCAGGAAATTTTCAATAAAATGTTAAGATTCAAATGGTAGATAAATGAGGCAAATATGAAAGGTCCCTTTATACACGGGAGAAAATTCAATAAATTTAAAAACAAAAAATTTTCTTGGCCAATAATCTAATAAATAATAGATTTAAAACCATCTTGTGATACTAGGCATAGATAGAAAAATTTGCATGCACACGTGTATGTGCACGTGAACACACAGAGACCCCCCCACTCTGATATTGGTGAGACTGGGCTGAATTTAGCATGCACCAGCTCCTGAGAGCACTTTCCAGTCCAATAGCATAACAAGAAACCAGAGCCTTCTTTGATTGTTGTTGCTCTTTTCCTGTGACCAGGTGATCCCATCATTTGGAATTTTACCTAACGAGAAATTTAACAGAAGCAAAAGTCTATTCAAGCACATTTCTTGTATCTAAAATAATACAAATTCCCCATCAATAATTGGTTAATTACTGTATGTAAAAAATGCTAGATTTTTCAACAACCAAGAAAATGTTGGTACATTTAAAGACTACATGGAACTGCTGGGCATAGTGGCTCATGCCTGTAATTCCAGTCCTTTGGGAGGCTGGGGCAGGTGGATCACTTGAGGCCAGGAGTTCAAGACCAGCCTGGCCATCATGGCAAAACCCCATCTCTATTAAAAATACAAACAACAAACAAACAAACAAACAAAACCGCATGTGGTGGCTGGCGCCTGTAGTCCCAGCTACTCAGGAGGCTGAGGCACAAAAATCTCTTGAACCCGGCAGGTGTAGGTTACAGTGAGCCGAGACTGCATCACTGCACTCCAGCGTGGGCAACAGAGCAAGACTCTGCTTCAAAAAAAAAAAGAAAAAGAAAAAGAAAGACTTTTAAAATGCCCAATCATATATGTTTTATTGATACCTAATGCACTTATGAAATTGCCTAGCTACTGCAAAATACATAAGCTTTTAAACATACCTGCTGTAGAAAAGAGTTCTTATGATATAGAACATGCCTTGAGGTTAATTTTGAAATTTGAAAGAGCATAATTTGCATATTATAGCCCGAAGAAAATAACAGAATTCTCTACCTCACACTCTTTCCTTCCTCCTGCTCCTACTCATACACCCTTCTTTCACCACCGCATCTCCCCTCCCAATAAAATCTAAGCCATGTGACTTTTTTCAACATCTGCTTCCTTTCTTTTCTTTCACAGAAAGCACGCATGAATAATCAGACCGCACTGCTGCTGTTAATTGTAAAAATCATTAGTAAACTTCCAGGTGCTGTTTACTATATAAGCATTGTAATTTTCTATCCTAAAATCAGCAACTCCCCCACATCATTGTCTGCCCCAGGGCATGAGCACTGTGCAGCTTTGAGGTTGTCAAAGGCAGTTGCAGCCCCATTTACTGGGACTGAAAGAGATCGATCCACACCTGCAGCGTTTGAGGCAATAATTCCTGATATTAACCAGACCTCATGAGGAGAGGGCCCTTTTGCCAGCCTCCTCATGATTCAACACTCTCCAATCCATGTGGAATCATTGAATATGCTGTGATTGGCTGATACCCACCACGTCCATTCTTCCCCTTTCTGCCATCACTCCACCTATTGTCCAAAGATTCTGGAAAGAAACCTGTAGAGAAGAGAAAGCCAGTTTAGATGCCATTTGTCTCTAACTTGTAAGCCCGGCATGCCTGAATTTTTGCAATTGCAAATAAAGTGCAGAGGAAGAACAAACTCAAGAAACCTCCAGGGCCCAAACTGCAAGATGCAGGAAGAATCCTGGAGATTCTTCCTGGAGATTAACTGAGAGAAGAGATCATAGCACAGAGAGGAAGTAACTTGCCCAATGCCATACAAACACTGCCTAACGCTTTGGTTACACAAAACAGATTACAACTTCCATCTGTTTCCTTGAAGGCACCTGTGGTTTTCCTCAAGAAATTCAAGATAAAAGAAAACAAAGCTTGAGTTTACATTTTCCCAGGTACTACAATGGCATCCCTGGGTACACCTGCTGTTCTTTCTCTGGGGCTCCCAATTCCTGCTCTGCTCCTCCAGGCAGGATTCTACACAGCTTTCCAGTAACACTGCAGGAGTGTCCCTCAGGTGGTCTGGGTACACCTTTGCCTATAACCTGCTGCACTGTATATTCTTACAGCCATAGCCACTATTTTCCTGCACTGTGTCATCTGTTTGCCTGCTCCTATTTCAGTGGTATTCGAAGTGCCTCTGATAAAAGTGCTTTTCCTTCTTTTTCTTTTTATATTTTTGGCCTAGTTCAATACCTCGGTGAATGAATAAAATTCATTAAGAGAGCATTTATAATATCTAATGTTTGAATGAATGTTGGAGATACAAAGTTCTTAGAGACCATCTAACCCAACTTCAAAATTAATTTCTGCATCACAGGTGCAAGAATGTTCAGTGACTCTGCGAACTATGTTTGCACTTTGGCATCAATTCCACCTCCTGGAGTCTTCTCTACCACTTTGTCTCAGAGACAAAGCCTAGGACGGCATTTCTTAGAATCCCTTCCCCATAGGCTTCCATGAAAAGGAAGGAGGCCATGTTAGGAGGCCACGTTCTCCAGCAGCTGTGGCGGGAAGAAGCACAGGTGACTCATAGACCAGTGTGGGGAGGAAGCAGATGGGATGGTCTCAGCAGCTCCCAGGCAAGCTCCTCCACAGCTCCTGCTGTAGTGTTGCAAGCTGAAAACTTTAGCAATAACTTCACTGTCCTTTGTTCCCTGGCTTTTCCAAAATTTTGCTAGGTTTTATTTCCTTGCATTAAAATCTTCCCATGACGAAAGAGTCATCTTTTTAATGCATGGTGCTGGGTCAGTTAGATACACAGAGTTGAGGTGGAGGATAAATCCTGACCCCTCCCTCATAAAAACAAAATCCGGACAGTTCAGATCTACATGTGAAAAGTAAAACAATAATGTTTTAAAGAAAACATACAAAAGCATCTTCATAACCTTGGGGTAGGCAGACCTTATACAAGACACAAAAAATTGCTAGTCATAACACACAAAATGATAAATAGAACTCCAATAAATTTAGAAATTTAGTATTCTCTGCATATCAAAAGACACCATTAGGAAAAGTCAAGCCACAGAATAAGAAAGGATATTTGCACAACACATATCTGAGAAGACTACCCAGAATATATAAAAATTTACACAAATCAATAAAAAAGACAGACGTCTCGAAGTAGGTACCTCAAAAAGAATATCTAAGTGGATGAAAGCATGTTAAAAACTTCTCAAATTAAGTAACTATTAGATAAATGCAAATTAAAACCACGATATACACAAGAGAAAGTCTATAATTTAAATGACAGACAGACAAAGTATTGTGTTTGGAGCAACTGGAACTCACCTACTTTTAAGAGTAAGTTGGTACAACTATGCTTGTATGTCATTGGAAAACACTGGAAAACTGAAATTATCTACTCAAACTGAACATCCATCCCTCCTACATCCTAGCAATTCTACCTCTACATGTATATTAATAGAAATGTACACACATGTTTACAAAAGACATACGACTATTTATAGCAGCAATATTTGAGTAGTTCATATCACAACCCATCGATCAATCCATAGAATAGATAGGCTGTGATGTATTCATACATGTGCCACTATAAAGCAACGAAAATGAAATAACTATACATTTTCCCAACAAATCATAATTTTGATGACTCACAATCAAAATAGCCTGGATACAAAAGAATACATGCTGGATAATCCCATTTACATAAAGTTTTAAAAATCAGAAAAAAAAAAAATCCATGGCTTTAGAACTCAAAATAGTGGTTACTTTTTGGGAGGTAATGATTAGAAGGAGGGGGACTTCTTGTTAATGTCGAACTCCTTAGTCTGGATTCTTGTTACATGGCATGTTCAGTTTGTAAAATTTCATTGAAATTCACTGTTAATATTTGTGCACTTTTAAATAAATTTTATACTTTAATTAAAATGTTACATTAAAAAAATTCAGCCTGGGGATACCTGGAGTGTCTTCTATTTTCCTGACTGACAGAGTAAATTATTTAAAATTTATAGTTAATAGGTTTCAGGGCCATGGTTATGAAGATGGTGGTGATAATTATGACAACAATGACAAATATCTTCAACTACAGTGAAAATAGCACTACTGTTTATTAGGTGACAGACAATATGTTGGTGACTTTTTGATAACCTGACACTGTCCTGGGAAGCAGGAATTGGAATTCCTGTTGCACGGATTGGGAAATTGAAGGTAGCTAATTTGTTCAGTCGCCCAGCTCCTGTCAGGGTCAAACTTGACTCTTGGACAGAATCTATTGATTCTATGCAGATTTCCCACTTCACCAAAGAATGGCACGATTTTTCATCTGTAACTCAGAATCCCTTCTCAGTTTGTAAATACTGAGTCACTCAAACTGACGCCCCTATCCACAGTGACACGAAAGTGCTGGGAGTTCTGTCTGTCTGAATGAGGCAGAGATCAATGCTGATGGGATTTCTGCCCCCACTGTGTAGGGTCCCTCATGCATTTGTGGTGCTTTGTAACAACCCTCATCAAAGTACATAAGAGATGCAGGATCTGCCAATTCTAAGCAGCTCTTCCCATCTTTTGTAGGAAGAACTTTCTCACATCCCTGGTACTGGGCAGGGATGAGAACAGCCTGTGGGGCTGGCAGTTGCCTGTCAGGGTCTCATCTACAGAAATGTCTTCTCTTCTTTTCATCCTGTTAAATTGGAGATTGCGAATCTCTAGAATCAGATAAAATGTTATTTTCTCATTTGGTAAAAATGGAGAACATTTAATGTCTCATAAAGCTGTAGGAGAGGGTTTGGTAAAATGAGCATTTTAAACCCCCACCTCAAGGAGTATGTGGAATACCAAAGAAGAGAATTTCCCTTCAGGGGCCTCCATCTCCTCTGCATAAAAGAAAGGAAGATGGAAAGTCCTCCTCGCAGGAAGAGGAGTCCTCCATCTCACAGAGTCCTCCATCTCCTCACAGAGTCCCCCATCTCACAGAGTTCCCCATCCCACAGAGTCTTCCATCTCACAGTCCTCCATCTACTCACAGGGTCCCCCATCTCACAGAGTCCTCCATCTCACAGAGTCCTCCATCCCACAGAGTCCCCCATTTCACAGAGTCCTCCATCCCACAGAGTCCCCCATCTCACAGAGTCCTCCATCTCCTCACACAGTCCTCCATCTCCTCACAGAGTCTCCCATCTCACAGAGTCCTCCATCTCCTCACAGGGTCCTCCATCTCCTCACAGAGTCCTCCATCTCCTCACAGAGTCCCCCATCTCACAGAGTCTTCCATCTCCTCACAGAGTCCTCCATCTCCTCACAGAGTCCCCCATCTCACAAAGTCCTCCATCTCCTCACAGGGTCCTCCATCTCCTCACACAGTCCTCCATCTCCTCACAGAGTCCCCCATCTCACGGAGTCCTCCATCTCCTCACAGAGTCCCCCATCTCCTCACAGAGTCCCCCATCTCCTCACAAAGTCTCCCATCTCACAGAGTCCCCCATCTCCTCACAGAGTCCCCCATCTCACAGAGTCCTCCATCTCCTGGCAGTCCCCCATCTCCTCTGCATAACAGAAAGAATGAACTGCAGATGGAAGGAAACGGCACTTTGAAGGAGGCAATTTGGCTTTTTCTCGTCCCTGGTGAATTTACTCTCTTGTTTCTCTTGATGACAATTCTCAATATTCACCAAGATTGTAGTTCCTCACTGGACCTCCTTCATCTGTTCCAGCATTCGATCTTGAACTTCTACTTTAGAAGAAGCTGAAGCCAATAGGCCATCCCAGCCCTTCTGCCCATATGCCTCACCATCCTCATCCCTTTTCTCCTGCCTCAGGGGCAGAGGATGGCCTTGGGTTCTTCATACAGAACCATTCTCCATGCCCTCAATCCTCCCATCTTCCTTTAAGGACTCTTTCAAGCAGTTTACAAAAAAGTGCATCTCTTCAATCCCCCAAACTGAGCCACTTTTTCATGTCTCGGTCTTGAGCCTGAATTACCCTCCAAACTGACTCCTGCTATGTTGGCTTACCATCCAAAACCTCTCCCCTACTAACTTCTCATCTAAACTAGTCTCTGGCGAGGCCACCGTGATCTTCTGCCTGCTTCTGGACACCCTTTTGAGTGGGTGTGGTGGAGCCTGCACCCTCCACTTTGCTGTATCTGCTTCCACCAAACTTGCGTAATTTCAAAATCTACCTGAAACTTGTTATTTTTTTTTCCTGGCTCACCCTCTCTGCTGCAGTGACACAGTGGGTGACTCTGCCTTTCCAGAGGCTCCTCTAAGTGCCCTTCTGACCAGATGATTGGAGTGGAGTGCCTTTCCCTGCTGGACTTCGCCACTTCCTGCCCCTGAATGCTCATCATCCCTGGCCACTCCCCTCTGTCCCCTGCTCACACAGCTCAAATAACCTAAGCCTTTATTTTCCCCCCAGACCTTTAAGCTTCTATATCCATCTCTTAGCTGGATATTTTCGCCTGAATACCCAGATCCCATAGATCAATGAAGACGACCATGCGAGAGGAGAAAAGAGACGAGATGGCAATACCCACAGCACGTTTCTATCCTCCATGCTGAGCACGCTATGTAGTTAAGAAATGTTTGTTGAATGAATGAATGAGTGAATGAATACATGTATAGCCAAGTGAGCTCGGAAATACTCAGAGGATACCTTTTCCTGGTCCCTGTCTGCCATCACTGTGACTTTCCCCAGCCACATACAGGGAAGTGTAGTTCATCTGATGGGCAGTTTCAAAGCAGATGAAATTAGCCAGAATGCCGAAGACTGCCTTTAGTATAGGCACACTTTTTCAAGTTTTCATCAGTTAATGCATTTTCCCCTCTCTTGTAATGTAGCTTCTAGCTTCCAAAAAACTGTATTTCGGAAAATGTTCCTAAGGAGACCAGGACTGCTCATACGAGACCACCTCAGCTGAGCTGTTGTTAGTAAGCCCGCAGCCTGCTCTGCTCTCCTTAGCTGTTTCCTCGTTTAACATCGCCACTGAACACTTGCTCTATACCATTAGGCGGCCGCTCTGGAGGAAAATGAAGGATTTGCTGTATAATGTATTTTTTCAAAGAGATTATTTAAGGCACGATTTCTGTTTATGGTCCCAAGATAAATTATAATCACCTTTGTTTACCTCATATTCCTTTCTTAATTAACTGACAACCTATTAGCATACATTTTTTTATCCCAGGAGCATTAATTATACATAATTTATATCATAAGCATTTATTTCATATCAGTGGGATGAATAAAACATTTACCTGCTTATAGCTACTTGAGGTTAACATTTTTATACAAAAAACTCACCTGAGACTTCCAATCAAATTATCAGATTTTTAATTTTGTGTTACATAATGCTACAGTACTGGTCACTGTAGCATTTTATTCCACTCTAGGCTAAACAATCGTTTAGCAGAGTGCCATGCTGGCAGCATTAATTAACCAATGATACATGCTTTGCTGCACAATGAGATGCAGATAATAAAAGTGTAAAATTTGCTCATATGAGAGATGGAGTCCTTCCTGGGATTGTAATACCAATATCAGCCCCGGTGAAGTTACAAAGATCTCCAGGCCTTTTGTGTCATAGTTTGCCAGACTGCAAAGGATCATAGAGGTCAAAGGGCACATTATATTGTCGTTTTAAAGGTGAGGATTCTGAGGGCGAGAGAAGGCAAATACCTTGTACGGCCCGATGCACCAGCAAACAAGTGCCAGAGATTTGAACACGGTGCGAGCACACTGGCCCGGTGCCAGGACAGTTCCACCTGTCGACACAGGTGTGCTCTTCTCTCTCAAAACATGGTAAGCTTTGAATGTTTGCGTCAGGTGGAATATCGTGCCCAGGTGCTTTAAAATGAGATGTACATAAATTAGTCTTTGGTTCAGAAATGTCACAATCTTTCCTGTATGGGGCGGCTTAGGTGATGTCAACAAGGGATTTTTTTAAGCCTCTCAAAAGATGAATAGATTGTGACTGTAATGCCATAAGAAGCCCTAGTTCCAGCCTCTAGGCTTCAAATTAGGCTACACTTTTCTCTAATCATCATATCCCTTTGCCACCACACTTCTCACTGGCTGTCTTCTTGCTCTGAACAGATGAATTTGCAAGACCATGGATCCTGTCCTCTACCTTCTCTGTAACTATTTTGTTCACCAACTACAGTTACCCAGAAACCAGTGGCAATGTTAGTTAGAATACAAATGGACCTTTTTACCTGAAAACTCCTTTGTTGCTTAGAATGAAATTCAGAGGATTTTGCTGTTTTTTTTTTTTTTTTTTTTTTTTTTTTTTTTGACAGGAGGAAAAACGCACTATACTTGCACAGAACTGAACGAGCTTGCTAAAGATCCGGGCTGTGGATGGAGAAGAAAGGGACTCACCAGAGATCATTAAGCACCTGCTGTGTGACAGAGTCTCTGCCTGGCCCTCATCCGTGCCATCTCATTTGATTCAATTTTGGGAAATAACACAATTATCCTCACCTCGTAGATGAGAAAACTGAAGTTTAAAAAGGTTAAGCCATTCGTTCAGAGCCACAGCTGCAGCAGGAGACAGTGCTGGGATTTGAACCAAGGTCCATATACTTTTAAAATCCAAGCTGTTTCTATGACACCACACTAATAACAAGGCAGATGGTAACAGGCATTTAGGTAGAACTGCTGAAAAACCCTTTTCCCATGTTTTTCATCTCCTGATTTTGAGGTACAAATGTGGTTTCTTTAATATATTCTGCCATCTTGCCTGGAAAGAATGTAGCATATTTCTCTTGAAGAAATCTTTTTGCATCACTAACGAGTCAACGTGGAGAGAAAACACTTGGTGTCAATGTTGGGGCATAGTTAGAGAAATCTGTTTCTTGAATCTCCTCTCATAATGTGGAAATGGTAACAAAGGCAGAAAGAAAACCATACAAAGCAAAATATGGGGGTCCCAGAGTTCCCTGGGAGACAAAGCAGCCCAGCCCAGTGAATTCTCCGCAGCGACCTTCGCAGATACTCGCCTGTGCCCAGCCGGCCGGGTGACCCCGCAGCCCCACTCTGCTCGAGGTCCGTCCCATCATACATCCGGAAGCCAGGCAGCATCCAGGGCTTGCTCATGAGCCCTGCCTTCAGCGGCATCACCTTCTTATACTCATCAAGGAAAGGCTGGACCTCTTCAAAGGCCTTCCTGGCTCCCAGCTCTCTTCATGTTGTCTTCATAAGAAATCTCATCTGGGCCCATGCCATCAAATGCCCATGACTATTTCGCCACTCCTCATGCATGCATCCCCCGGTACACAGTCTGAGATGTTGTACTCAATGGCTTCCTTAGGAAATCTCAAATCCACCTAAAGAAAATGTGTATTACACCACACTCATGATCCCCCACACAAAAAGTAATATTAGCTCAGTAAATGATATCCTCTAAATACTTGCTCAAACAACAACAAAAAAACCTTCTCCCATATCCAATCTACTGCCTGTCTATTTTGCCTCCTAAATGGATCTTGAATTCATCCCTGTTTTTCCACTTTCACTGCCATCATCATAAGCTTGGCTGTTAATTTCACTCACATGAACTTCTACAATTGCCTTCTAATTGTTATCACCTCATCTAATTTTTAAACTGTAACTAGAATAATCTTTTCAAGATGAAAATCTGATTATATCAAATATCCATTAAAATAATGAGAAGGACATCTCAAAGTTCAGAACAGGAACAGAAACAGAAACCATAAAGAAAAGTTTGATAAAGTAGGTCATATAAAAATATTTCTGCGGACAAGATCACACTAAACAAAATCAAAAGATAAAATACACGCTTGGAAAATTAAAAAGTACTGATTTTCTTAAACTATAAAGACACTTTAAAGTAGTCAAAAAAGTCAAACAACTCAATAAAAAAAATAGGCAAAGAACAAGATAGGCAGGTGCACACACAGACTTGCACACACACACTCGCACAAGCACAAATGGCTCTTAAACATTTTAAAAGATATTCAGTGTTATTTATAATAAGAGACAGACAAATTAACAACAAAATATGATACAATTTTTTGCTTGTCAGAGTAGCAAAAGTTGAAAAAGGTGAATTTTTACTAGTAATGGTACAGGGAAAATAATCACTTTCTCTATTGCAGTAACAAAGAAACAGAAGAAACTGGTAACTTCATAATATGCGTCAACTCTATATGCATGTATTCTTTGATCCAGCAACTTTATTCTTCGTAATTTATCCTTGATATATAATTGCACACACATACACACACAAATGCACACACACGGAGATAAATTGCAGTATTATCATAATAAAACAAGACTAGAGATAAATGAAATGCCTCTCAATACTTAACTTGTGAAGTATATTGTAGCTCATTTCTATGATGGAATAATATGCAGTCATGAAAAAGAATGGAGAAGTTCTATTCACACAGAAATGAAACAGTTTCTCTTAAACATATCCCAAAATGAAAACAATATATAATATATATAGAAAGAAACTATATATATGTATATATATATTATATATACATATACACACACACACTATATATATACTTGTATATATTGGGAAATATACAAAAAAAATTCATATCGGTGGTTTCACTTAGGAAGGCAGCTGAGAGTCTAGTGGCCTATACTGGGGGAAGCACTCACTTTTCACTGAATTCCTGTGCACCATTCGAACCTTTTGTGTTACATACATGTGGTTTATTTATTTGTGTGTGTGTGTGTGTGTGTGTGTGTGTGTCTACGTGCCTGCATGTGTGTGTAGAGTGAGAGAGAGAAGGGAGTATGGACAATGCTTTTAGAGGTTTGAGCATGAAGGGAAGGTAAGCACAAGGGTAGTAGCTGGAATAGGGTGAGGCCGAGCAAGGGTTTTATAAGATGCAGGACATATTGCCCATATTTAGACGCTGCTGAGCATGAGACATAGAGAGAGTACTTGAAATTACAGGAATGGAAGGTGTCATCAGACAACTCTGAGGGTGTGGGCAATGAAGACTGTAGCTTAGATGGAGACAGGAGAAGGTAGAAAGGAAGGAAAAGGTAGATAGGCAAATACACCTCATTTACTTATCTGCAGTTTTAATCTTCCGAAAAAGAGGCTATGTCATTCCAACAAGTGAAATCCAAAAACAACAGAACTCCAGTGAGGAAGGAGGATGTGACTGAGTGAGGTACAGCAAAAACTCTTTCCATAACACAACTGCAGCCAGAGAATTTCAAGCCCGGAATGTAAATAAATGTAATCCATTCTCACATTGCTATAAAGATCTACCCGAGACTGGGTAGTTTATAAAGAAAAGAGGTTTAATCGACTCACGGTTCTGCAGGCTATACAGAGGACATGGCTGGGGAGGCCTCAGGAAACTTACAGTCATGGTGGAAGGCAAAGGGGAAGCAAGTGCCTTCTTCACATGGTGACAGGAGAGAGAGAGAGAGAAGGGGGAGTTGCTACACATTTTTTAAACAACCTGATCTCATGAGAACTCACTCACTAGCATGAGAACAGCAAGAGGGAAATCCACCCCCATGGTCCAATCACCTCCTACCAGGTCCCTCCTCCAACACTGGGAATTACAATTTGACATGAGATTTGGGTGGGGACACAGCCAAACCATATCACGGGACTTGCCACAGGCATCTTGGCCATGACCCTTATCCAGAGATAAGAAAAGGAGGATCAAATGGGGACTCACAAGAGCAAGGCCTCTGAGGGCAAACTAGGAAGAGGGAGGTGAGTGGGACAAACTCCAGCCTCTGTCACTGCAGGTGGTTTCAACTCCACACTGGGACTCCTCCTCACCCTTCTCTATTCTTTCGAAATTCCTCTCCCACTCAGCTCTCACCTCACAAGGTCTCAGTGGCTTACCTACCTGGCAGTGCCACCCAAAACATTGAGCCCTTAGCCATCCCACCCATTTTCATTTAGAGTTGCTGTGCATGTCTGCTCACAGTTACATGGGTCTAAGTTTACTCCCTGCTCACAATGTATAAAAACAATCCTACCCTGTCCTGCTGGTCCAGGTCAACTCTCCCTGCCATCTGGTGACTCTTCTTGGCACAAGGAGGCCACAGTGCCTGGTGACAGTGTCAGTGAATCCCAAGTCCCCAGGAGCAGATCTCCTGCAGTATTCCTGCTGCTTCGTTGCCCGGGAGCTGCCCATGGGAGGCAGGGCTGCAGGACCTCCAACTATAGCAGCAGCAAGGCCCCCGGTCAATCATGCTGTCTGCAGCTGGAGATCTGAGAGGTCTTTCTCATGGCCACCATAGGCAGAAAAAAAGAGACATCCGTGGATCCCAGAGCAGGGGCATTCTGATGCTGTTTCTGCCAGCACAGCTTACCCAAGGCAAGACAGGATCAAGGGAAGTTTCACAAAAATTTCTGCACCCTAGCGTGGCAGAAAGCTGCTGGCAGGGCCAGCTCAGAGGGTGTGTGGTCTGTGCAGCCACACAAGCTCTGCACTTGGAAGGGGCCACGCTTGGCTGATGCTCTGGTGGCGCCATCTTGGAATTCTTAATGTTTCTATCTTTGAATTTGTGCTTTGTAAGTAAAATCTGATGGGACAGTGGAGATGTGCCTGTCCCACAATGATACTCACAATGTGTCTATCCACAAGGTGCTTCCTGGGACCCATTTACATACAGAGCCCATAATGCCCCGTAAAGACAGAATGTTGGGGGCTCCACAATGCCTGGGAGGTCAGGGAGACTCACGGTGACACCAGGTAAGCCTGTTAGGTCCACTGCTGAGTCAGCAAGAGGCCTGTGGCCCAGAGATATCATACTTTCTGACTGAACCAGAGCTTGTTTTAAAAACAAAAAAAGAGGCAATAGTGTACTAAGAAACACAAACAATTAAAGAACCCAATTATTTCCTTTCTTACTCAGATTACTTCCCTTACATCCACTTTTACAGAAAACGATGACATACAAGGAAAGGGAAAAATAAGGCAACCCACACTTCCTTTCCTTCTTCCTCATCAGTAAGCCAAAGGGAGAGGATATTGGTAGAGGTGGATGCATCACGAGTGATATAAAAACACTTGAGTGACTTTTGTGTGGAGCTTTCACTGTTTTGGTAAGAACAAAATATATATGCACCTACAAACTACAAAATACATATTGTATAATTTTGGTGATCCTACATACAAATTAAATGCTATTATGTTTGTATTTAAAACTGGTATTACGCAATATAAAGATGAGTGGTAGAATTCACACTATTTGTTTAGATTTTTTATTTTTCTTTACTTAGAAAGATATTGAATGGCAAATAAAAAACACCACAAAAAGATGAAAGGGAGACACCAGAAGAAAGAAGCTTTATGTTTTAGGACCCTTAGTGGCCCCATGTCTTCTGCTTTTTGAACAAGGGGCCCACATTTTTATTTTGCATAGGGCTCTGCAAGTTTCGTATCCAGCCCTGGCCACCAAATCTAAGGGCACCATAGGCACCATGCAGATAAGGACAATGGCGACTTCTGCCATAGGGAGAAAGACCAGAGGAGCAGCTGATATTTATCACCTCTTAAGATCCTAAAATTTTGACCTATACCCAAGAGGTGGGACTATCAAGAAAGAAAGGGACTCCTAGGATGATGAAGTTATGTTTTCCGACAGCTAGGCAGAAACTCAAAGGCCAAATTGTTATACAACATTAAAGGATAATTGGAACACCTGAACTGCAGCCCTATGGTCATACCTATCATTTCTTTTCAATCCATTAGGGGCAATGCAGATGGGAATCAGATGTGGACCCATCTTAACTTCTCTTAACAGGAGAAGTTAAGAACTGGCATAAGGATTCCACTGAAAAACAATAATACAAGAGATAACAATGAAATAGTTTATTTGAATAAGTGAATTTATTTGTCCAGCTAAGAGAAGGCACAAAAATGTAGCTACTTCCTGATATAATTGCTAAATTTTCATTTTCCTATTTATGAAATATTTTCCACAGATATATCATTAGGGTTGTCTTAGTCTGCTCAGTTTGCTGGAACAAAATACCATAAACTGGGTGGACAACAGAAATGTATTTTTTACAGTTCTGCAGGCTGAGAAGTCTAAGGTCGAGGCTCCAGCAGTTTCAGTGTCTGGCAAGGGTCCATTGGCTGCACCATAGACTGCACCTTCTCACTGTAGCCTCACATGGCCGAAGGACAGAGGAGCTTCCTTGAGCCTGTTTGATAAGAGCACTTATCCCATTCCTGAGGGCTCCCCGATTATGGCCTGATCACTTCCCTCAGGAAACCCAACCTCTGAAAACCATCACATTGGGAATTAGGTTTCAACGTGTAAATTTCCGGGGAACAAAAAGATTCAGGCCACAGCAAGCGTATGTAAAATAGGCAGTGCAGCCTCCGACCACAGCAGACGTCAATTTCAGTGCCTTCCTTCTTCTTCACCAGTAAACATGGATGAGATCTGCTGAGCTGCCTGCTGGGCCTGGGCATGGTGCTATGAGTTTAAAGGCGAGAACTCAATTCAGAAATGACTTGTCTGCTAAGTTTTCTCTGAGATGATAGAATTTAAGCTAAGCCCAGAGGAAATGGGAAAACCCAAAAAGGTAAGGAAGTAGCACCATTCTTAGCAAAGAAAACACTTTTCATTTAACAAGAAAACTCTTTCTTTCCCTAAATCTAGTATTTTACTTGGCTCTTCCCGCCTCCCTGGGACTCTAGGACTTTGCTTCTCAAAACATTTGTCTTGAGTCCCTGAGAGGTCAATTCTCTATTTTTCTTGGTTTGGCAGTTGCTCTGCTGAACCTGACAAGATTCTAAAACTTAGAAGTTATAACGTAAGACTATAAGAGCAGACTTTGAAGCCATCTAAGTAAATAATATAACCTAGGCCGGGCACGGTGGCTCACGCCTGTAATCCCAGCACTTTGGGAGGCTGAGGCGGGCGGATCACAAGGTCGGGAGATAGAGACCATCCTGACTAACACGGTGAAACCCCGTCTCTACTAAAAATACAAAAAATTAGCTGGGCGTGGTGGCGGGTGCCTGTAGAATGAGCTACTCGGGAGGCTGAGGCAGGAGAATGGCGAGAACCCGGGAGGCGGAGCTTGCAGTGAGCCGAGATCATGCCACTGCATTCCAGCCTGGGCGACAGAGCAAGACTACATCTCTAAATAAATAAATAAATGAATGAATAAATAAATAAATAAATAAATAAATAAAATAAAAATTTGTTTTATGTGTTTTTTATTAAAGAAAGAAAAAAGACACACACATGCCTCCAAAAAGATCCTCCAAGTAGGAGCAGTGATATCTCTGGGCTGATGGATTATAGGGAATTTGTATTTCTTTTCCTTTCTGCTTTTATTTATGTTTTACTTTTATTTATTTTCAAAATGCTTTACAGTAAACATACTAGTAGTAGTATAAGTTACAAACTCATGTACTAAAAAACTAATAGTGATAAATATGAATAGTGATATAACTGTGTTTATTGTGAATCTACTTTTTGCCAAACCTAGCACTGCAGACTGGCATGGTCTGGTGCTCAGTAAAGACAATGGAAAAAATTACACTAACTCTCTTGTCGGTTTGTTCAGACAGTCAGCCATTCATTCAACTCAGAAAAGAAAAACAGACTGTTGAGCCATGCAAACCGGTCAGTAAAGAAAAGGGGATAAGCTATAACATTAGTGACAACTAAAACCATGGTATGCCTTCCCTTCATTCATAGCATTATTGATGTAGTTCTTGTTAAAACTATTTCAAAGAAAGAATGCACTTTGCTAATTTTGAAGTCTATCTCCTCTGAGTCTTTTCTGGTGTTCTCCCTTCCTTTGCCCAGCTACTGAACGCTAATCATCTGGGTCATAATCCGGGTCCTAGTCAACAGGCCTCAGCAATGTTGCATGTTCGACCATAATTCCTTTAGTGTCATCAGAGTGCATGGAACATGCATTCCAACATCCCCGCTCCAGCCTACCCTCAGCTTTTCTGACAGAGCCTGTCAGCGGCACACTTAACCTCTGCTTAGGGATCGTTAATCTTGTCTAGTCTTGTTAGCGCAGTGCTCCTTAGAGAATCCGAAAGAACCACTGCCTGCTTCCCATATCTCACGCCTTGGACCCTTTTCCTTCCCCACCAGGTTCCCCACTCTGCTTCCCTTGGTGGATTCTCACATCCGTGCAAAAAACTTATAATGTTATCAAGAACAATACTTCTAGGAACTTGCTCCTGGACTTCCACATGTCACCCTAGAGGCTATCAAACTTTTAGGGAGGTTAATATCTACTCAAGTTTTTAGTGGAAATAATCTCATCCAGCTGTTTCAGGCTAATATTTACCAGCTGCTATTTTCATCGTCATTATTCTTATTATTTCCATTGTCATTTCAATTTGATATACATTTATTTAATACCAGGGCACCATTAAAAATGATAACGTATAAAATATGGTCCTTAACTTCAAGGAAATTATTATTTATAGTAAACAAGTAGGAGATATTTCATTATGCTATTATTATAGTTAGCAGATATATGCACACAAATATTATAATTTAAGGATGTCAAAACAGAAATGCCTCATATAAAACTATTGAGGACATAAGAATAGCAGTTTTCTATTTTATAAATAAACATGAAATTTTAAAGAGATATATTTGAGAAGTGATATATTACCCTTCTATCAAACGAACAGAGACAGTTACTATTTTTCCTGCAATAAAAAATGTATAAATGTCACATTCTTTTTTTTTTTTTTTTTTTTTTTTTGAAACAGGGTCTCAGTCTGTTACCCAGACTGGGGTACAGTGGTGTGATCTCAGTTCACCACAACATCCATTTCCCAGGTTCAAGCGATTCGCTTGCCTCAGCCTCCCGAGTAGCTGGGATTATAGGCGTGTGCCACCATGCCTGGCTGATTTTCGTATTTTTGGTAGAAACAGGGTTTCACCACATTGGCCAGGCTGGTCTCGAACACCTGACCTCAGGTGATCCACCTGCCTTGGCCTCCCAAAGTGTTGGGATTACAGGCGTGAGCCACGGCGCCTGGCCAAAAAAAATACATAAGTGTCTTATTCTAATGGGAAAAAAGTTTGAGGCAAAATTTGGCAAATTAGAAAATCGGCTTGTTAGCTCACTGGCTGATCATTTTCTCAAATCCTGCTCATTTGTGATTACTCTTTAGGCAACTGTTGAGCCTGGTGCAAATCTTTCTCTAATTTTCCAGATAAAGCCCATCCTCCTTCCTCCACTCCCCACCTCCGCTTTACTGAGAACTCCTTTGCAGCTGTGTTCCAGCATGCATCGGCTGCGTCCCCTCTCTAGTTCCCTGCAACGCCTTGCGTAGGTCCGCCATGTAGTGCTCAATACCCCACACATGCGTGTGAAGATGAAATTGACCAGTTTTACTTTCACACAATGTAGACAATCAAGTTCTTGTTGGATTTAACTTGGTTGCATTTGCTCATTTCCTCAGCAAGATCGTAAGCTGCCTAAGAGCAGGGACCACATCTTATATGCATATGAAACGCAGCTGGGATTCCTGCCTATAGAAAGTGTCCTGGAAGGTCCAGGGAGTGCGTACCATGGCAGTTTCTGAGATTACCCTGTGAACTCTTCGAGGATATAGGAAATGGTTTGTTTTCACGGTTGTTTCCCTGGTGCCTAACAAGTTACCTGGCTCGGAGATACTCTCCGTAAACATTAGTTCCATAAGAAAACCTCCACTCAATCCAAGCTTTCTTTCAAAGGCATATTCAGAGCAACAGTATCTTAAGTCCCTGGGAACCTGGCTTATCAGGCTGGAGTCAGGGAACAACACCAAGTCCTCTTGAAAAGAAAGGGCTTAATCTTTCCCATGTGTTCAAAAGTGAAACTGAGTTGCCTCTTTCCACTAACTCCTGTTCTTCAGGCAATCTGAAATCATCTTTATTCTCTCTGGACTACAAAGTAGACGGTTCTTCAGCCAATAGTAAAAAATAATCTCCAAGCTCATGACTAAATGAGACACAAAGGAGCTGAAGGTAGAAACAAAATGATCACCGTGTCCAGATGGCTTGTGAATTTATAGACTAGCCTCAGAGCCCCCCGGACCTGAATTTAAAGTGAAGCAAGTTTACTTACGTCATTTCAGCCTCTTTTAAGGCCATTAGTACCATATTATAATTAGAACTTGGTATCAAAAATGTGTTTTGATGGGTGAGCGCAGAGTTTTAAGTGGAGATGAAGGTGTAGTAATGAAATCACATCCAGATTTTGGCTTAAGAACCAGCCCTAAGAGGTGTTTTATAATTGGCGTTAATCTGGCTCTACAAGCATTTCTGCACACTTCGAGATGTACTCATCAAAAACCAAAAAACAGGAGCTATTCCCATCTATATGAAAGAAGTTAAAAATAATTCCCATAAGATATTTTAATAGTATTTCTATAACATGTACTGTTTTTCCTGCAATAAAAAATGTATAAATGTCTCATTCCCACTGGAAAAAAGTTTGAGGCAAAATTTGGCAGTTTCCAACTTCAAATAATATAATAGTATTAATGATGAAGAGAAAAGTTGCCCTAGACTCAGGACTTTACTGCTGATGAGTATTTGAGAATAGATTGTAATATATTGCTGTAGTGTGAATGTGGAGAAGAAAAGGAAGTTATCTGAAAGTACATAGGTAACAAAATAAATACAGGAAGACAGACTTTGGAATCAGACTGCCTGAATTCAAATCCCAGGCTTGCCAATAACTAAGAGCAAATGTTGGCAAGCCCCTTAACCTCGCTGTATCTCATTATCTTGCCTGCAAAATGGGAATAATACTAGTACTGACCTAACCAGCCTATGAGAAGAGAGGGAATTTGTGAATATAACAAATGTAGAAAGGCGCTGGCCCATGGTGAGCTCTGGGAGTGTCAGCTCTGTCGTGAGTGACAATGGGTCATTGCCGTGGTGCTCAGTACACAGGGAGGTATAGTGAAGGCACTGAATTGAAACACCTGAGGTCTCATCCAAGTTGTCACTCAATCGGCGAAGACATGTTGGTCTCTGACTCCCTCACTGTGGACCACAGTGGTTCTCCCTGAAGAAAGAAACCAGCACTCTAGAGTAAATAATCTCCAATTTCCTTTCCAATTGGTGTATTCTATGCTTTCTTTTGGAAGTATAGGGCTAATTTTCAGAAATTACCAAAAATTTCAAGGAACCCATATAGTCTTTAATTTTAAAAGTCAACAGAATTCATTTATCACTCTCCCTTTTATCAAAAGGATAGAAAGCAACTTAGGTATTGAGCCTGGTGAGTAAACATGATGAGTGGTTTGCTTTCTAGCCCAAGTGTGGTGCCTTTCAGCTGAAGCTCGGTAACATGCTTATCTCTTTTGCAGATTTAAAAGGATGCATGTAGAGAGAGGCACTGTTAGAGTGGAGCAGTGACACTAGTGGAAATGTGGTGAATTCACTGTTAATGAAGAGGGAGAGGGAGAGAGAGAGGGAGGAAGGAGATCAAGCCGCCTTCAGAGCTGGAGATCACAGCTTACGTAGAATGGACATATTCTCTTGCTCTATTAGTTATATATCACTGCATAGCAAATTGCTCTAAAACTCAGTGGTTTAAAACCACAAGCATTTATGATCTTACACAGCTTCTGAGGGTCGGAAGCCTGGCTTAGCTGGGTGGCTCTGCCTTGGGGTCTCCCATGAGGCTGCAGTCAGGCTGTCGGTCAGATCTGTATGATGAACATCCTGGAAGGGCCGAGGATCCATTTCCAAAATGGCACACTCGCATGGCTGGCGGCTAGAGTCCTCAGTTCTTCCTGGCTGTTGTATTTGTGCAGGGGGGGTGGGGGTCTCAGTTCCTCCTCACGTGGGCCTCTCCATATGAAGCCTCCTGGGTGTCTTCAAGACATGGCAGCCAGGTTCCCTCAGAGCAGGTGATCCAAGAGAAAGAACCCTAGATGGAAGTTCAGGCCTTTCACATCTAATCTTGTAACATACCATCAGCTCTCCATGTCCTCTTTGTCCTACAGACCAACCCTGGTACAGTGTGGGAAGGGACAGCACAAGGGTATGAATGACTGGGATGGGGGCATCAGGAGCCACATTGCAGGCCAGATACCACACTCGCCAAACAAATGGGAGAGGAAATAAAATCTTTCACTCCTTCAATCTTACCATTTTGTAAACCTCTCACAGAGACAATTATTCTTAGGTTGTTTGAGCAACAAGGTGAATAAGGATACCATGTACTGAGATGGGGTTACCGGGTAGAAATAAATTTGATAGAGTTTTCAGAAAGAAACCATGACATCTGTTTTGGAAATCTTTAGTTTGAAATGTCTATTATCACACTTTTATGCTGGATGTGATTATAATGCCTTAAAATGTATATTCCCTTCAATATGACTGCTAAGTACAAGCCAGTGTGGCCTCATCAAAGAAACAGATTAAAAAAATGGTTAAATGTTCGAACATCAGTGGAGAATACGGCTGTGCTGGACTAGTTAGAGGTGGTATGTCAGTCCCATGCAAGGCATTTTTCAAAATGAATTTCAAGAGCAATTTTGATTAGACTTTGGGAGTGCAAGGGCAAGTCTAGTAATTAATATTATCTTCCTGGATAACTCGAAATTACATCCCAGCTCTGACTTGTCCCCTGAATTCGAGATTTGTGCATATAATTGCCTACTTGACATACACTATGCACTTGAGTGTCTAATGGGTCTTAAAACTTAACATTTTCAAGGCAGAACTCCTAATTTCTGCCTCCCACCACCACCAAATCTGTTTCTTCTGGAGTTTTCCACATTGCAATAAATGGTACCACCATCAATGTAGTTGCTCAAACTAACAACTTAGGAGTCATTTTTAATTATTTACTATTCTCCGTACTCCAAGTGTAGTCATCATTTGATTCTATTGGTTCTATGTCCAAAATAGAGAGTGTTGACCTTTGTAGTCACTGAAATAAATCCAGACCAAGCCATGTTGCTGCCTCACCTGGACTGCTGTTGTTGCTACTAACTGGTTTCTCTGATTTCAGTTCTGGAATTCTCCTTTAATTCACTCTGTACCATAATCAGAATGGTTTTTTTTTTTTTTTTTTTTTTTTTTTTTGAGACAGAGTCTCGCTCTGTCACCCAAACTGGAGTGCAGTGGAACGATCCTGGCTCACTAC
This sequence comes from Homo sapiens, assembly GCF_000001405.40. Classification (NCBI taxonomy): domain Eukaryota; kingdom Metazoa; phylum Chordata; class Mammalia; order Primates; family Hominidae; genus Homo; species Homo sapiens. Next base: position 7,919,335 of record NC_000002.12, read on the forward strand.
AACCTCCGCCTCCTGGATTCAAGCGATTCTTCTGCCTCAGCCTCCTGAGTAGCTGGGATTACAGGTGCATGCCACCATGCCTGGCTAATTTTTTTGTATGTTTGTAGAGACGGGTTCAATAAGGCTGGTCTTGAATTCCTGACCTCGTGATCTGCCTGCCTTGGCCTCCCAAAGTGCTGGGATTGCAGGCGTGAGCCACCGCGCCCGGCCAGAATGATCTTTTAAAATGTCTAAGGAGAGGCTCATCTGAGATCCTTGCTTAATCCCCTCCAATGGTTTTCAATCAGAATACATACCAAGCCCCGCCCCTTGACTGGGAGCTCTGTGTGATGACCCCGCCCTCTGCTCCACTGTCCTGACATCACAGACTCCCTGCTGTGCTCACTGTGCCCTGGCCCACTGGCTTTCTTTCCCACCCTCCTTCACGCCATGCTTGTTCCCACATCAAAGCTTTTCCACTTTATCAGGAATCTCTCCCCGGGTACTTGAGTAATTTTATATGCTCTTGATTGTTCAGGTCTCAAGTAAAGTATCTCCTAGAGGTTTTCCATGAGAATCTACACATGTGGGCCCCAGTACCTAGCACTCTCCAGCACAACCAGTCTGTGTACTTTCTTCATGTCACTGGGCAGTACTAGAAGCTGCAATTTGTTCCATGGGATATAGACTTTAGGAGAACATGAATATTTTCTTTCTTACTTATCATTGGTTCCACAGGATCTAATACAATATATAATTGTATTTAGCATGTGGTTGGCACTCAATAAATATTTATTAAATCAATCAATAAGTCATTATGAATTACACAGCTGTCAGGGTTGGGGAAATCCTTTCCTAACTCATCTGAGTGCTTGTATGTGTTCTCTCTAGGTATAATGATTGGATAATGTCTTAGCACTGAGTCCTGGGATGAGAGAGGTATGGAAGTGGTACAGGCAGCAGGGGTGAATACACACAGTCCTGAGTAGCCATAAAGTCATACTTGTTTCCAAGCTGGAGGTTCAAATGGAACTGGAGATGTGGAATAACACAGGTCACATGAATAAGGATTACAAAGGTTCAGCAGAACACCAAATGCGTCAGTTAGGGGAGCACCAAGTATTCTGGCCAAGAGCCTTTGAAAATATTGAAATTTAAACTTGAGGGCTGCTTGGGTTTGATGTTCATTTTGACAGTTTTTCTGCTCTTCCTACCCAGTGCCCAGGAACAGTGCCTGATGCATACTAGGAGCTTGGTGAGTACTTCAGGACTCACATGGAATGATGAAGCTGAACACTAACGCCAGAGTCAGCTGAAAGTCTCCATCTGGGGAGGCAAGCAGCAAAGAAATTCCTCAGTGCTAAAGGCCAATGAGTGCTTTAGAATCCAGACTGAGAAATAACAAATGGATGAGATAAGTAAATGTGATGTGAAAACCTGACTGCGGTGTTACAAAAGACATTACAGACAAATATCCCATATAAACATCGACTCAAAGTTCTTCAACAAAATATTGGCAAATTAAATCCAAATACACACACACACACACACATGCATATGTATACATATGCGTGCATGTATGTAATGTAGTCATACATATGTATACGTATATGTATACATGTATATGTATGTGTGTATATATGTATATGTACGTGTATATATTTATACACATACATATATGTGTATATTCATATACACATATACGTATACGTGTATATTCATATATATACACACATATACATATACATGTATATTCATATATATACACACATATACATATATATATACACACATACACATACACACACACACATATATAAAATGACTACATTATGACCAAGTGAGATTTAGTTTTGGAGTAAGAAGTTTTTTGTGATATTCAAAAATTAATCAATATGTTGGAGTCAAGACAAGGATGCTTACTCTCATTACTTCTTTTTAAACATTATACTGGAGGTTCTAGCCAGTGCACTAAAACAAACAAATGAAAAGAAACAAAAATTATGAAGTTTAGAAAGAAAGAAAGAAGTAAAAATCCTTTTTCTTTAGATGGCAGAATTATGTATGTAGAAAATCCCAAGGAATATAACAATTACTAGAACTAATGGTTGTTTTGGAAAAGTAGCAAGATACATTCTAAATATACAAAAACAAAGATTAGGCTATATCAGTAAAACCAAACTATATTTGAAACAATTCGATTAAATACATAAGCCTTTGGTAAATCCAATGAACATATAAGAAGAAACGACATTGATGAATAATGTATACTCCAGAGAGAGTATATAATTCCAGATTTGGAAAAGCTCTATTAAAATTGCAATTTTCTATTTTATGAATTGTTACCAAAAATTAAAACTGTTAATCAGTAAGTAAAATATGGATTGCAAACATCTACCAAAAAAAGAGGTTGTAAATTAAATAGTGAATATGACAGAGCTAATTATAGATATGTCGATATATGTAGATTAATTTACACACATGTATGTCATACCTCTGTCCAGCTGAGAGGGCCTAGAAGCAGTGACATCCCGGTAGCAATGAGCATACCTAATGCCCAGATCTTGGTTTCCAAATACCACTCTCCAATAAAAGAACCCAAAGCTCCTTAAAGAAATGGCTGATTCTAAAGATGGAGTAAGAAAAATACAAACTAAGTCTGGAACATCTTGAAGTGACAAAAGTAAGAAACTGCTAAAAAAAAATACATAATAATAGATGGGGGCAAGTCAAAAGGACACAGAAGTCAACCTGAAAAAGCCCAGTGGTCAAAGCTGGAATACTCTGAGCAACAAAATATATGATAATGGATTATTCCAATAAAATGAGTATTTATGAGTTCATATTAATAAAAACAAATACATGATAGCATTAAACATGGAACTACAAGAGACAAGACTCCTTTCAGAAGATTGTTTTTTTTAAAGTTCGTATCCCCTATGCAAAAAGGTAAGGTTTAATTTCCCTATTTTTGAGTGTGAGCTGGACTTCGTGACTTGCTTCCAAAGAATTGAGTATAAGAATGAAAAAATAGAAACTTTCCTTGTGGTAACTTGGCAGGTACTCCCTTAACCATGATGTCAAGATTACCATTGCCAGGAATAAGTTAAGTTGATATCCTATATCCATTTATTAGATGAGATGAGAAAGACATTTCCCTTTTGTAGAGTTCTTCCCCAAAACCTGTAAGCCCAGTCTAACCCAGGAGAAAACATCTGACAAGCAAAATTTAGTGACAGTTTACAAAATACTTAACCAGAATTCCTCAAAATTCAAAGCCAGGCAATACAAGAAAAGAATAAGAAACTGTCACAGCCCAGGAAAAACAAAGGAGACGTGATGAACAAATGCAACATGTTATCCAGATTGGAATCTGACACAGAAATAATAGAATATTAGTAAAACAATTGACAAAATCCAAGTAATGTCTGTAATTCAGTCAATAGTATGGTACCAATCCTCATTTCTTAGTTTTGACAAATGGACCACGGTTATGTTAACATTAGGGGAAGTGGGGTGAGGGGCATGTGGAGACTTTCTCTGTAAATTTTCTGTGAATTATTATTATTCCAAAATAAAAAAGTCTTAAAAATATACAGAAGCAATCCTAAATACCATATAGTATTTGCCTTAGCCTATTAGGCACTTCTATAACAGAATGCCGTAAACTGGGTATTTATAAGCAATAGAAATTTCTTCTTCACAGTTCTGGTGGCTGGAAGTCCAAGGGCCAGGTGCTGGCAGGTTTGGCATCCGGTGAGGCCCTGCTTCCTGGTTCATAGATGGTGTCTTTTCACTTTGTCCTCACATGGTGGGAGAGGTTAAAGAGCTCCTTTTGCCTTATTTGATAAGGGCACTAATCCCATTCATGAGGGCTCCACCCTCTTGGCCTGATCACCTCCCAAAAGTCCCACCTCCTAATACCACCACTTTGAGGCTAGGATTTCAACCTAATGAATCTTAGAGGGTACAAACATTCAGTCCATAGCAGTATCTGGACTCCAGAAGAGACACAAAACCTACTGTGTTTTATAAGGTAAATTCTACCAAATATGTAAGGAACTGATCATTCTTATGTTTTGCAAAACACTCCATGGCATGGAGAATAATGGGCTAATTTCCAACTCATTCTATGACGCTAGTGTAATTTTGAAACCAAGAGATAAAAAGGATATCAAGAAAGGATGGAAGGAGGAAATAATGAAAACAAAACAGTAAGTCATTATCACGTATGAACTTGTACCTCAAATCCTAAAAAAATAATAAATTAAATTTGTCAGTACATTTAAGGAACAAAACATTATAGAAAACAAGCACCGTTTAATCCAGGACTTCAAATAAGTTTCATGTTTGATATCGTAATAAATAGGAAAAAAAACCATGATTATCACAATAGTTACTGGAAAAACCCTCTGATAAAACTTAGCGTCTCTTCCTGGTAAATGGCTTTAGCTTGAAACAGAGGGAATTTTTTTAACCTGCCAAAAGGAATTGCCCAGTAAACCACAACAAGTCCCCGTATGAAAGGTGAATCATTAGAGACATTCCCATTAAGGGCAGAGACAGGAAAGTGAGGCTCACTATTACAAAAACTATTCAGAATTGTTCTAGAAGTTTTAAACCATAAATGAGGTGAGAATTTTTAAATATATGAGAAAACATAGTACAGCATTTCTCAAAGTGTGGTCACTGGACCAACAGCATTAGGTGGTTAGAAGAACAAATTATCGAGCCCTACCCCAGACCTCTGGAATCAGAAACTCTTGGAGTGGGAAACGGCAATCTGTGCATTAGCAGCCCCCAGGGAGGCTGGGATGTGTTCTGAAGATTGAGAAACTCGCTGTAGTCAATGCTGTTGGTTTCAATGCTGTTGGAAGCCAGAGCACTCCAACCCCCAACTGCTGTGAGTGTTGGCTTCCAACACTTTGCACCTGTCCGCTTCTCCTGAGGACTGTGCTCAGCTGAAGGAAGTCCACTTGCTCAGAAATGCCCAGAAGATTCTGCTTTCTTTCTGTGGAGGATTGCTTTCCAGACCCTGGAAGATACAAGATCCACAGATGCTAAAGTTCCTGCTATAAAATGGTGTAGTATCTGCATATAACCCAGGCACATTCTCGCACATACTTGAAATCATCTCTATATTACTTATATCACCTAATACAGCCTGTAGCCAGTGACTGACTGATACAGGGCAATGACTGACTGATATTGAAGGCAGCCCTCTTGCTTCAAAGTAGCATAACTCTACGATGCTATTCGCAAGCCAGAAGGCCCTGTGGGGTCAGGCTGAGGTTGGGCCACAGCTGAGGCCACAGCTGCACAGCTTTCCCCCTGCCCTGGCCTGCTGTCCTCAGTCTCTGACAGGTTTCACCTGAGAACACATTTTCCTGGAAACCACTGGCCCAAGAATCCTGTCTCAGGCTCAGCTTCTAGGAAATCCAATCAGACATAGAATATAAGTTGAGAAGAGGGGGTGCTTAATTTTGAAAACTATCATTTTCCACCTAGAGCTTTTTAAATAACCACCTATGAGACTATTATAATAGCTCATACTTAAATAGAACTTACTATATGCCAGGTCCATGTATATGTATATATTTACTCATTGAATATGCACAACATTCCTCCAGTGTAGACATATTATTATTATCCTCATTTTATAGATGAAGCAACCAACACACAAAGAAGTTTAACAATTTTCACATTGCCATACAGTTAAAGTTCTTTATCAATTGAATGAAAGATACAGGTTCAAGTATAATTTAAGAATTTGCAAATAGGTAATTGAAAACTATTGGAAATTTAAATTCATAATTAAAGTTTTTAAATAAAAAGATTTTATCAAGTGTGGACACCGTTGATGATTATATTTGCAAATCACTCTATTTGGTTTTCGTTGCATACATTTACTTATTTTTATAGATAGCTCTGGCAGAAAAAGCAACACTCACCAAATACAGGTATCCTTTGCTTTTCCAATTCTTGCTTTCTAAATTCAGACACTGAATAGATTTAACCAATTTTTGGATTACCCCATGTTATATGAATTCTCCCTACTTGCTATTCAAAACTCAGGATCAAAGAGATTTGGAGAACAGTTTTTTCCACACTATCTGAAGTTGCTATCGAATTCTCACTCTCCAACTTTAGAAATAGAATAGATTGAATTTGGAGAAAAACTTGCATTCCATCCTATTCTCTATGTCTTTACTACATTAGGCAAGGCCCTCATACTAGCTTTGGCCAAAGCAATGTCAGCAGAAGGGACCCAGGATAGCCCTTCCCAGGCTGAGCTTCAGAGAACCTGGTGATCCTTCAGCCTCACCTATGTTGTAATGCTGTGCCCAGGAAAAACACACGTTGCCTTTGGAGCAGCCTCAGGATGGTGGGACCTTCATTACTCTGGCTTCCCAAGCAGCTGTGCTGAGCTGAGCCCATGCTACCTTCAAAGGACATTGGTATGCATAAGAAGAAAGAGCATTGCCATGTGGAACCACTGAGATTTTGCAGTTAATATATTGCCATAGTGTATCCTAACCTATCCAGACTAATACAGCAATCATTTATTAAATCTCAAATAAGAGTAAACTGAGTAGTGTTGAAAAAATTGTCATTACACTTAAAGAAAGATAAAGTTAGACTTCTTTCATATAATGCAAAAATAATGCCCTAATGAAATTAGAGTTGTCCTTCTATATCTGTGGAGAATTGCTTTCCAAACCATCAAAGATACAAGACCCGCAGATGCTCAAGTTGCTGAAATAAAGTGGCATAGTATTTGCATATAACCCAGGGACATTCTCCTATATACTTGAAGTCATGTATTACATACAAAACCTAACACAATGTAAATGCTATGTCAATAGATATTATACTGTATTTTTATTTGTATTTTTAATTGTTGTATCACTATTTTTATTTTGTAAATTAAAAAAAATTATTTTATGTATAGTTGGTTGAATCTGCAGATGTGGAACCCAAGGATACAAAGGACTCACCATAAGAAAAAAGTAAAAGAAAATATGGAGCCTATTTTAGGTAACATTTTGGTAAGACAGGCATTTTTATGCAACGTATAAAATACAGACATTAAAGAAAAAAATGACAAATATGACCACATAAAAATGTAAATGTTTCTTATGAAGAAAAACAAATTCAAGATTTAAAAAACAATTTTTCAGTTTTAGAAACATCTTTGTTATATACCTGTGCATACACACAAACACACACACAAACACACATACACAATATGATGTGTATCCAAACTATATAAAAAGAAACTCTATATATCAATTAAGGACAAGGAATCACCTAGTAAATTTTAAATAATAATAAATAAAGGCTATAAATTGACATATTACAGATGACAAAAACAAATGAAAATTAGTAAGATATTATTTTCATTCTTTAAATTGGTAAAAATTTTCAAAGAATTATAATATATAAAGACAGAATGTGAAAAATCAGACCGTATCATGAAGTGTTGCTTTCTGTAAGTAGAATAGGTTTTTAAAGGACATTTTATTTGCATATGTTGATTTAAAAAATACTTTGGCTCACCAGTTCTATCTCTAGCAACCTCTCCCAGGGGAATATTTACCCATGTGCATGAATATTTGAATACTGTTTTTTGTAACATTGTTTGTAATAGTCCACAATTAGAAATACAATGTCATTAAATGAATAATAAAATAAATTATATTACATCCATATTAAAGAACATCATTTATGTATTAACATATAAATTGTTAAGACATTTAGTGACATGGAAGAATGTCTCATATATAGTATAAATGAAAAAGAAAATGAGCATAGAGCAATTTTTTATATAAAAAGAAAGGAGACATGTATGAGATCACATGTTACCTCTAAGGATACAAAGTAGCTCTTTAAATTCTAGGCTATATGAATTCTTAAATTTATTAAAACAAGACTATATGCAGAGCATTCTATTCAATCAATTGCATATGTATATCCTGGAACACTGTTCGCAAAATTAGTCATTCTCAAGTTTGCAATATTTATTCATACTAATATTCACATATTTTTTAAATTGATTCACTTTTATTCTCAAATAAATTTATTGGTAAACATTTATGCCATCACATAAATGAAAGATAAATACAGTATTAAATGCAAAAAAGTTATTCAGTTTACAAGAAAATTGTGCAATTAAATACTGTGATACATTATGTAATGCAAACATAATAAATCCAAACTTTTTAAAAAATGAATACCTGAAAATAAATTTCTCAATGAAGAAGAGAGAGATGTTTCTGGTCAGTCATATAAAAGATATATGTAGCTGGACATGTGGGAGTCTATATTCATATGACAATTCAGTTTCTTTAGTTTTAGCTAATTAGCACCAAATTAACTTACATTTGGTTGAAAAGGGTAAATTACCTTCTCTGACACTGTTAAATACTGAGATTTAATTGTTATTCTAAAATAATTGAGTTACCTAATAAACTGTTACTTCTGAAACACTCTACAGAGTCACTTCTTCTGCTGAATATGTTTGTTTATGTGTTTGCATGGCAATATCCCAAAAGAAGAGAAATAGCAATGTCTACGAGTCACTGTTGCCATCTGACTTGGAGAAACACCCGTGGATACTGTGTATTAAGTCTCCATTGTCTTTTCATGATGTTCCAAATTGTTTCAGCTACTATATGAGTTTATAACCAGGTTGGTAAACAATAGTGTTTTAGGTATTTGACTGAATGAGTGAATTTCATCAGAAGACTCACTCCCAGGATCTGGGTGCATTAGTGTGATGAACAATTATAATAACCGCTGGCCCTGAGACATCCTATAAAATAGCATGCACACATTATCTCATATAATTCTCACAATCCCTTACATAACTGGAATTCCCATTATACAGTTAGGAATTAGAGGTGCAAAGAGGTAAAATACCCTGCCTGGGATCACATAGCAGTGTAATGATAAAAATCAAAATATGAACCTCAAGAATGTTGAATTCCAGAGTGTCCTCTTAACTTCTAAATTGGAATCAGAGGCTGCAGCTACACACCCGGATGTCCTCAGCACAAGCAGTCTCATGTCCCCACCATGGGGCCTTATCTTGGGGAGGGGAGAATCCCTACTCAGGCACCAGGGCCCCTAGAATGTGCAGGCAAGGGGATACCTGGCACCACTGTTGAAAGTGCCATAGTCATACCTTAAGTGAGCTGTTGGCCAGGGCCAGCAGGGTGCCTGTGAGGCCAAGCGTGTGTGTATGTGTGTGTGTGTGCATGCGCGCACGCTAGTTAAATGTCAACATCAGAAGCCTGGAGGCACAGAAGTCACCCATGAGGAGCTGCCCTTCCTATCTCCTGTTTTCCTTTCCCATCCCTTTCTTCCTCTCAATTCCCAACCTGCACACCCATACAGGCAATCCAACCCTAGCTCTGTCTCTTTTTGCATCCCAGTTCAATGGAAAATCACCCTGAGATTGCCATGGTAAACACATACTTTCCGAAAGACTAAACAGCATTAAGAACAAAAACATTCTAGGGCCAGGCATGGTGGCTCACGCCTGTAATCCCAGCATTTTGGGAGGCCAAGGCGGGCAGATCACAAGGTCAGGAGTTGGAGACCAGCCTAGCCAACATGGTGAAACCCTGTCTCTGCTAAAAATTAGCCAGGCATGGTGGTGCCCACCTGTAATCCCAGCTCCTCAGGAGGCTGAGGCAGGAGAATTGCTTGAACCCAGGAGGTGGAGGTTGCGTGTGCCAAGGTCATGCCACTGCACTCCAGCCTGGGCGACAGAGCAAGACTCCGCCTCAAACAAACAAACAAACAAACAAACCATTCTAATGCCCGGCCTTCCTGGCAGATGCATGATTTATATATGTTTCCCAAGTGTGTGATTGAGTTTTCTTCATTTATGTTTCAATAATCTCTTCAATCTTCACTGAAATCATCAGTCCCTGTCAGCAATTAATGTGCTCAGACCTGCCTATGTATATCTGAATTATCCACTTGCACCCTCTGCATTCTGGACTCCAGAATCTGTCTGACGTTCCAGATGCTAATTGCCATGGTCTAGATCTAGGCAGGACTCTGAGTTGACAATTCGACCTCGCTTCCTCCCTGCGGCATCCACAGTGTGCTCCAGCCCTAACCCAGACTCCACGTGGAGAAGCAGCCTAATGCTCTGATCTGCTGTTGAATTGTGCCATATGGTCTTTAAAAGGCTTTGTCTTTTTCTTTTTTTCCAAACAGTCAAGATGAAATTGGCTTCTGGTCAGTAACTCGCTTTCTTTCCCTCCTCTAAGGTAGAGTCGCCAAAAAGGATTTTGTTTTGTTCCATTTTGCCTGCAACGATATGGATCGCCAAATAGGACTGCAAATTATCTACATTGTTTTTATGAAGAAAAATATATTTATTTTCCTAGCACTTGGAATCGTTGCTTGCTAAGGCCAGGGAACCGATGTTGTCCCCTGATTTCTGTCCCCCTCTCACCCTAATTGGAGAGATCTGAGCACACCAGAGGATGTTTGTGGCTAAATTGGGGTATTATGAAAATAGTTCACAAAGCAAGTGGAAAGCTATATATAAAAATGATATTTACTTCTCATTTTAAATGAAGCCTAAGACAAAAGGCATATAGGTAAACACAGCTGCAACATTTTTAGGCATATAATCAAATGCAAAAATAATATTGGAAAACTATGTTAATTATTGTAATTAAATTGTGAACGGTATTGATAGAAAAATATCTTTAAAACATATAAAATCAAAATGGAGCTTATCACATTATGAGAGTTTGCTCTATTATATATGATGTGCCTAGATGGAGGTGCCATTTAGCAAACTGCCCACAACTCCCCAGCAGTAGAGTAGAGGGAAGGAAGGGCTGAGGGACCAGAAAAGAACTCTAGACCTTTGCATAAATCTTAGCCCCAATTCCATGGTCTTGGGGAATAAGTTTGCCTGACCAACGTCTGAAAAAGTTGATAGAGAAGAGTCAAAAGGGCCTAGATTTTGGAGTCAAGTTTATCTGTGTTTGAAGCATGGCCCACCCACCTCTTACCAGGGTGTTTTTAGGATCCACATCCCCAGCTACAGCAGGAGACAAGGGTCTTGAGACCTTTAGAAATCCAAATTCTACTCGGACAACATAGTTGTCCTGGGCAAAAGGAAATGTGCCATGATCCCAACATTGTTTTCCTACATTGTTACTACATGGCTATGAAGTTTTTAGCCTTACTCCTAAATGTCTGGGGGTTTAAAGAATGGTTCAGCAAACGTGGCTCCCCCTTAAAGCCCACCATGTCCCCAAAGTCTAGAAGACTCTGTCTTTGGCTGCCTTTAATCTTAGAGTTCGTTTTCCTCCTGGATACCTGTGTTCAGAAGACACTTTGGCCCCAATAGAGGTGTCTAAAGCAGTGCCTGACTCTTCTTCTGGTCTACCACGTTCCTCTTGAGGATCCTTCTGAGTGCAGAAGAAAACTGGACATCAACCAAGAGGTTAACGGGTGCCATTTCTCCTCGTTACTTTGCATCATCCAAAAAAAAAAAGAAATGCTTCTTCAAGTTTTCCAGTCAATTGCACTCACAGCAAAGGTTGGTTGAGGAGCCACTCTGGAGCCTTCCCATCTGCTGCTTCATGGAAATGTTTGTACAGGATCTGGGCTTCCTGCCGAGCCCCGTTTCCATCATAAGTCGTGTGTTTCCTGTGCATGTTCTCACTCCACACATTAACCCCCTTTTCAGTTTTCACTTAAGTCTTATCTCTCACTTGATGAGCAATTTTTTCACTGGCTGGATCATTTGCAACAGTTTCACAAATGTCTTTTTCTCATTTCTGTAGAGAGAAATTGGTGAACTTGTTCATTCCTCAGATCTCAGCCACTGCTGAATTCATTTCTCTCTTTAGTTTACTCACTTTTATATTCTGGCGAAGAAACCTACGTGCCTTAGCTTGTCTCACTTTTTCATCATTTTCATCATCTGCACTAGCAGTTGGCCTTTTTTGGGGGGAGAGATGGACAATTATTTCACAGACGAACTAAATTTTTAGTAATTGAATACAAATAGCTGCATATACAGCAAACAGAGACACTCCGAGCCACCCAGGCGTGAGTCAGCTGTCACAGTAGGGGGGCTCAGTCATGGACCCCAGCTGCAGGGGACAAGCAGGTACTTACCTTAGCAAATTATCACAGTATTTGCTAAAGGCCTGCTCAGAGCGGCAGAGCAAGATAGATCTGTTGAACTTTACACCCTGGGCACCTCCATAGCACATTGGAAGTCACGTAAGCCAATCAGCCTCCAATAACCTACCTGTCAATTGAGAATCGTGATGATAATGATGCCTGCTTCACAGTATTGTGATGATTAAATGAAATAATATTTGTAAAAAAAATGTTTGAAAAAGTGTAGATGCTCTGTTATTATTTTCTACCGTCTCACAGAAATCCCATTTAGAATATCCCTCCACTCGGCAACCTGCCAAGGTGAGTTTGTAGTTTAAGGGTGATACGGTTTGGCTGTGTCCCTACCCACTTCTCATCTTGAATTGTATTTCCCATGATCCCCACATGTTGTGGGAGGGACTCAGTGGGAGGTAATTTAATCATGGGGGTGGTTACCCTCACGCTCTTCTTGTGATAGTAAGTGAGTTCTCACAAGATCTGATGGGTTTATAATGGGCTTTTCCCTGCTTCACTCAGCACTTCTCCCTCATGACACCATGTGAAGAAGGATGTGTTTGCTTTTCCTTCCACCGTGATTGTAAGTTTCCTGAGGCCTCCTCAGCACTGTGGAACTGTGAGTCAGTTAAACCTTTTCTTTATAAATTACCCAGACTTGGGTACGTCTTTATTGGCAGCTTGAGAATGGACCAGTAAAAAAGGCTAGAACTGAATCTATGTGGAGAAAATGTAGTGGGGAGGGGGTGTGCAAACTCTTAGGAAGTAAGTGTTTTCACAGTCAATAGAATATAAGATAGCAACCCTTGTGCTTTGCTGGTAGACATGTAAAATGGTTCAGGTTCTGTACAAAACAGTGTGGCCGTTCCTCAAGATTTTAACCACAGAGTTACAATAAAATCCAGCAATTCCTCTTCTGAGTGTTTACTCAAAAGAATGCAAAGTGAGGACTTGAACAATATTTGTACTCCAATGTTCTTAGCAGCTTCATTTACAATAGCCAAAACGTGAAAACAATCCAAATGTCCATTGACAGATGAATGGATAAACAAAATGTGGTAAATACATATAATGGGATATTATTCAGCCTTAAAAAGGAAGGAAAATCTGACATGTGCTACCACATGAATGACCCTTGACATTATGCTAAGTGAAACAAGCCAGACACAAAAGGATAAACATTATATGTGAGGTATCCAGAATAGTCAAATTCATAAAGACAGAAAGCAAAAAGGAAGTTACCAGGGGTTGAAGGGAGTGGAAATGAGGAGTTAGTGTTTGATGGGTACAGAATTTCACTTTGAGAAGATGGAAAATTCTAAATCTGGATGGTGGTGATGGTTACACAGTAATAGCAATGAACTTGACACTTAAAAACTGTTAAAATGACAAATTATATGATATCTATATTTTACCAGAATAAAAAATAAATACAATATTAAAGCTACCTACAACAAACAAATCAATACTGTCATTCTAAGAATGCTAGGTGAGTAATAATGTGTTTTGCAAATTAATTTCCTTTTATCACTCTTTAGACAGTCTCAATAATCATTTCTGTGGTGTCATTAAGATGGCTGTGAAATTCACCTAACTTCGTTGTAGATTATAAACAGACTAGAGGTGATTTATTTTGCCTTCATCTGGTCCTTCATCAAAATACTTAATAAATGTTTGGTCTTATGTATGAAAATGTCCTTCCTTTTGCACCCTAGGTTATGCCATAACAAGCAAAGATTTGTGGATTTGTGAGACATAAAAATGTTTGTAAGTATTTTTCACCATTTTCCTAGATTTTACTAGCTTTCTCCATGTAAGCCCATGTTAGAGTGTGGGCCATGAGGTCCCTGTGGGGTGCCCAGCTCTGAGGAACCCAGCCATGCAGTGCCACATCTAGGCTGCCATCACTCCATCTTTCCTTCCTTCTCTCTCTCAAGACCTCATTGCACAAATCACGTTTTTTAATGTCCTCCATTCTGTTTGTTTTTTCTCTTGATGACGTCTTCGTCCCTCTTTTTTTGCAATTATTCCCAATACAGATGATGTGCAACTCTAGCCACCAGGAGCCAACATTCTTTCAGTGGATAAAAAGGAGTTCCAATACTTTTTCTTACTAAGGAAATGGATTGCAAGGGATGGTGAATTATTAAAATAGTAAGTGTCCAATGAATGTTTGTCAATTGAAGTCAAACTGTTCTGAGAAATAATGACAAGGCATCATTCTGAGGTTTAATTGGAGAAGTCTTGTCCCAAACTCCACTCAAACGTGAAGGAAGGGCAGTATAACCCAGCAGTTAAGAGCATTCACTTTGGAAACAGCCATAGTTGGGACAGAATCCAGTCTTTACCACTGACTAACTAAAGGACACTAAATTTTAGAGTCTTCTTCCTGGGCATAATACTTGTGAAGTGAAATCAGGCTTGCAAAGTGCAAGGTCTATGTTTGTTTTGTACATAGTAGTTACTATGCTTATGATAATAAAATGGAAAAGTATTTTTCTCAGTGTTTTATTACCAGGAATATTTTTACCCTCCATTTTACTCCTTTATAAAGTATGTTTGTGAATTATTTAAAAATACATTACTACTAACCTAGATTTTTTGCTTCTAGAGCCTAAAGCTATAATATGTAATTGGTATTCCCGGAGCCCCTCATCCAAAAGAGTTGAGTGAAGGCCCATGTTGTAGGGTCATACAATTAGTGATTTTATCAGTCTCATCCCAGATTTCTGCCACCTCTGGGTCCAAGCTATTCCCTGAGATATTCTTTACTTGCACATCAATGAGTATTAATGGATCCATATTTATGGTCACTACCTGGAGGGAATGGGTCCCTTGAATTACAGATATCAGTTCATAGCCCCCAAAGCACCTTCAAGAGGCATCTAAGGCTCCATGAGTATAGTGAATGGAAGGAGCGAGGAGGTACGGTTGGTTTTTCCTATTCTCTTCATCTTTTTAATAATAAGTGTATATTCAATTAAGTAGGCTCTCATTACTCAATTTGTGCGAGTTCAAGTCTGGGCTAAAGTAAAGTAGAAAAATAATACAAGTCTGATTATCTTTGAAGAAAGCGATGAGCTTTGCATTCCAGTCAGAGATTTTCAAAGACTGGTCCAGGACTATACAGGTAGTGAAAGTGTGAACTGAGTTGGGAGCATGACTTTTCTTACTCTTGATCAGGCCCCATCCAGTAGCATCTGCAGATCGGGCCCCATGTGATGAATGTTCAGAGTTCACTGCTGTCTAAGCAGTGTATGGAGGGGGCTGGAACTTGGTTGGGTGCAATAGGAAAAGAGCTTTATTTTTCCTCCAATTACTGCTTTCAAACACGCTTTGGAGCAGTACCCTTCCTGTTCATGTTTACACTATCTTCTGGCCAGTCTCTTCTATGATCTTCTAATTTGGTAATTAGGACTTACTTTAAGGCTTAGAAAAGTCCATTTCACCTGATTCAAATTTTCACCCCATTCCCAGTTCAGGCCCGACCCATAGCTAGAGGGCCTTCAGTGCAGAAGGGGATTTGGTCTGCTCTTTTTTTTCTTTTTTTTTTTTTAACTTTTATTTTAATTCCAGGGGTAAATGTGCAGAATGTGTTCTACAGATAAATTACGTGCTGTGGGGGTTGGGTGTACAGATTATTTCATCACCCAGGTAATAAGCATGGTACCTGATGGTAGTTTTTCTATCCTCACTCTCTTCCCAACTTCCATCCTTAATTAGGTCCTGGTGTCTGTCATTTCCTTCCACGGGTGCTCAATGTACAGCTCCCACATATAAGTGAGATCACATGGCAATTTAATTTTCTCTTTCCTCATTAGTTCACTTAGAATAATGTCCTCCGGCTCCATCCATGTTGCTGCAAAGGGCATGATATTCTCTTTCGTGGCTGCATAGTGTTCCATGGTGTATTTGTACCATATTTTCTTTATCCAGTCCACCATTGATGAGCATCTAGATTGATTCCATGTCCTTGCTATTGTGAATAGTGCTGTGATATTCATGTTCTTGTCTGGTTTAGTTACCTGCTCTTACTCCTGAGACTAACACCACACAGGACAGAGTAAAGTAGAAGATGACCTAAGAAAACATACAGAAGTCTTAACTGGATTGCTTTTGTTATGAGATGTTCACTGAAGTCCTTCTTGTGACTGACATTCCAATACTGGAGTTTTACTTGGAGGCAGATGTACAAGTTTTTCAGAAGCCATGGGCAACATGAATACTACATGCTTCCCAGAAACACATGGTGAGCTTGTCAACCCCCTTTTGGTGCCCTCCCTCTCATTGCCAGCTCCTGCACCTGCAACTCCACCCCACAGCCTTGTGATGCTGGCTGCTCTCTTGGTCTTGGTCTCGTCAAAGCATCCCAAGTTTGGCTACTTTCTTCAGCATCCGCATAGCCCAGGGGAAGCTCCATATCACAGCCAAGGCTACCACGTTCTGCCTCTTCAATATCCATCAGCTTCTCCCTGCTCAGACTACATGGAGTGGAGGGTGCAGCAGCTGTGCCAGCTGAGCCCTGGTGTATTTGGCCCAACAAGGATAAATCTAGCACCTTCCTCTTTAAGGGGAGGTGGAGGGATTTAGCTCAAGAAGGATAAATCTAGCACCTCCCTCTCAAAGGGGGAATGGGAGGATTCACTGCTCCTTCTCTTTTCAAGCACTTATCAAATATATCTAGACCAGTAAAGTTTCATAACATATTTTTAAATATATCAAAATAAGCTTTCTGTGAGTGTGTGTTGAATGGACAAATGAATAAATGAAGATATTTTCATGGGTGGAGACATCTCCTGTGCCTGTACTCTGTTCTCAAGAAGATCAAAACTTGCTAATGGTAGAAAAAACACGGCATCCTACAGTTCTTTTAGTCATATGAATGCACACTGACATTAAATTATACCCTATTGAATTGCTTAAATATTCCATTGATATATTTCTTGCTCCCCATTTTGATTATCAATATTTTGAAGTTATTTACCCACTTAATACCATGACAAAATTATTGTACTGATAGGCCAAATTAGAAGTATGAAAAGGATAAAATAGCATACAGAGACAGGCTTGGAGTTCTCGGAGAAGATGGGAAGAGAAAGGCCACTGATATGTATTGATCACCTAAGATGGTAACTGCTGTGTGACGTCTCTCTTATCTCTTATAACAATACAGCAAGGTGGCTAAATTACGGTTGCAGAATCCTGGGCTGCAAGAAATCAAATACGTGACTATAAGGATGTGGCTGCCTAATAAGTTGCAGAAGGGTTCAAATCCATATATGTTTCAAAAACCCCTTTTGCTTAGTCTTGGCGAGCATTGAGGTGGGAGAAGGTTGTGTTTTTGCATGCTCTGGTGCTAAACTGCTCTTCTGAATTTCTGTCTCACTGGACTCATTTTCTGATGAGAATAAACAAAATACATATTTTCCCGCTTGACCCTGAGTTATATGAGACAGGGAATATATGTTCTGTAGATCTCAGCTCCTGGTATTTAGATATTACCTTTGCTAGGCATTCAGTGAATGCCCTGTATCTCTAAATAATTAATACACAGAATTAATAAACAGTATATGGTGAAGCTCAGTGATACCCAAGAAAGAGTAGCAAATACGTAAGTGAACACCTTGAATGTGATCATCTAAAGACAGGTTTCAGGAAATGCCCATATTTTAAAATTTTTAAAAATTCTGAAATTTGACACCTTTATTCTTTTGTGAAATATACTGGTGCAAAAAAGAGAGAGAGATTTTCATTTGAGAATAGTTTTCCTTTATAAGACAGGGATGAGCAGATTGTGGCAGCTGAATGGAACATCCTGGCAGACTGCATCAGGAGAATGATAACATGAGAAGCAATGTTTAAAACATTCCCCTAAAAACCAACTCTCAAAAAAATTTCTTTTAAAAACAATCCCAGAAATGCTGAAATATTTGGAAGATATGAGCAGGAATGAACAACTACCTTCATCTTATTTAAATCTTTCATTTCCTAATTGTTCCTGGTCTGGCTCATAAAGATCTCTAGATAAAGTTAATTGACTTTAAATAGGAGTGGTAAGCTCTTTTACAACTTTTAAAAAATATATCTTTTACGTTCCTGGATAACCTGTAATTTTACAATACTGATCTAGAAACCAGAAGCTGCCACAAATGATGGTGCTAAATCTGTGCTTGAAATGGTGGGACAGAAATGCAAGGTGACTTTACAAAGGATGGATGATTTGAGTCTCTGTTCCTATATCCATGATTTGACTGTGCAAAAGAAGTCCTTACTACTTCTCCACCCACCAATTCTGGTGACAGTTAGGGGGTTTGTGGCCCTAGCCTACATCATTCTCCCCTGCTGGATGCTTCCTGCTCTTGAACATCGGACTCCAGGTTCTTCAGTTTTGGGACTCGGACTGGCTCTCCTTGCTCTTCAGCTTGCAGATGGCCTATTGTGGGATCTTGTGAGTTAATACTTATTATGCTCTATCTATCTATCTATCTATCTATCTATCTATCTATCTATCTGTTATCTATCTATCTATCTATCTATCTATCTATCTATCTATCTGTCTATCTACCTATCCTATTAGTTCTGTCCCTCTAGAGAATTCTGAGTAATACAGTGGGCATGCTGATTTGGGTACAGAAATATTCTTACACTTGGCATTACACTAGTGGAATATATCTTACCTTCTGGTGCATAACCCTCCAAGAGCAGACTTACTAGATATCTTACGATTGTGTTCTTCATCTGTTTCTCAAATTGCTCTGGACTTGATATCACCAGGGCAGAATTTTATAAGGGGCAGCTCTGCCTTCCTGTTTGCATATCTGCATATCTGCTCTCTCTCTTAATCAGACTGCTTAGTTAAAAATGTCAAATACAGCCCTGAAGATTCTGCACTTAGGACTCCATTCTACAATGCTGAGACAGTCCATTTCAAATCCAACTATCAGTCAGTAATACTCCCACCTCACTTGTAAACCATGTTGAGGATGCACTACCAGCTCTCACCTACTCAAGCATCTGTCTGCATTCCTTGCTCCTAATAAGGCAACAAGGCCAGCTTTTAACAAAATAATAACAATGGTGTTCATCATCATCATCATCATCATCATCATCATAGCAATACTAATATGTCCAGGATACATTGTAGGTAAAAGTGACTTGAGCAATAAAAGCATTCATTATCTGCATAAGATACTCAGGGACAGGAGAATTCCTTGGCTAGTCCATTCTCCTGCTCAACTGCATTGCCAAGAACTCAGGTTCATTCCTCCTGTCTGCTCCCCATACTTAATGTGCTGATTTTTGTCCTCAAGCTCCCTTCCTTTGTGATCACAGGACGGACCCCTGCAGCACACATCCCTATACAGCAAATAAAGTCAGAGGAGGCAAATTCTCTCCTTGACTTCAATTTTTAAATGAGAGAAATGAGAGAAAATTCCCACAAGCCCCCTGGCTTGCATTCTGTCAGTGTCATTGGCCATATTGCCAGCATATGGGCATGCCTCAGCCAATCAATCAGCAGTGAGGGCAAAACATTTACTGTGATGGGCTTGAACCAATCACGACACACATGAGACTGGGCACTCTCCTGAAGCAAGTGGCTAAAATGGAGGACATCAAACACAGGTAGCCTCTACAAGAAAGACGGAAGGGCAAGGGAGTGGATCCAGATGCTACCTATCTGCTTTAACAGAATCATGCTACATATGTATTTCATGATGAAGCCTAAAGCCAGTGAACAGAAATTAACCCCATAAAAGCAGTGCCTCATTCAGCAAATGAGCAGATATTCTTCAGTACCTATGGAATGCAAGACTCTCAGCAAGCCACTGGGGAAAACATGATCAATTATACATTATATTGAACATGTTTCAATTCACTTATTTTTTCATTCATTTACTCAATGAATATCCATGCAGTAAATAGTAGTGTCCTTATTACTATTGTTAGTTGGTAAACTACTACCTGTCCTACAGAGTCTTGTCATCTGGTGAGGTAAACAAGGCATTCACATTCTTATTTAAACATCGTTTACACAGTCAAGTATAGTGGTATGCTGGGGCTGGCTCATACAGGCTCCTGAGAACCAATTCTACGTATTCCTTTCCAAATTTAGAGTAGCTTACACCACTGAAATTAGAAAATGCTACAAATCAGAAGACACACACACACACACACACACACACACACACACACACACACACGCCCCACAGAGGCTATTACTAAACATTAACCAGCATGCCACTGGTTATGTGACAACAAAAGTTGAATCATAAACCATGAACTGTGAGTAATACTCAAATGACGAGTAAAACAATGAGCATAAAAAGAAAGCCCAACTAGCATTGGCCCCTCTACATGGTAGGTGCTCAATACAAAAGTGTGCTAGATGGTCTGATTGAGGAAGGAGGGAGAAAATGAGCTACCAAGAAAATTTAGGGGGAAAAGTGGCATTTGAGCTGGATATTGAAGAATGGGTGGAATTTGGATAGTCAGAGAAATAGGAGAGGGCTGTTCATGGAGAACAGGATGAAGACAAATCCTGAGGTAGAGAAAGGTCTTATGATTGTGTCCATGTAGCCAGAGTGCAGAGTGTGCTTGGAGGGCCAGGGAGTGAGGTTAGAGCTTACTGCAAGTCAGTATGCTAAGGCTTGGACATGAAATAGCTTAGCTTCATTTTTACAGGAAGTACATTATATTTCTGCATTCTAGCTCACATGGATGTATAGATTAGTTGGTTAATTATTACTTAGTTATTTTACTGCAAGATGAGATTGACGATTTACCCAAGCCCTGTGATACTAGAAAACAGGAAAGAGTAAAGAAATCTCCTCACGTTTTGTCTTCTGGGAAAGGCTTTTTGCAAAGAAGCACTTCTCCTCCTGTGACTTAGAGAAGACTCATAGGTGCCTATTTATTTGCTTATGACACAGCCAGACATAGACCCTCCAAATTCCATTCATTGCCCCATAAATGATTAACTGAATTATTTGTACCCATTGACCAATCTGGACAAGACACCTGCTAACTTGCCTTAATCAAACTATTTAAGCTTCCCTCCTCCCCTACAGGACCCTAAATTTGGTCCATCCCCAAGCGCTGGAACCACCACGCCACCTGCTCACACCTATCCCCTGTACCTGTTTCTTTCTAGCCTTACTTACATCCCGCTATAAAAGAAAATTCATTTCTGACTTGTAGATATTATGGTTGGAGCATTCTCTCTACAGCAGTAGTCTCTTCCCCGCTTATTGCAAAAATCCTTCTGAAAAATATCTTTTCTTACCTAAATGCGGATTTGTTTTTATCTGACAGAATTATGTTTTAGTCTGTCCCTCTGTGCCTGAAAGCCAGGCCATTATAAGTCCTTAGTGGTCCCAATAGAGACCTAAGCTCTACAAGATAAACAGAAAACTACTCTATCCAGGGAAAACAGCTCATGCTCAATGTCATCAAAGATGACGGGCAGGTTAAAGCAAGGGGATAATCTCACATACACAAAAGAAATCTAGGAAGTGTTTGCATGTGACATCTAAAGAACCTTTTCTGACTTTGACAATTGTAAGGAACATGTGTTGAGAGTCTTTGAGAAGGGTAACCGGTTCATTAATTTGACATTCCTCCACAACAAATAAAAACAAAAATTAGCATCATTATCAGATAATGAATATATTCATATGGCAAGAAAAAATGCTTATTGGTACCAAAGATAAAATATAGTCTATGATTTTAGAATCATCAGTTGGGACTTCTCTATGTAAGAAAGTATGATACCAGAACCAATATTAAAGTGGGCTGGCTGAAATTTACAATTGTTTCAGACCCACTTATTAGAACTATATTGATTGAAAAACATTTGAAATCCTATAAGAGCATATTATATTTTAATGGGCAGCTTGAAGTGCATTTCAATACTCATAACTAAAAATGATGTATTTTACTAAAATTACTCTGATTTAATTATTAACCTGGTTACATCTACTAGAGTATGGTTTCTTATGTCAGTTTAAGTAACTTTACGTATTTGAAATTAATAACATAAAAGAAAGACACAAACAAAAAACTTGATATGAGATCTGAGAAGGCAGAGCTTTGCTGCCTCTTTTCCCTCTCTTCTCTCCCTCCTTCCCTCCCTCCCTTCCTTCCTTCCTTCCTTCCTTCTTTCCTTCCTTTTCCCATACAGCTCAGACAGCCATTTTTTGTGGTTGTTGTTTTAAGCAGTGAAGTATTAAAAATACGTTGTTTTCACTGTAGTATTTCTAAACTTGGAAAGGAGAACTAACTTCCTCCCAGTCAACTCGTTCATTACCAGGAAAGCTTAGAATTCAAAAGAATCAACCATCCCTCCTCTCCACTTCTCTAGCCATTAAAGTGCATGTTTTGCACTGAATTGGGTTGTCAGAAGCAGTATGACATGTTCTTTCATGGCTAATAGAGAAAAGAAATCAGATAACTTGTCCTTTATATCAGTAACATTTATAGGCCTTAAGTATCAGTGAGGTAGAGTTGCCAGAGTTAGCAAATAAAAATATAGAACACCCAGTTAAATTTGAGTTATTTCTAATTGCCTGTACATATGTACACTGAAATAAAAGAAACTGTTGCATGAGACATATGACTACTAAAACATTAATTGTGGCTAATCTGAAATAATTATGTTTTATACTTGTTTAACTATATTTATTACATGTGATTTGGCTCTTCTTAATAGTTCCTTGCTTTACAGAACTTCCTTACACAATTCCTTACAGTTAAAGTCTCTGTTTCTTTACCTCAAAACATAGCTTCTGCACATCTAACTTATTCTGTTCTTTGTTAATTGAAAATTATGCTCAATATTAGCATTACAGACAAGTTTATTGACTAAACATTGGCACTCTGAGAATTGCTCTTCAAATTTGATTTGTTCAAGTACAAACCATGTTTCATGGTATAACTTATTTTTTCCACACTTCAGGATTATATTGAATTTCCTGATCAGCTTCTTGAAATATTATTTTCTGGCCAAAACAAACAAGCAAACAAACAAACAAACAAACCATGTTGTCATCAGATTTTATCATCTTCTTCAACCCTACATATGAGTTTCCTAAAATTTGCTTTTGTTTCTGAAATCGCCTTTGGAAGGGTCTTCACATGAGAAAAAAAATATTACAAAAGCAAAGGGAAATTTGATCTGCGTTTTGATTACTTGTACCTGCAGTTGCCATAAAAGGTGGGGCATTTATATCTTTGATAATCTCTATAATAGTTAGTGGAACTATTACATTTTTAAATTATGCAAGTAAATTTTCACCTGGCACTTAAAAAATTTATTTGCAAATTTGCAAATTTGGAATTAGACAGTGCTTCTGAATGGTAGAAGGACACAGA
This sequence comes from Homo sapiens, assembly GCF_000001405.40. Taxonomy (NCBI): domain Eukaryota; kingdom Metazoa; phylum Chordata; class Mammalia; order Primates; family Hominidae; genus Homo; species Homo sapiens. Next base: position 7,942,849 of record NC_000002.12, read on the forward strand.
GTGGTTTAAGCTGAAAGATGGATGACTGACAGACAATGTGGAAGGCCATCACAAGATCTGCTGCCACTCATATATCAGTTTCATTTGAATTTCTCTTACACAAAAAAATGTATTATTATTTTCTATGGCACTGATAAAGGATATCATGCATCTCCCATGCTTAGCTATTAGTATTTGCTGACTTATATCTTACTTTCCACCATTTTTCGTATTGAATGCACAATTGCATACTACACAAAGAGCTTCAAAAAGACATACACTTGTTTGGTAAATGTCTACTGCTCATAAAATTTATCGTGATATTCACATTTGCCTTTTAACATTTTGGGCACTCAAAAGTACACAAATAAAAATGGATAATAGCAACCGTCACAAAAATGGAAAAGATTAAATTTGAGCATCTTAATGTCCATCTTTGGCAAGTCTGAACTGTGAATAGGGGCTGAATGAACTGTCACAATGGTTGCAAATATGTAAGCTAATGATGAATTACACTCAATATCTGTTATGGAGGAAAACTTCTCATTTTCCTCCAAGGAAGAGTTGAAATTGTAAGGGAGGAACGGTCTCTCCCAAATCAAGCCTGAGCTGATCTTGGATGAGGTTTGAAGAAGCCCATCCTGGAGAGGCTGGTGGGTTCCAGAGGTGAGAGTGTGGGGGACTCAGCACGTCAGCTGTGCCCCTGGTCACTGGAGTTAGCTGACTTTCAGAAGCACTGTCACCGGGGTGAAGACCGGCAGATTGGCTGTTGTCTGTAAGTGAGGGGCTGTCACTGACAGGCTGACTTTCAGGAGCTGGAGCTGTCATCGGTTGGCTGATCTTCAGAAGCGTAGTTACTGGAGCGAGGCTGTTGCTGACTGGCTCCTTTTCAGAAGCACAACACAAGTGAGGCTATCAGGGATTGGCTGATTTTCAGAGCATGTGCACTGATGCGAAGTTATCTCTCATTAACGCTGGGCACTTGTTCACTCCTTGGGACTCAGGCCAGAGAGTGATCTTTTCCTTTCTTGAGGGTGAAAAGATGTACTTTTAATTCTTCTCAGTCCCCTCTTTTGGTCTTCCCTCAGCTGACCCTATGGGAAAGACCAGAAGAGGTTGTCCAGATTTTTGTGTGTAGAGGTATGATTGTCAGCTAGGTTAATGACTGAAGCACCAATTACCGTGGCAGAAAAATAGCTCTATGTGCCAGTTGTTGTAATGTATTGGTAAAGGCTGAGTCTGGGACATTTAGGGCTTCCTGATAAAGTCAATATAGGACACAAGACAAAACTCATTAAATTCACAGCATATCCTGTACATGCAGATGTCTGTCACCCCTTCATAGGCACCGACTACAGAGGATATGTTATTACTTCATGACTCCTTGCCACATGGACAACCACGAGTAGAACGAGCTAAAATGTTAAGATCAGGTCTGATTATTTAGCAAATGCAGTAGATGAGATCCTTGTCCGTGTCTACCCATCATTTCCAAATCTATTCATTAGACGCACGTCTGTGCTTTCTTGGAACTTAACATTTTCACACTTCGTGTTTCTCCTGAAGCACATGTGTTTGAGTGGAAGATTTCCAACACGAAAATCTCCAAGATGACACCCCACAAGCTCACATTTGAAGTGTAGGAACACAGACATTACAATATCTGCAAGTTCTCTCTGCAGGGTCTACAGACTGAAGGCTTGAGGGATGTCCAGAGATGGCACTCATCCTGAAACAATATAAACGTGAGGAAAGAGAAAGACCATTCGCTTCACCACATCGCATTGTTTTTGAAATCTAATTGTTGATTTAATGACCTCTCTCTTTTTGCCTTAACTATTGCCTGGTAAGCTATTCCACATATTCATGATTCTCTGCACGGAAAAAAAAAAAATAGAAGAAGAAGAAGAAGAAACACTTCCTGACATCTGTTCTGAATTTGTTTTTCTTTAATTTTCATTTATACCCTCTTGTTCTATCATCTGTGTTGGGCTCAAAATAGGAAACCATGTTGACATTTTCCAAACCATTTAAATTTTATGTTCTTTAATTAAAATCCCCCTCTTAACTAGATAGACATCTAACCTGGTGGGTAGATGCTGTAATACTACATCTAAATGAAGACAATTTTTTTAAAGAATCTTCTCCCTCCTACAGAAAAAAAAATAGAGATCTTGAAGTTATAGTATTTCTGTGTCATCCAAAGCCAAAGGAGGTTCACATACTTTTATTTTTGCCCTAAACTTGTCTGAAACTGTTTGAAATGGTAATATAGAGCTTCATGTCCCACAGCACTGGCGCCACAGGCTGCTTGTCATAAGCAGTTTTCCTGCTGTTTTGGGGCAATAGTATTTGTGTTGGTCAGAAACCCTGGCTATGCAGACTAATTCCAAATTTCTCAGCTCATATATCCTGTTTACAACCTTGAAAGCTAATATAAGCTCCTCTACTCTAAACCACTGCATAAACTACATAAATAAAAGAGGCTTGTATTTTTTTATGAGACATAGGGGCCATATCAGACTTAAGTAGAAACAAGTAAAAGGCTCTCTTCAGGTGAGATTTTTAGTGATGTTGGAACCCATGTGTTCAAGACTAAATTATTTAAAAGCAGAGCCATGAACCTCATTCTGTTTAATATCTGTAGGCCCCTCCTTAAGACTCTAGAAGACTGCCTTGCAAATAACTGATGTTCCATGGTTTTTCTTATTTTATTATTTAGATCAGCATATATACCTTGTGTATGATAAAGAGTGGCAGAATATCTGAGAAAAAAATTAAATTCAGAATATCTGAAAATCTGAGAAATGTCTGAGAAAAAATTTACAATTCCGAATATCTGAGAAAAAAATTAAAATTCAGAAATGTAATCAAAATATATTTGTTTTTAAGTACTATGCTAGAAATTAGACCTATAGTAGCAAACTGAGTAGATCTGGTACCTACCCTCATGGAAACTTACTTTCTAGGATGAAGCTAGACAATAAACAATAAAACCAACAAATGCATGCTATGAATCATAATGAGCTCTATGAAGGAAAAATTGGAGTATTACAAAAGATTAATTAGGAAGCTCAAACTTTAGATTTCGTTGTCCAGGAAGACTGCACCAAGTCTACGACACTTACGGTAAGACCTGAAGGATAGAGTGAGAGGAACAGTGTTCCCAGAGGAAGGAACAGTGTTCCCAGAGGAAGGAACAGTGTTCCCAGAGGAAGGAACAGCAGGTGTGTGATAATGCTCTGTTGTCAAGGCACTGCCCCACTCCCCACTCTCTACAGTGGGAGCAGAAGCTGGGAATGATGCTGTATCTTAGGATCCTTTTTCCCGTGAGATTCCCGGTTTGCCAACAAGAGAAACCTACATGGATCTTGAAGCAGAAGTGGCGCTGACTCCACAGCTCTCTAGAGCTGGACACAGCCAGACCTGGAAGTGGAGATGGGCTTCACACAGGGTGCTGGGCGGGCTGTGTGGGTACACATGCCTGGCTGATGCAGACTGCGGCAGTTGGTGGGAGCTTTCAAAGGCGCTCTTGAAAATTGTAGCAGTTTCCTGGCAAGCCTGTGGAAACAACCACCATTGGCGTTTCAGGCTAAGGTCCCAGTGTCTGTTCTCATCTTTCAACTGGAGTGCACCTGACGTTTTCTCCCACGTTCTCCCAGTGTTCATGAAAGCCTAATGCTCATAGTAAGCCCCGTTTTCCCAGAATACTCACCATAACTCAATTTTTCTATACAAACTCATGTTGACATGGCATGGGAAAGTCTTAAGGAGGGAAGGCCCTCGGCATAGTCAAAGAGGTCAATACCAGTGAGATGCAAAACAATATTGCCTTAGAAAATAATTCTGGGAAAATCCCTCATGATAGCAGGTCTACTAGCATTGGGCATTTGGAAGTTTGTGTACAAGTTTCCACCCGCCACACAAGTTTTCTGTTTTTGTAAGCTGTAAAGATCCAACAAGCTTGAAAAGTACAGATATTGTTGGTCTTTCTCTACTCTGATCATTCTGAAAACAGGTGAGATGTTAAGTAGAAACAAAAAAAAAATTGCTCTTCACTCCCTCTAATGGTATTGTTCGAGCTCTGGAATGGGCTCTGAAATACACTGGGAACGTATACCATGTCAAGGAAACTGTTCCACTATTCTCAAAGCCCTGACACAGCAGGATGTTGATTATTTCAAAATTACAAATTAGATCCCCATTAAAATACATATAATTAAGTGATTAAATATGGGGAAGTAATGTCCTGCAAAATATTTACAGTCTACTAACCATAAGCAAATGGTTTGTTTAAAAAAACAAACACACAAACATAGTCCTCCTCTCTAGGATGGACTAAGATCATAGATCAGAGGATTTTTGTTTGTTTTTAATCACCTCTAAGTCTGACTTTTTCCCAATAAGATTGGGTTTTCAAAGGTACCCAGCTCAGGGGATGAGAGACAGAGCAACTGATGATCCTGTCCCTCTAATGATGATTCGCCTTCCCCTGTTGGGAGCCCGAACTCTGCTAAGCCATGAGGTCAATCATCACAATCTCTGGTTTTTGTTTCTCAAGACATAGAAATTATGAGATACTTGTTTCTATTTTTATAATTAAGATATAATTTATGTATAGTGAAATTCCCCCTTCCAATGTAGAGTTTGTACATTTGGACAGTACAGCACAATAAAGACAGTAGCTCCACCATACTTGGCCCCCCGCCCTTGCAAATAAACCCAAGGACTTTAATAGGTGGATCTGAAACATAAATCCAAAGGCAGCTTTGGAAGAGTGTGCTGAGGCACTTCCCCATCCCGTCCAGCAGTCTCTCAAGGTTTCCAATGAAGGAAGACAAATGGATGACATTAGGAATTCCAGCACGTGTGTCTGCCCAGCCCTGGAGTCACACAGGCCAGGGTCTACACCTGATCCTACCAAATTGCCCAGTGAGTTCTTGGGAAAATCCACTGGAGTTACTAATTCTTAGTTTTCTCTTCTGAAAAACATGATGGGCACAATGATGCATATGACACAGTGCTACTGAGAGCAGTAAATGCAGAGTGAGGTGTTTCACATGTAGAAGGCACGGAGTCAGTGATACCTCTGGCACTCAAGACTTATCCCTGGTGAGTCCAGTGTTTACCAGGGGTGAATTGAATCCTGCATCCTCAAGTCTGGATGCCTCCATTGCATCTGGAAAGGAGGATGAAAGGAAAGAATCCGACCACTCAGACATGGACACGTGACGGAATGAGGGGGAAGAAGAGCTAGCCAGCACATCTGGCCTTTCATGCTTGCACCATTTATCAATCTATTCACATAAAACATGATAAGGTGACTTCATTTTATTTTATCTTTTTCTCTCATTTCAATCTTGGGGCTTTATTGTCCTCTTGCATTTGGTTTTCTTGGTATAATTACTTACTCTTTCTGAACTGCCTGTCCTTTCAAAGTGCTTACTTTGTGCTGTCACAGAAGTACACATTTTTGGCCAAAGTGATGGAATTTGCAGCCAAATGAAAAAGAATATGTGCAATTAATGAAAAAACGGCAATGGACTATAATTTACAGATTATTTGGCAGGAGCTAAAAGAGTGAGACATGGCCCATTTTGTTCTCAGCCCTGGTTCCTGTAAAGTCTTCTTTCCATTTTATGCAAATAATGTAACAGAGAAAGGAAAACTAGGGATTACAAATGTGGGAGAATTTCACAATGCCCTTTCACCCAAAGGGACAAATATTTGATGATCTACAACAAGATCCCGCCATGCCTATTACATGCCCCCAAATGCTACCATATTGAACTAATTCCTCCCTAATTGCTCTGTTGCAAACATAATTTTCCATGTAATTAAAAAGACTTGCACAGCATCTTCAAAGATGTTACACAAACTAAACAATTAACTTGATATTAAGGTAAACTTTCAAGGAATTTGGAGTTTGGGGTCATTTGACACCCACTGAGTTGGATGGAAGAAAGATATACACACTCTTCCAGGGTCTCTGAAAATGATCTTGCCATAAGAAAAATTGTGTATATGGGTTTCTGTGCTCTGATTGTAGGGAATAAGTTAGTGAGAAAAGAAACCATACATCCTATGAAATGAAGGAAAGAGCAAAGATTTATGTAGTCAGAAAGATTTCAGTCTCTGCTTCATTGCTTATAATTTTGTTATTTAGTGCAAATTATTTAACCCAGCTGAGCCTCAATTTCCTTCCTGTTCTATAAAATGAGCCTACTAGGTGTTCATCAAATCTCACATTGGATACATAGACAGGGCCAGATTGTCCAGCACCCTGCAATGCTTGGATTTTATTCTTAGCACACTGGGACACCACTGAACTCATAAGCAGAAAAATAATGTCTCCCCACTACATTCTCAATAGACTGCTGGATTGGTTAAGTATTTCTGATTAAAAACAAAAGGATTTAATTCTGGCTAAATGAAGAAATCTGAAAGGATAAAACCTCTGAAAAACTTGCTCTTAGAAAGGCTCTCCAAGCATCTCAACAGCAGGAAGGAGCTGATCCTCAGCCTCCAATAGTCCCAATTCTTGTCATACTTGCTCAAGATTCCAATTTGGGAGTCAGCATCTGAGTGCTTAGCTTGGATCACACACAAACCCCTTGGCAGAAGTGTGGGGTCAGGGGTGGATCCTCAACATATAGCCCCACCAAGGCTAATGCAATGGAAGAAAAACTGTTCTCAAGGGACGATGATGATGTCTTCACCAAAATCAGGACTTTGATCCTCAAAGGAACTCCAGCTCCACCACAGTTACTGGTTTGGGGGAATCAAGAGTGGAAGAGATGAGATTAGTTGGAAATGGCTGCAGCGACCCAGGCAGGAGCCAAAGGTGGCCTGGACCAGACACAGCAGTGCAGGGAAGGACATAAGGAGAGACCTGAAATCGAGTTTACATGTAGAACCGCAGCACTTGCTGATGGGGTCCGTGTCAGGGTTAAGAAGAGGGGAAGAACGAAGCTTTCAGGTTGAGGATGGCACTCAATGGGCTCGATGATCTGCGATTCATCCTCATCTATCACCAGGACTGCCTTATTAAAGGAAAGAATAGATGCATATGGCATAGAACATGCTGAGCTTAATATATGCATATAGGGAACACAGATATGCACGATGCATATGGGCCATAGCATCTGCAAATCTATTTTAATAAGCACTTTTATTAAGCTTAAAAACAGCCTTCTTATATATTTTTTTAGTTTGATGAACAAATTTTAAATTATTTCTTGACTCAATGGAACATTTTTTAATTTGTACGTATTTTGAGGTCTTCTTTTCTTTCTCTCTCTTTTTTTTTTCTACTTAATGGAGCCCTAATCCAATTTCCCTGGGCACCAGCCCTCTGTGTGCCGCCACCCACCGCCCCGCCCTTGGTAAAGCACATAGCTCAACCGGCAGCGTGAGAAAGAGTGATGGAGGGAGGGAAGGGCACCGTTCATTTCAAGACTAAAAATATCTTCTCAAATTCTAGGATATTGGTTCACTCCTCCTTGAGACTATTAGAATGAGTTTCAAAAGTTCAGAGACTATTTTGGTCGGAAGCCTGAAGTTCTTCGAAATAACAGCGAGCAGCTGCTCCTCTCCGCTCTTTCCAGCTATAAATACAGGGCACTCGGAGACATTTTTGAGTCAGCCACAGAGGGTGTGAGCACTTATTTTCTTTTAAATTTTTCTCCCATTGTGTCATATTTCTCTATAAAGCAGAGGTGGAAAATTAATAGGCCCAGTGGAAATCAAGTTTCTTTTTTTTTCCCTCCCCACGGGAGAAGGAGCCTTATCAGCCTTATTGTTCTGCTTTGGGGAGCTCTGATGTCCCACTGAAAGAGGAAGGTAAAACCTCTCTAAATCACCCTCTGTACTCAGGGGTTCCTCAAGGTTCCCAGGACATCAATATGATAGTGGGGAGAAGCCAGGGCTTTGGGGTCTCTGGTACCTGAAATCTTACCCTGTTTCCCATATCTATCAGCTGGGTAACTCAGAGGCAATCCTAGGTCTTGAAGATCCTTTCTTGGAGGCAATGAAGCTGAGGACGCCACCTCCCAGGGCGGTGATGAGAACGAACGTGGCCACTTATGTGAGAGCATCTCCCGGGCCATGTGACACCTGGTAAGGGTGGAACTGAACACATACTGTGTTCCTTACCCTTTTCTCCATGTATGTGAGAGGTAGTGGAATACACAGGCACGTCTTTGTATACATGTGGGTGCTGTGCCCATCAGGAATGCTGACTGCTCTCTGTTTAGACCTCTTATTATAGCAGGGGGTGCCATAGCTGGACAGAACAGATGCCCTCAGGGAGCCACAGGGCCTGTGAGCAGGTGGACACCATTCACAGGAAGCCCAGCTCTGCTGGCGCAGCGGGCCCAGCCCCCGCCGTGTGGCCTGTACCACATGTGCCTTTGTTCACACTTCAGAGTTGACTCTGGTTGAGCTAACCTGAGTGGCATGGCCTCTGTCCCACTGTAGAGCATCCTTCCTGGTCACCAGCAGTGGCTTGTGCCCAAAAAGACAAGGAAGCCTTCTCTGGAGCTGTTTTTAGGGAAGCCAGGCCTTCATGGGACTGGTGAAAGTCAGTTTATAAAGCTTCTCCTAGGGGCTGCTTCCAAGAGCCTCCAGGTTTCCTGCAAATCCTGCAAGGTGGAGCTACTTCCCTCCCAGGGCAGGGAGAGAGGGCCACCCTGTTCCTCCTTCAGCTCACTGCCAGCAAAGCCACCTGCCATCATGGTCACTGTCCTGGAAATGGCACAACTCCATTTTCTCTTGAAAGACAATATAGCAAAGCTGTTAGGAGCATGGACTCTGAGCCAGAACAACAGGTTGGAAGCATGATTTTGCCATTTATTAGCTGTGTGACCTCAGGAAAGTAGCTTAACCTCTCTGTGCCTCTGTGTCCTCTGTAAATGGCACAATAAGAAGGTCTATCTCATAGGGTTGTTATGGAAATTAAGCAAATGAATGAATGTAAGGTACTTAGGAGAGCGAATAACATAAAGCAAATGTTGGCTATTAGTATGTTTATTTATTTAATTTCAGAGAAAACTGCAGGGACAAATAACCCTGGATTGAAGTTTTTCTTTCTTATCAAGTTGATGTGAGCGTATTTTATTAAGAAAAGCATTATGACAACAAGGGATAATGTAGTAAGGAGAAGGCAGCCCAGCCTCCTTCCTGTTGCCCATTGCCATGGAAATAGTGGACACCGAACTTATTATTCCAAATTACATTTTGCAGAAACAATTGTCTAGGTGGACCTTGGTCAAAGTCAGCTGTGCGGATTCACAAAGCAGGAGATGAGAGTCCTGAACTTTCCAACTCCGTGCACTGCGAAATCACGACCTCGGCCCACACCTCCCACCCCTTCCCTGCTCCCCGCCAGATTTCAGCCCTGCACAGGCTTCTCAGAGGAGCCTCCACTGCTGTGGCTGAGAGCCCTGTGAGGCTCAGCCCTGGTGGGGTGAGGTAGCTAACAGTGACTGCATACTTCCTGGCCACGTTTCTAGGAACAAACAAAAAATGGGGGGAAAAAAAGAAAACAAGAAGGAAAAAATGATATCAAAATGTCAAGAATGCAGTTGTTCAAGGTCTTTGGGCTCTAACCCCAGCGAGAGCCTGGGATCCTCATTTCCTTGGCACCCCTCCTGATGAACCTCCACTGAAGTCAAGCCACTCACACAGCCCAGCGACCCCTCGCTGCCACAAATCCCTGGCTCACAACAGCGCTTTCATTTCTTCTTTTGTTTATTTATCCATCTCTTCCCAGGTCACCACTTCCCAGATGTGGCAATGCAGAGGCAACAAGCTAAGTTATCCATGCAGCCAATAGGGACGTTACACAGACAACGCCACCACGGTGTGGGTGGGTGACCCCGGGGATGCACAGTCACTTAGCATTTACAAGATACTACAATAGCTAAAAACAGCCACTGAAATCATGAGAAACAGCTGAATTTTGTTCATAGTCAATATTCAAAGTAAAAGTATGCATTCGAACTAAAAGAGGCTACAAACTCCTCATCTGGGAACTCCATATTTTTCTGCTGCCCAGAAGGGTGAGCACTCATAAAGTAGGTTCTGGAAGTGACAGAAAAATCAAAAAACCACGTTCTATTTACACATGTGAGCTGAGGGTGTGTGGAATTGTCCATCTTGAAGCTGAAGCCATCTGAACAAGTTGAATTCTGTCTTGGCATCGCTGGGAAGCCATGGATGGGTGGCATTATCAGAAGTACAGGTTAGCAGAATCCTGTGGCTCTCATTATGTTATAAAATGTCATTAATGAGATACCAAGAAGGTGCATCCCATTATCAGTTTTGTATCTATATGAGTGAGGGCAAAAATTCCCTTTAAATTCTCTTTAATGCTGTCTCTTTAGACTTTAATGCTAGCCTCTCTCCTATCCATGCAGGAGCTATGAGCCAACAGCAGGGAGAGGGGGCTTTCAGCAGCTGCCAAACACGACATTTCTGGACAGGCCACCTCACCCTCGGCAGGGGACATCTGGAGAGCAGCCTTTTATCTGTCAGCCTCTGCACGTCTGGCTACCTGCAAGGGGCCTGGAGCCCAGGGTGTGTGTGTAGCTGAAGCCTGGCTCTTGTGCCCAGCTGGGCCCCAGCAGCGCTAGGCAGTGAGGGAAATTTCCTCGCTTCCAGCAGCAACATCTGTTCTGGGAAGCCTTTGTCCATTTCTCTCTGAGATGCACGTATGGCTCCAGCCAGCCTGGAGGAGTGGTCTAATCAATGACAATGCCTGAAATCTGACAGGTGCAGGTCCCCCAGTGGACCACCTCCTGTGGCTTGGGACCAGAGCATTCCAGGAGCAAAAAACTGCCTGTCATGAGCTTGCCACCTGGCTCGGGGGTGTGTGGCATCAAAAAGAAGCATTGCATTCATTATTCACCGATTCCACAAGAGCAGACACTTGCACAGGGGGCGTCCTTTGCTCCCAGGAGATGTGAGCTCAAGATGGATGAACCTGTCTCATGGGGCAACAATGTGGCCTCCCCTCACTCACAGCTCACCCTGGCCATGCCCTCAGGTTAGGATAGTCTCCTGCTGTTTTGATGGAGGAAGCTTTTGCCCTAGAAATATAGAAATAATTTTCGGCCATGTGGGAAAGTTAAGTTGGTTTAAAAAATGGAGAGAAACATTGCCTTGTCTGTCCATTTATAAGCCCCCAAAGGTCATTGTGTGATTAAAGAAGACATAGGTGAAGTGTGTATATATAAGTATATTCATGTCTGTTTTGTAAGTGCACAAAAAAGACCTAAAAGAACACAGAATGCACTGCGAGCAGAAGTCAGTCCTGGGTAGAGAAGGGAATCAAGAGGGTTGCTGATGGTGGTCCTCTATGCTCTTCCCTACACAATCCGTATTCTTTGTTTCCAGTATAATATAATGTGCATATTGAAAATTGTTACTAGATGATGGCATGGATGCTTGGCTCATTAAAGTGAGATTACGAAGCAAAAGGAATACGAGTCTCTGATTTGGGGAACTCTGTGTTGAATTTCTACCCCTCCCCATTCATCCAGAGTTACAGTGAGCTGGACTGTCCTTGGCTTGCAGCCAAGTCTAGGTTTGACCATAGCTCTACCACTAGTAGGTGGCATGTAGACTTTGAGCCTCACCTTCCTCCTCAGTAAAATTGAGATAAGAAAATGTCCTTCACAGGTCTGTTACCATGAGTTAAATAACATAGCTCAATTTTCTGGTGCCAAAGAGTGTTTCCACCAGTGTTGCCATAAAACACTGCCACCGTCCCAACCCCACTGTTCAGGGAGGGCCACACACGCCTTCACATCAGCTCCTCACACAATGCACTGCAGCCCACCTGGCTCATGCTGATTTTCTCAGCAGTCCCTGAGCGATGCGAAGGCAATGTCTCTTTCTTATCTCTGCTTCTGCAGAGCCTAATTCAGTGTGGGGAACGTATTCATTGACGAATAAGGAATAAAGACTAAGTGACTATGTCAGTGGATGATTAAAAGAGTAGATAAAGAGACATACAAGTGAATCAATAAAACATTCAGGTCTACATGTTTAAAAGACTATTATCCTTTAAAAATATGTCTTTCATTTATGGAAGATGAAGATGCTGATGATGATGGTGGCTGGAAATGAGCTGGAATCTGGCCTGAATAAGGAAAGTGAATCTCTTTGCCTTGGCAAGCTCAAGTTGGAGTTGACCATAGATACCTTTCAACCAGGGTTGTTTAGGATGACCCTCAGGAATGATTGCTTGGGTCAATACTGGAGATGTGCAGCTTCATTCTAAAACGGGTCAGGAGATGGAAGGTTGCCCAGGCCCTGTCCCTCTAAGGTAGAGAGTAAATGCTTGTCCTCGACCATCAGGCGCAGACAACACTATCTCTCCCTCACGTCGGATGCTTATGATTTCTTTGAGAACAGCAGAGAGTTCAGCCGCACAATGCAATTCTGTCATAAATCTTGGTAATTCAGATTGGGTAGGGCATTAGTCATTAAGCACTGGTAAATGACCAATTTTCTATCACAGCTGCTTGCAGCTATATTTGAATGCAGAACAGGGGCTTTCAGGCCCACGTAGCAATGAAATTTGCAGTTTCTGGTGGTAATATTCGAGTGGCATCAGACCTCCTTAATGACCAATTTGGACAGAAATCTTGGCAACTTCTGGTTCTTCTCTGGACAACTAAGGAGAAGCAATTGCCATTTAATTTCAGGGATTGACTTTTTCAACTCTTGTAAACTTTCCTTCTTCTTCACACTAACTTGGAAGTAAGAGTCGGCATTTTCACACACTGCTGTCTTCCCCTAGTGCCAGGTAGGAAGTGATTGGGAAACACGGAGGCAGCTTGGGAAAGGAAAAGGGAGAAATCTGTTGCGTAGAGATGGGCACGCATACATTATCTGATGATCAGAATGTTAATAAAAAGATTCTTATTTTGATGAGCATGTTACTTGATGGGAGAAAAAAAAAGTGCTTTCTCTGAAAAATGGAATGAAATTACCCACACTGAGAAGAAAAACTGCCTTCCCTGCTGTGGGTAAGGTAGGCCAGTAAACATGTTTCCACCTTCTGCCACTCCTCCTCCCAGGAAGACAACAAGAAACTATTTTCTACCAAACTGCATGTATTAGATAAAATTTGTTTGCCCATGAGATGAAACACTGCATGGTGGTTAAAGCAGGGATAAAGAGTTGGACCAGTGGTTCTCAACTGGGGTGGTTCAGCCCCCAGGGATGTTTTTGGTTGTCACAACCGGGGACGGGGACAAGCTCCTGCAGATATCCAGTGAGTAGAGGCCAAGAAGACTGTTACATACCCTACAAGGCACAGAGCAGCTCCCTCTCTCTCTTTTTATCTCTCTCTCTCTCTCTCACGCATACACACACACACACACACACACACATGCACACACCCCCCAAAGAATCATCCAGCCCAAAATGAACAGTGCTAACTTGAGAAGCCTCTAGGAAGATAAGCCTGGTTCATATCCCAGCTTTACTCCTTATGAGCTGTGTCATCAGGGGAGCACATTCCTTGACATTGCTAAGCCTCTGTTTTCTTACCCTGAAAACACTGAGTGTTAGAGAACTTCTCTGTCAGAATTGCTGTGAATGATAGAGGACATAACGAAAGTCAGGGAGGGCTTAGTACAATATCAGGCAACCAGCAGGATGCCTCGCAGAGGCAGGTACTTAGAAATATTTGTTGAATGAGGAAACAAGACTTATCACACTAGGCTAAGCACACAATAAATAAACTTGAAGTATCAGTTATATTGCCTTCCCAAGGGTGAATCGATACTGTCCAAAAGGCTCTGGATTCTGGTCTCCAGCTTTCAGCTTCTGACGCTTATGCCCCCGGGGGAATCAGAACCTGCCCTTTTATCTAACTGGAGTCAAAAGCAGAGGAACTCATTCCCTAACACCAAGTCCTTGCCCATTTGGTATTCTAACAGGGACTTTGGTAACTGCTTTTAGGAAGTTGATGGGGCAAGAGCTCATCAAAACCAGCAAAGCTGTGGGCCGCAGAGCATCCAATGGTCTCTCTGCCGCCAACGCTGCCCTTGAAGCCCTCACCGAGGCCCCAGCACCACACATACTTCCCCTGTGTTAGAAAGAAAAGCTAACTCATAAGCCACCTGAGAAGATACCTGAGTCTTGAGGGAGTAGAAAGGGCATCTTGTAAGGTTGTTCATTGCAATGTTATTTATCACAGAAGGAAAAAAAATGGACACAACAGACACAGCCAACAAAAGAATTGATTGAGTAAATCATATCAGTAGCTATTCTGAAAACTATTTTTTACACAGGCCACTATTCGTTACACATTTATGAATAAAACACATATTTATTATGATCTGAGATTTGTAAAAACAATTATGGAGATGTAGAAACATGAATAAAAGATACGTAAATAGAGGATAGGATGGCTAGATAGATAGAAACAGATGACAAGAGACACGGACATATATAAATAAGCGAATGTATAGAGATTACTAGTGGTTATTTGGGGATGATGAGATAATGGGATTTGTATTTTCTTCTTTAGACTTTTTGGTATTTTCTAAATTTCCTACAAAATGAGCACATATTACTTTTACAATTGGGGAAGAAAGAATTAAGTCATAATTATTATGCTATTGGAAAAAGATCCTCCTGTGGACATGGAGTGGGAAAACGTGTATCTCCTCCTCATTTTCTGGAGGATACTGGGATGAGGTAAACAAGTGACCTCCGAGAGAGGAAGGGCATGAGGAGGGAAGAGAGAGACAGTGAGGAAAATAACAAAGAAAAAAGCAATAAACAAACATCAAACCAAACCAAAGTGCATGTGGTCAAAATAAATGGACGCTAGTCTTGGCTGTCCTGGTTCCTGGCTGTGTGGCCCTCAGCAAAAAGTTCCTCCTTGTCGGGATTAAGAACAGCACTGTTCACTTTGTTGTTAAGCTTAAAGGAGGATTTCAGGAACGCCAAGTAAACTGGGAAGTGCTGCCTACCACCTAAATGTTCACTTATTAGGTTAGAAGTGTTATTTCTTGGAAAGAGTCTAATGAAGAAATCTGAGAGCTGGATTCAAATTCGGGCTCTGTACTGCTTTAGGGATATGACGTTGACCCAGTCCCTTCATTGCTTTAGGCCTCAGTTTCCCTATTTTAAAAATTTGATCATTATCACCCAATCCACTAAATATGATATATTCAAAGCCACTACATATAAAAAGAACTATGTTCTTTAAATCAGTATACCTTAAATTTTTACTTTTAGGCCAAAGATGATATTTCTGAAATGAAGATCTATGGTGTCTATGTTTAATAGGCATGTTCGAAATCTTTACAATAAAAAACACAAATATCATATATATGTGAACATATACAGTAAAATATATCATGTAAATGTATATAACCTCTTGGTCGAATAACACCTGCAAATGTACTTTAGCACAAAGGTCTCAGAGAGGTACCACATTGATTACAGATTGCACACAGAAAGTTGTGGGATGTTAAAATTAAAATTAAGGCAGATTATCTGAGATGTACACTGATAATCATGTGAATAGAACATGATATACAGAAAATCCAGGTGGTCTCTGAAAGCCTGGGACATCAAGGGGCAAAGTGTAGATGATCTCAGATGAGCTTTTTCCAAAGATGCCAGAAGGAAAAAGTTAACAGGCAGGTGTTTATGGAGCAAGCAGAATGAAATTTGTGTTTCTGATCATCAGATATGTTCTAGAATGCAGAGGTGGGAAAATGATAATGGCTTAGTCCCCGTGTTTGCAGGCCTCCTCTGCACGGGAGAGCAATGAGGCTGTCCCTGAAGATACTTCAGAAGCTCAAGAACAACGTGCGTGTAAACAATGTGTCCTGCTGGCTCCAAACCAGCATGGAAATAAATCACAGCCACTTTGAACATTGTTATCAAATACCGTGAGACTCTAGGACGCAGCGCCGCTTCTGCAGGGCCACCTTTCCTAGCAAAATCTCCAGAAGCTCGTGGGTGATTTTTAGTGTTCAAAGTTCGCTCTGGAAGCTCCCATCTCATTGTTGGGGCTGGAAACCAGAAACACCCCGTGCAGTAGAGGAATCGTCCTGACCTCCAAAGCCAGTTCCTTCCAAGGCATCAGGGGGTGGATGCATCTGAACCCCAAACTCCTGCTCTAAGCCATACTTTATGGGACCAGACACTGTGGTTCTCTTCAAGTAGAGACAGAGAACAATCTTGCCCACAGAAGCTACCTCCACATGCATACCACACCAACACCAGCCTGGGCTCCCAGGAGAGCTGCTTCTGAGAAGGTTTGGGCACTTACCTCCTCCTAGATGGCAATCTACATTGTCCTTGTAATGGCAGATTCTCCGTGGGATTGGCCCACTGGTTGTCTCTCTATATCCCATGATGCTTTTATTTCGGGAGGCTCATCAGACTCTTCTTCCAGGAAGCCTTGGTCAGAGCCACTCTGGGCTGACTTTCACTGTACCAAGCACCATGCTAAGACAGTCAGTTAAGTTTTAATAACTGAGCCTTGGGAGTAAGGTTGGGCTTTCGAGTCCTGCTTTCTCAAAGGATCCTGGAGCTCTGCTGTGCACGTTTGCTCACATGCCCTCCTTCTCCCCCCACCCATCACAGGTCAGTGCTGTCTCGCACAGGAGAAGGTGCTGGCTTCCCCTGACGTCCTCTGTGGGTAGACTCACAGGAGCTCTGCATTCAGTGATCATGTGATGAGGATCAGGAATTTCAAAGAGGAATTTCAGCACTGCCTGCACTGAAATAATCACGTTTGACCTCACAAGGAACAGCAGGTTGGGCAGAACGTTAAGTGTCAGGCAGCATGAGAGCCCACACGCAGGGCACGCAGCCTGGGACTGAACCAGAAGAAGGTCTGCCATTGAGGATTTAGCAAGGGGAGTAGCTCATGATGAGGCGAGAAACAACTGTTTCCAGTCAGGTCCAACAACCTCCCTGAGGTAATCACAAAGTCATTCTAATATCTGGACTATAGAAATCCAAATTTCGTCTCCATCCTTTGGAGCTAAATTTCTGACGCTCCTTTCAACAAGATGAGAACCTGCCACTTTGGTTGGAACCAGGCCCTGGGCCTCACTGTGAAGGCTGAACGAGGATGACCAGAGCCGGGACCTTGGACACACTGGGAAGTGACCATCCAGCAATGTGTGAGGCCTGGGGGAAGGAGGAAAGAAAGCAGCCGGGGGAGGCCTTGGGGCAGAAAAGAGATGGACATGGAGGCCATTCAAAGCAGGGGAGAGACTCAAGGCGTGAGAAGACAGGCCTGGGGCTCAAGGTGGATCTGTTAAGGTCCGTGGTTACAGCCCGCTGCCCCAGGTGAGGGAGGATGCTACTGAAGGATGCGGAGTTTTTTAGGGAACTACCATGCAGGTTTTCCCTCGACCATCCCCATCCCTTGATTGACCTTACCATTCTCCCTTCAGGTAAACTGAAAAACAGAACCATAACAGAGGGATACTCACTCTCCACTCTGGTACATATTCATATTTCTTTTAGACCCTTCTCACAGGATCCTAGATAGGGAAATAACTTCAGACAAAACTTGGAACAAGACTCCTATCTTCACGTAGCTGCCCAGTAGCACATGGGTAAGTCACCTGAGACCCAGAGAAGTCAAGATTGTTTGTCTAAGAAATCTAATAACTGGCCAGGAGCGGTGGCTCACCCCTGTAATCCCAGCACTTTGAGAGGTCGAGGCAGGTGAATCACGAGGTCAGGAGTTCGAGACCAGCCTGGCCAATGTGGGGAAACCCCATCTCTACTAAAAATACAAAAAAAAATTAATTGGGTATGGTGGCAGGTGCCTGTAATCCCAGCTACTTGGGAGGCTGAGGCAGGAGAATCCCTTGAACCCAGGAGGAGGAGGTTGCAGTGAGCCGAGATCACACCATTGCACTCCAGCCAGGGCGACAGTGTGAGATTCTATCTCAATTTAAAAAAAAGAAAAAAAGAAAAAAAAGAAACAAAAAAAGAAATCTAAGAAATCTAATAACCCAGGTGGGCTAGGACAATTTTATTTACACCACATGCAAATGTTTCTTCCTCCCAGAAAATGTACCTGACCAACAATTAGACTTTGTGAAGAGCTACCTGAAACCCCCAGCCCTATTCTCTTATTTCTCATTGTATCCATTTAGAGGTTTCTGTGAAATCAAAATATTTCTCCTAGCATTAAGAGAAAGGGAAGGCAGATGTTAATCTCAACAAGATTTCAAGTAGTCCCTAATAATCTCTAGGCTAGGTGCTTAAAAAAGCCAGCATAAGTTCTCTGGCTTTTGGACTTCTTCACATTAAGGAAGTTTCTATCCCTAACTTCTCCAACTTCTCCCTTTCTAGGAAGAGTTGGAAGTTAGCATTGGGATCAGGAAACCCACACCCACATCTAACACTTGCTTCTCTCCAACTCTTTGGAACAAATCTTACATGTACAACTAATCCATGAAGACTTTTGATTTCCCTTCCCTGGGATAGAATTGGTATATAGAAGACAAAGGGGACCAGTTCGGCTCACGGTCTATGAAATCCTGTAATTTGGAGATAAACTGGATGCTAATTTCTCCAAATTTTGGCTCCTGATAATCACAGCTAAATTTTGAAATGCAAAACTAAGCTATGACTAATGCTTTTCTCTCTGACTTTCTCTAATAAGAACACTGCTAGTAGGAGCAGGGGAGAAACATGGAAAGAAGGAATTTTAAAATCGCAGAACTTTATTTCAAATACTACCCTCAATGCTCTTGTGTAGACTGCACTGTCATGAATTTTATATTTTTGCGTGTCCTAATGATCTCCATAAACAGAAGTTGAGGAACATTCTAATCTCCTTGAAATAAGGGGTTCCAGTGGAGAGATTTTTAAGAGTCAGTCTGACCAAAAGTCAAGCTTCAGTTTCAACATTTGTGAGTCCTGTGGCCTTTGACTAATTGTTTACTCTAAACTACAATTTCCACAACTGTAGAATGAGTCATAATTGATTTTGCATTTTTATGAAGATTAGAGATAATATATTCAATGCACTGATGTGTAGGTAGATTGATAATCACTAGTCTCCTTCTTTCTGTTTTCTGAATTTCCTGAAGACTCAAACCTAGTCTCATCATTCACCTCCTGAGACCTTAAAGAAGCATTCTTATTGGATTTGTTGATCCTGCTTTTATTCTTAGATTGTATTGCACCTGAAAAACTCCAGACTTGACAAATGCATCTAAACCTGCTGAGTGCATTTTTTACCGAATATCTTTTTGATGACGCTGTTACAGAAAGCATGGCCTGTTCAGTTTCAGGGGGTAAAATGTGTCCCTTTCAATGTGGAGAACTATCTGAGGCCCTTTCTAGGACTGGCTCTGCATGTGCTGAATGATCCATACCAATAACAGGATCTGGTTCTAGCAGGTCTAAGAAGCCTACCCACTACCCTTGTTATTCAGCATCTGTTGTCTGAGTCAGGGTAGAGAGCTGTTACTCCATGGGGACAGTCACAATACTTCTCCCAGCCTCCCTGCTGCAGGACGTTCCATTGTGCCCCACTAAATGCTAACAGACTCAGATTTCTGTCAACACCGTCCTTACCCTCCTGTACTTCACCTGCTCCCCAGGACCCAGGAAGTAACGGCCTAGCTCTCCAGCTAGGCATTGAAAGCCAACACCTGTTCACAACTCATCCTAACTCAAGTTCCTACTGTTTCCCCTTCTGGCAGCTTACACTCTTGCCCCAATCCTTAGCTCAGGCTAAACATTTCCTTTCTTTTCATTCTGGATTCGAATCCTAATAAAAGATGAAGATACAGTTCAAATGCCTCTTCTCCTTGAACCTTGGCTTTCCTCTGTAGTTCTAAATGAGCCGTTCTCCTCTTCCCTTCCACAGAAATGGGCTCAACCGGTCTGCGGCCCTGGTCACTGTGTGTCTAACATCACAGTGGACTCACACTCCCATCGTCTAACCTCGATGGTCTGGAAGGAGCTGAGGGTAGATTTCATGTGTGAATCATCTCTGTGGCCCTGCTGGGATCACATGGCATCCTGAAAGACTGTTGGATGTTTAACACAGTGGGCATTGGGACAAGTTTATCTATTTTAAATCCAAAAACAAACCATTCTGATTTATTTTTAAATTAATTTTCCAGTGTATATATACCATGAGTATAGTAACAGATGTTCCTTGGATATTCTAAAATGTATACTCATTAACTATATGTAAATTCAATTGTTTTTAAATTGTTTCCTGCCCCAGTCTCTCATTATCATGTCATTCTTGGCCATTCCTAAAGGCCCACCCTCACCCCATTAACCAGAGGTTAAAGGTCAAGGATGAGGTGAGAATTTCTGCTGCATACATTACTTCATAATTTATTTTTCTTGGTAATAATTTAGAGGGATTTTTATCTTACATAATGAAATGGATGTAAATATTAAAACTCCCACAGAATCAAAGCAGCCTTGTCTTCACAAACACATCCACCAAGAACCCTTTAATTCAGAACTTACGTTACATAGTAAGTGATTAAATGATAATAACTAATATTTCTTATTCTTCATCTTAACTATTTTCACTGAGGCTTAATTTGATGGCACCTTGGGGTGCCTTGTTGGTATCTTAAGCTATTTCTCCAGCTACTATAGAATGAGCATTAATCATGGAATCAAAACTTGTGGTAAGCTTTATAATTCATCAGTGGTGTTTTCCCTAGGAATTCAGCTAAGAAAGGACATATAGTGAATGTATTAACCTGTTCTCACACTGCTATAAAGACATACCTGAGAGTGGGTACTTTATAAAGAAGTTTAATTGGCTCATCGTTCTGCAGGCTGTACAGGAAGCATAGAGGCTTCTCTTTCTGGGGTGGCCTCAGGGAACTTCCAATCGTGGTGGAAGGCAAAGCAGGAGCAGGTGTCTTACATGGAGGAGCAGGAACAAGAGACAGCAGGGAGGGGCCACACACTTTTAAACAACCAGATCTCATGAGAACTCAGTACCACCAGAACGGCACCAAGAGGAAAATCCACCCCCATGATCCACTTGCCTCTCACCAGGCCCCAACTTTAACACTGGGGATTACAATTCCACTTGAGATTTGGGCAAGGACACAGATCCAAACCATGTCAGTGAGGAATAATGACTCATTTGTAGAGAGTAAACAGGCTTTGTTACAAGTTCTGCGACACTGAACTCCAACTGGTTTTGATGGTATGACTGTTCCCACTGGACGAAGTCTGTTCGAGGTTCTTGCCCCAAATATCACAATTAACAAGTTGTAGAAATGAGATTTGAACCCAGGTCTGTCATTCCTCTGCTTTTCCTATGACCCTGGTTGGCCTTCCTAATTAAAGCCATAAATCTGAGTCGGTCAGGGAAGTTGCTTTACTTCTTAAGTCTAATCTGTTTCTTGCACTGTTCCTGCATTCTTCACTCACCTTGTTAAGGGGAACAGAAAGACTTCCGCCTACTCCAGTGTATCTCTGATGAAAAATGAGAACTTTGCTCCGATCCTTTCTAAAATGAAAATATTCCAGCCAGTGTTCACGTGCAGTGACGCTGTTGAGAGATCATCCCAGCTCCCTAACGGTGTGAAAAGCAATTTCACACACGCCTGTCTCCAAGCGGCCTGTTCCACGGATTAGCCAGACAGAAAACACCTGCCTGCTCCTCCCGCGTGGCCAGGGTCATCAGACACAAAATGGATGTGATCAACTCGAAGCCTTGTGAGGAATTCAGCTGCCCCTGGAAAACCTGTTTGCAAATGGTCACCTGCTTTGCATTGTTTACTTGGTGAGAGGTAGGGCAGCATCATTTTGTAAAACACCGTAAGAAAAGTTGAAGAAGTGATTGCCCGCCCTACCTCTGCTTCTCCAGGCCCACTTCCTTGGGCGGGGATCCGGAGATGCGGCGGGGAGACCTTACCTTCCTTCTCCCCAGCCACAAGTCCTCTCCCACCTGGCCATCCAAATCCCATCTACTGAGGATGAATGGGACCCAAGAGGCATATTTCTGAACTGCTGCTAAAAGAGGTATTTATAATGGATGGAATTTTCATAGTTGCTCTATGTAGGTCTGTTTAAGATATGAAAAAGCTGTTTGAGTTTCATTTGGCGACAGAAGCTGGAGCAATAGAAACCCTCTTAGGTCACTTCATCTATCCCTCTGCCAGCACCTCTTGTATATTGGTCTTTTTAAATGAAACAAGGGGCCGCTACTGCCCGGGAAACTCATTCCGCTGTCTAATAAAGTGCCACGGGGAAAAATGTTCCCTAGTTTCCAACTGAAATGCCCCTCT
Source organism: Homo sapiens (assembly GCF_000001405.40). Taxonomy (NCBI): domain Eukaryota; kingdom Metazoa; phylum Chordata; class Mammalia; order Primates; family Hominidae; genus Homo; species Homo sapiens. The sequence continues at coordinate 7,965,123 of NC_000002.12, forward strand.
TCCAACTTGATTTTGTTAACTCTCAGTCAAAGTAGATTTCCCCGTAAAATGATTTTTCCTTACCGCACACACGTCTGATACTTACTTCCCCCAACTGTAGGGCAAAACTTCAGCTGAGCCTGGCAGGAACGGTGGGGCAGGCAGAAGGTGCTGCTCCAACTGCCACCGATCTGGCAGAGTGGCTGCAATACCAGGGATGTGGCCTGGCAAGGCAGCATCACCTGAGGACGGACTCGTTCCCAGCAAGGACTCCTCCAAGGAAACCAGGCTTGTTTTTCCGAAAATTAACTCTGAAATAAAGGGTCTTGCACATGTCTAAGGTTTTACTCTCCAGCATGTGGGCTGGGGGCCGGCTGTATCCACATCCGCTGGAGCCTGTTAGAAATGTAGACTCCACCGGGCACGGCGGCTCACGCCTGTAATCTCAGCACTTTGGGAGGCCAAGGAGATTGGATTACCTCAGGTCAGGAGTTCGAGACCAGCCTGGCCAACATGGCAAAACCCTGTCTCCATGAAAAATACAAAAATTTGCTAGGTGTGGTGTCAGGAGCCTGTAATCCCAGCTACTCGGGAGGCTGAGGCAGGAGAAACGCTCCAACCCAGGAGGTGGAGGTTGCGGTGAGCCGAGATCACGCCACTGTACTCCAGCCTGGGTGACAGAGCCAGACTCCTTCTCAGGAAAAAAAAAAAAAAAAGGAGAGAAAGAAATGTGGACTCTCAGGTCCCAGCTCACAGCTACTGAATCTGAATCTGCATTTTACCCTGGCTGCAGTGGAATCACTTGGGGAGCTTTAGAAATGTTGGATGTCTGAATCCCGCCGCCAGAAATTCGCATTTAATTGGCCTGGCATGTCGCTATGCATGGGGATTTTTAAAAGCTCTAATATTCAGCAAAGTATGGGAACCACTGCTTTAAGACACACTTTCACCCTGCAAAGTTCTTCTAGAGGCCCACCAACCACACCAACCTCCTTGAGCTCACACTGGCTGCACCCTGCTGCACACCCCCTGGCCTTAGCCCACTTTGCACAAGGAAGCACAGTGGGGGCTGCTGGGGGATCCAGCCTGGCTCTGCCTTTTACAGCTGTGCCGCCTTGGCAAGCTTCCTAACTCACAGAGGCACACTTATCTTTTAAATTAGATTAATAATATTACCTGCCTTTCCAGGATGGAGTGAGGGTGAAATGAGCAATGCAAACATATGACAGGCTGGACGAACCCTCTTACCTCTCCTCTGCCTTAAGAACTATTGAACTCACACTCAAAAAAAAAAAAATCCGTAAACCAAAATTGTCCCAAAAGGGAAGGAGGAGGGATTGACTGTCAGCCAGTATAGAACTTCAGTCAACTTCTGAAAGATGACACGGCTGGACCACCCGTTGACAATTGAACCATCAGAGGAAACTGATGTGGAGAATACCCACAGGGAGATGGTGGGATGCAAACTCATCCTCCCAGAACATCCTCTTGGAGATGCCGGGCTGAGGGTCCACAGGACCAGGGAGATGGTGAGATGCAACCTCATCCTCCCAGAACATCCTCTTGGAGGTGCCGGGCTGAGGGTCCACAGGACCAGGGAGATGGTGAGATGCAACCTCATCCTCCCAGAACATCCTCTTGGAGGTGCTGGGCTGAGGGTCCACAGGACCAAGAGGGGCATGAGAAGTGGAACTGGATATTAACTACAGAGCTCACCTCCTTGCCCAACCTGCCAGGGAGAGGCTGTCAGATTGGGTTCAGTTGGCCTCCCAATCTCTTCTTATGTGGATGATCAGTCAGATTGCCATGTCTCATGCTGGTACCTGTTGTTGGACTTGTCCTGCAATTCTGAGACCCTCACCTCTTTCCCACTATATAGTGACCTCCTGGAGAACATGATAAAGCTGTTGTCATCTTGCTGAGCCCACATCTCCATAGTCCACACAAATAATGTTTGTTGAAGCAAAGTGATTTTTCTAATTTGTCTTTCATCCCCACTCACAGCCTGGAAGCTTTACTCCTGCCCAGTATATAAAGCATGCAAAATTGGGGCTGCTTTTCCTCAAACGTCTAGCTTCCACACTCTTCTTCTGGCCCTACTATTCATACATGCCATGCCCACATTCAAGAAATCCTACTTTTTAGCCACATCAAATACAAAAACTCAAAGTAAAGGGATATTTTGCAAATAGCCAAACCATGGCATAAGGGAAGAGCTAGCTGGTCATTTCTCACAAGGTGGCATTTTCTTTGTAAATTATCCTCTATCCTTAGTTTGCTCCTTACCGGTTTGGAAACCTTAATTTATCATCATCAAAATAGAAAGGTTGTATCTTTCATGACAGTCTCACATTAACCAAGTAAGCAAGACTGATTTATAAACTAGAGGCCAATCCATGGCTGATCTACTCACTTTTATGTGCCAATTCTGCCTCTGGATATGTTAAAGCAGTCAATTAATGAATTCACTCAAGCTCAAGCTAAGATTGGCAAAGTGGGAGCTATTCTGATCTGTGAACGTGCTCTTGACTGTCTGCTGCTCCGGACCTGTGTTGATTTCATGAGACAGTACTATAGAGTCATGCAGCACACATATCTCGCTTTGGTCAATAATGCATCACATACAATCTTATGGGACAGTGGTCCATAGTACTGCACCTTTACTGTACCTTTTCTACATTTAGATACACAAATACTTTCCATTGTGTTATAATTGCCGACAGTATTCAGTACGGTAACATGCTGAACAGGTTTATAGCCCAAGAGCAACAGGCTATGCCACATAGCCTAGGTATATAGTAGGCTATACCATTTAAGTTTATGTAAGTGCACACTACGATAAAATCATAGAGAGAGGCATTTCTCAGAATGTATCCCTGTCATTAAGTGACTCATGACTGTAATTCTACTGCTAGACTTTTGGGTGGGGAAAGAAACACCTTGCTGTAGTCCTCAAGCACCAAATTAATTGCTATGCTCTAAATGGCTTATTTTGTATTTTTACACTTGCTTTTTTCTACTGGAATGCACTTTCCATACTTACCCATTTGACATATGTTTACTTGTATTTTCGCTTCCAGCCCAAATGTTACTCCTCTCATACAGTTTTCTTGAATCCCATAGGCAGCTCCTGGGAACATCCATTACACTTTGCTCGGTTCCCATGTGAGAATTTGTTCTGTGAAAGACGTCATAAGGCATTGAGTTCTAAAGCAGTAGAAATAAACAAGGCACCATCCCTGATCTCAAACAACCAATAGATTAGTGGAGGAGACAGAAATTTAGATTTATGATTTTATCTAGCTTTGGTCTCTGGAAACAGTTGAAATAAGAAAACCTCTATTTTTTGTCCAGTGATACTTATATACGTCAGAGTACTCAGTTTGCAAAACAAATAAACTGAGTGTGGCTGAGTTAGGCATAAAGGGATTGTATGAAAATGTTGCAGATTAGCTTGCAAAATCACTGAGAGGGTTTGAGCAGCAGATTTACAGGTGGTTCACTGGGAACAGTTCCCCTAAATCAGGCCACAGAACTGGTCTGCTGAAGACAGCCCTGTGGCCCAGCAGCAGGCTGCATCTTGCACCTCAATGCCACTTACCTGGTCCCTGTATGCTGGCACCAGCACCACTTCCCAAGTAAGCAACTACAACCACCACAGCCACACCATGGCCACGCCACGGAATCTCTGTGGTCTCTGCCCCACTGAGGACTTACAGCCCATGGCATATTTGTCTGGTGGTGAGTTCCAAGTCTGTACCCAAGGTGCATGGGAGGTCGTCAAAGCCAAGTACCTGACATCTGAAATTTCGGTGATGGGAGGTAGCTTCTACGTCCCATCGAGGCTCCCAGGGCCCCCATAAAAGTAGCAAAGATCTTGAAACAGAGAATATATGCTTTGGTGCTGGCAGCCAAAAATATGAGATGGATTCATTATGATAAACACCTTGTTGAAAAAGCAGGAAGTTTGGAGGAAGCTCTTAGCAATAGCTTTGGCCAGTGTCTACCTGATGACAAGACCTCCATAATCCCTTAGATTGGGGGAAAAAAGTGAACAGGGACAATGTAGAAGCTCTATCTTTCTCCTTTTCTTTAAATGGAACTTAACTAGAAATACACATAGAAGTAAGCAAAGGTTGTTGATGAACCTTTAGAAAGTATTTATTATAAGAACCTTTCTAAAACACTTAGAAAGTATTTTATCCAACTACTTGGCCTTACAGATCAAACTGGCGCCTTGAAAGGCTAGGGTCGTATTTCCAGGGATGCATGGCTGGTTAGGAGGCAAACCCAAATTAGAACCTAAATCTCCAGCTTTCTATCCAGTTATCTTTCTACTAATTAGTTTTTTAAAAAATGTGCACTCTAAATTACCTCTGAAAGATTCTTGGCACAATATAGATTCCTAGGCAGGTTGGACTATGGCTGGTCAAAATGGTATCAAGTCTGTTCCATAATAGCTACATTTAACTATCAGATTCTACAATAGGTAATTAAATATTTCCCAGGAAATTTCTAAGATCCTCCAGGACATCATTTTTATAAGACAAAAGGTAAGAGTTTAGGTTAATTTCACTTCCCATACATGTAAGTTTAGAACTTGAACAATTTTGCTTTGCTCTGGCCTAACAGAGATCTGCACACTCCGGTTGGTTGATTAGTACATTTGAGGGGTTCATTTTGGTTGAGGGTGATATAAAAAGCATGTGTGGGACAGTTTTCTAGCAACTAATGCTGTACACAGACTGGGTGATAGATGTTGCATCTGAAGACAGCATTAGATATTCAGCTTTCAATCTCTCCTTATGAGCTCTTTAAAATCCAAGCTGTGAAACAGCAGCTGAGGCTTTATGTTCGGCCGCTGCAGCCAAGACCACACAGAACTGGGACGGGCATATGTGCAGACCTGGGGAGGGCTGCTGTGGGCGGGGGCCAGGCTCTGCCGCGTGGGTCACACTCCAAGTCTGTAACTTCTGCTTGTTTTACAGGACCCTGAGCATCAAAAGGAGCTACCTCTGTGTAATTCAGAATGGCGGAGCCTCATGGGAGGGGATCGGAGAGAAAGAAACAAATGCTTCCCAATGACTAACAGCCAAAATGAGGAAAAGGCTTTCCTCACCTCTGCAGAAGGACAGAAAGTTTCAGGGTGGAAGCAAACTTCTCCAAGCTTTGGAAGTCATCACATGATACTGTGGATGTTCCGTGGGAAATTCCCTTGGAACTGTTTCAAAACCAAATTTCCCACTGTCCCTCTAAACCCATTCTTTCTCCAGGATACTTCCTCAGTGGCTGGTGCCACCTCCCATGCAGCTTCCTTTGCTAGTGTAGGGTGAACACTAAAAATCATGCCATTCAGACTGATAGAAACACTGATTATGGCTATTTCGAATTCCTAGAGAATTGACATTTCTTGGAGTCTATAATTCTTTTGCTTAGCAAAATACCTTAGTGGCCTATTTTCTAAGTTGAAATCCTCAAGACTTGCACTGGAAAAGAAGAGATGAATTACTCAACAATACAAAAAGAGAGGATTCCAAGCAGTCTTGGTACCCAAAGAGCGAGTACAGTGCCCAGAAAAGGAAAACCGGAGAAGACAGGAACAGATAATGAGGCATGAAGTGCATTTTTGTAGATAGTGGTGAGGCCAGAGGTACAAATTATCACGAATAACCATCAGAAAGAGTTGTGCTAATAGCCCTGTGGCATTCTGAGACAAAGCAGGTCTCTTGGGGACAGATACGAGGCTGGAGCGAAGACAGCACCTGGACAGGGAGGGCAAAGCTCCCAATGCGAAAGGGGCAGGTAGGTAAAACCTCAGCAGAGACTTTACTTGCCCCTGTGAATGAAGCAGACACAAGTCATTCTAGGCGGATGGATCTGATTAGAGGGACTGAGAGGACCACAGGGTGGGGCGCAAGACTTCTGAGTGGCAGCTGTTATCACAGTCATGAGCAGCATCTGACTCTGATTGGCACCTCCACATCCTGCTGTCAGAGTTCCTAAATGAGGGAATATCCACTGGACTTCCTTTGCCTCATCCTGTTTGCTGTGGAGTCCGATCTCCTTCCAGATGGCACTGGCATGTGCAGAGAGAGTTGTACATTTTTCTTGGGAAGAGTGATAGTTATTGAATCCTTCTCAGAAAAGCTCCACGGGTAGAGAATAGGTACAAAAATGGAATGCTAGTCAGAGAAGTATGTAAAATGTTCAAAGAAAATTTCTAGGCCCCGGACCATGTTATTTCCTAGAGCTATTGTCTAATTTTCAAAAGGTTCAAAAACACAACCCTCACACAAATATGAACATAATGTCCAAGTTCTATTCAGCTCATTAATTAGTGAGGAAGCCACTAAGATGTTAATAGGGGTTCAAAGGAGAATTTGAGAAGCTGGATATTTATGGACAGTTTAATATGAGGATATTAGGAAAAGATTGCTTAGGTGAGAGACACAATTGATTGATATTTTGTGAGGTCATAAACCATATTTGGGAGGAGGTTTCCCCCAGTGGATGGTAATTATTTGCATCTCTACCTGATGAAAATCTATAACTTTGCCCCTAACGAAGCTGTAAAATAGCTCAGTCAACAAAAAGTCAATCAAGGACGCAAAACCAGCTCTGCACTGAGAAAATACTTACTAATCTTCTTTGCCTATTTCCTAACTTCAGATAACTTTTCTGATATTAGAAAGCTCTCAGACAGCTCCTCTTAGGAGTCTCAGGCAGAACTATATTAACATGAACTACAAAAGACAGTTCACACATCCTATTAATTTCTCAATATACCTTAAAATAAGGGTAAGATGAGGGAATAAATGTCTCCGTGAATGAGACTCCAAGAAGAGCCTAGACAACATTTGGCCAAATTAAAAGAACAGACTGCTCAGTGGCACGTGTGTGAAAGGATATTTCTTCCCCTTCTGTCGCATATGGAAAGACTTCTTAGAGTACAAACTCCCATAGGAATGCATTCTTTTGCTAGTTCTCTAGTGGATGAAGAGTAAAGCTGATATTTTTTCCATATAAGATGAGTACGCTAAGCTACACATCTAGAGGAAATTGCCCTATTCATATATTTTTGTTTTCTTTTTCTGAGCTTGCCCAAAGGAATTTGGCAGTCTATCATCAAAAAGGAAGAAAGTATTGGGTTCTAAAATGCTAGCTTCTGTTTCTTTTTTAATTTTTTAAAATAAAGTTGTTTTACTATCTTACCCTTCAGATGAGAGTGTTTTCTCAAACACAGGTGATATGGTTTGGCTGTGTGTCCTCATCCAAATCTCATGTTTAATTGTAATCCCCATGTGTCTGGGGAGGAACCTGGTGGAAGGAGATTGAATCTTGGGGGCAGATTTCCCCCTTGCTGTTCTCGTGATAGTGAGTGAGTTCTCACAAGATGGTTTAAAAGTGTGGCACATACCCCGCTTGCTTTCTCTGTCTTCTGCCACCATATAAGACATGTCTTGCTTCCCCTTCACCTTCTGCCATAATTGTAAATTTCCTGAGGCCTCCCCAGCCATGTGGAACTGTGAGTCAATTAAACCTCTTTCCTTTATAAATTACCCAGTCTCAGGTAGTTCTTTCCAGCAGTGTGAAAACAGACTAATACATCAGGTATCAGCGTAATCTTTTATTTCAGGAGACTATTTTAGCAGTTTCATTTGTAGCTAGTCCTCCTGCACTGAAATCTTAAGTAGACCTATATAATGGCCACGCATGAAGAACTCTTTTGTATGACAATGAGTGGCCAGCTGGGTGCTGAATGGACACCCGCACCTGCCCTGCCTGGGGGAAGTTTGTCAGTCCACAGCTCTGGCGACCTAGAAGAATCTATGCTCTGCTCAGGCTAGGCTGCGATCATCCAGTCCTGAGTCCCACGTCCATGAGAAACACAGTCAGCCTCAGGGACCAAATCCACCCAGGGAGCTCTAAGAGTTCTCGAAGCTTGTTTGCTTGCTGGATGAGCAGTAAACAGGTGTTACAGCAGCTTCCTAGGAGCTGCCAGTGCCCCCATCCTGGACTCATGACCAACTTTGTGATCTGATCCGGCTCACCAAACAATCTGAAACTTTTATACTTCATTCCCTTTCCTGCTCTAGGAATGAGAATCACTGAATACATCAGCCAAATATCTGTATAGCCAGACTTTTCAGTATAACAAGGTTTCCAAGTCCCAGTCACATTTAGATCAAGGCGCATAACGCAACAGATTTCTAGGTCTAACTCAAGAATTTTGATGATCTATTACGGTTTGTCATAATGAGATTTAGCCTTTACTATAATTTAGGGCAAGAAACACTGAATTGGAACCTCAAGTCCAAAATTGTTGTGTAGAGGAAGCTCTCTCCAATCACTTTATAGAATGCATTGATTGCTGGAAATATCATCTTACTCATTCCATGTGTTTCTAGATTTCAGTTTTCTAAGTGCCATAAGCCTACCTAATTTTACCATGGGGCATCTGTAGATATATTTCTACCATGGAATAAAAACTTCCATAAATCTATCCTGTCAGCTGTAGATGCCATTATAGTTTGAGGGTTTTTTTCTCCTTTTCCTAAGCAAGTTAATAATATTTAAATTGTTTAAATGACCCTTTTCCTGTTTCCAAGCAGAAATTCAGAACTTATTTGTGTATTAAGTTAAAATTCAGGCAAATAATGCCTTAGCCTGGCATCTCTAAATCCTCCACTTAAATGAAAACTGATATCTTCAAGGTCATAAAACCTCTGCCTCAAGAGAAACAAACCAAGAAGCCCTAATGATGCCCATTCAGAAGGCAGGACCTTGGTCAGGGCATGAAGACTCGAAAAATCAAATCAATACGGCCGCCAGAGTAATACAGAAAGTGGGCCGAAGAGAAGTGCCGGCCTGAACTCCTCTGTCGGGGATTATACGAGCAGTTTTGTGACCATTTTAAACATTTCTCACATACTTTTGGCTTTGTGGAAACACATCTCCTCTCTTTATATTCACATCTGTTTCCCATGTTAGAATATAAACATATTCAAGAAGTATACAGAAATCCTTTTCTATACTTCCATGTATTTAAGATTTGAATGCATTCACTTGCAGGCACCAAGTGTACTTTAGGAAGGCACAGTTGATTCTTTTTTGGTGAAAAGTATGTACATTAGTGTTTCCTAAGAAGAATGTGCAAGGAGGAATGTAGGAAATGAGCCTTTCTCTTGCCATGTGGGGCTCAGAGTAATAGTAAACATGTTGTCACTTTTAGCCGAAAAACAAAAACATATGAGAGATGATGGTGAAGGGATGACTTCAGAATGTGTTATCTGAGGTTTTTATTTTATTCCCCAACTCCCATACACACATGCATGGGTGCACATGCATACACACACACACACACACACACACACAGAGAGAGAAACACACACCTGAGCTGCACGTGCAAAGCTGCGGAGAAAAATTTGGGTGATTGGGTTGGTGGGTCTTTGGAATCCAGGAAATGAGGGCTGAGGATTCTGGAATTCTGTGGGATCCATGTGGGCCTTTCCTGAGAGTCGGGGAGAAATGTGATCTTGCTTGACAGGGCCAGACGTAGGGTCTCTGTTGGACACTGACTTTGGCTGCAGATTCTCCACAAGTGATGCTGAAAGAAGGCTGGGATGTCTGTAGGACATGCTTAGACTAGTTGACCTGAGAGGTGCTCTGGTATAATTAAGGAAAAAGACCATGGCTCAAAGAGAAAGAAGGTGTTTTTTCATGAAATGTTAGCAAAGCTGAGAATGGCTGGAGATGGACAGGGCAGTGTGGAGGGGCCGGCAGGGTACTGGGGAGATGGGAGATGCTCACATGGAGGCTGTCCAAAGGGGGCTTAGATGGAGAGCTCCTGGATGCTGTGTAAACACCAAGTCCTGTCAAGATACACATCACCAAGTCAGTGGCTGCTGCAGAATGCATCTTGTGCCTTCACCACTTCAGAGTCAGCTTTTGGGGAGAAGGTGACCCTGGGCCCCTGCTCTTGGTCACCTCTCCTGTCCTTTCCTTCCTTGACCCCCATGCAAGCCTGCTCAGTCCTTTGTCTCTGGGGAGATCACATGAGTACACGACTGTTGTCCAAACTGGGACCTTCTAGGGACAGCAAGGGAGGCATGATGAACTATGACGTGAGACCGCAGCAGGAGCTGGACCCTCTCAGGCAAATACGCAGCCACTGATTTTTGCTCCAACGTGAGTTGACTCCAGTATTTTAATCTTTCACTGGAATTTTTCTTTTATAGATTTTCTTCATATTACTGCAATTTTAGGAATTAGAGAAAAGATGAAAAGATATGTTTGGTGACATAGAAATTCCCTCTATTCCTTAGAAGACAAAAGAATAATTTCCCTAGCTCTATCATGTATTTATGATATGATTTGCGGAAATTCCTACAAACTTTCTGTAGCTCTATTTCTTCATTTGCATAAGGCAGTAATAATACTGAATGATACTAACAAGAAAAGTTGTGAATATTTCATGAGAAAATTCATGATGAAGGGGCTTTGCCAAATGTAAAATAGCTCCTAAACGTCTATTGTTTTCGTCATCGTAGCTGTCATCATTATCAGCTTCTAACTCTAATGAAAGCTAAGGGACACTCTGAAACTACATGCTGAATTATTGATCTCTGTTCATATTCATTTTTAATGTCATCAAATTGTTGATAATATAACATTTAACCCTTCTAAACTTCACTTGAACAAAGGGTAACAGGGAGGTGTGAGTTCAGAAAAGAGTGGGCACCCAACATAGACTGACTTACAATGAAATCCACATTCCAATATTTATGAGGCATGAACATTTTCCAAAGAGTGACATGGGAAAATTTGTTTTCTTGATTTTATATGTTCAGCGCTCCAAAATCTAACATGGCAACAGGGTAAGTGTGGGGGCATCATTGAATGAACATGCATGAAAATGCATTTACAATCTCAAATCTCAAAATACGACATGATGAAGTTGCAAATGGGCAATTGATTCTCAATTATAGAAAGCGTTGGAGAGATTTTCTTTTGTGCTTTTAGAATAGCAGAGTGGAGGAGAGGTCCTGGGAACAAACACTGCAGGAGGAGGTCTGTCCTGGGAATCTACATCAACCCACACTTTACGACCAGGGGAAGTGATCTCAGACTTCTGGGTGTCACGAGGAAACTGGCTGAGCTAGATTCTCTCTAATATTCTTTCTAACACTGTAGCATCTTGTGATTATTCAAGAAAGGAAACACGATTAAACGTAGAGCAAAACACAGCTTAAAACCCCATTTACCATCACGTTCTTGAGTGACTGAGGAGGGAAGGAGAGCCTCTCCATTGTACGCTCCTCTTTCATGTCTTAATGATGATAATGTGACGATGATTATGTTGATAAAACATGCTGAGAAAACCTTTTTGTGTATAGAATAAAATGTTTTCTATGGCATTTTTCTTTCCCAGTGAGAATTGATTTGAATCATGATGCCTTACACACAATTTCCTTATCTGTAAAATAGTCATAAGAATGAGATGAGAGATTTGGAGTCAAATAGAACTAGTTTCTATCTGCCAGACAGAACTCTGCCAAATTCTAGAAAGTATCCTTATTTTCTCCATCTGTAAAATGAGATGAATACCTTATCGTGGAGCGCAATGTGTGATATTATGTGCAGAGCACTTAACTGGACGCCTGGAACACGGTGAGGCTTCAGGCCACGCATGCTTCCTTCATTCAAACTGGCACTCACTGCGGCACACCGGCCCTTTTTGAGCACCTGGGTGCAAAGACAAAATGAACAGTCATTGCTTTTGCTTTCGGAAATCTTAAAGGCTAGTGTAAGGATATTAATTAAATAATGACACTAAGTTATGAAGTCTTCTCTGATAAAGTTGTATTTGATATAAAATCTGAAATAAAAGAACTAATAAAGTTGATGTGGAGAAAGAATATGAATAGCTCTGCATGCAAGCAGAATAGGAGGTGCAAAGATGCGGGGCAGGAGGTGACCTTGGGCAGGATGACTGAGGCACAGTGAACAAAGGGTAAGTAGCAAGTGACAAGGCTGCCTATGCCTGAACCATGGGTGTGGTTCAAGTATGTTCCTGCTCTGTTAAAGAAAGCAGGGAATGAGCTAGCTCAGGGATTGGTAAGGTTTTTCTGCACATGGCCAGGTAATACATATTTTAGGTTTTGCAGACAATGGTCCTGGTAAAAACTATTCAACTCTGCCATTGCAGCATGAAGCAACCTCAGATGATACATCAACGGGTGGGTGGGGCAGTGTTCCAAAAAGCTGAATCTTGAATTTCTGATAATTTTCACATGTCAAGAATTACTGGTCTTCTCTTGACTTTTCCCAACCATTTGAAAATATAAAAATTATTCTTAGCTCACAGTCTATAGTTTGCTAAACTGAGCCAACTAATTGTTGGATTTTTTTCTCTAAGCATTTCATGTTATGTCCAAGACACGCCGAGGACATAGGTGGGAGTGGTAGGGGTGAGTACATACCAGTGCCAGCCTCCACTGTGCCTGCAATCTAAGCTCTGACCTAGCCAAAAAGTCTGAAAGAATTAACAACTGGCTAATTGAATGAAAAAGTGAATCAAATATGAACTGAATGAATGAATGAAGTGAGTGGTTATAGGAAAGAAAGTCTGCCTGCGTCCTAGGAGCAGGTGAACTGGATTCACCTTACCCATCTTCTTGCACTTACATTTGCTGGACAGTTTTTACAAGAAAAGCCTCACTTTGCATAGATAATTAGAAACATTTTGTGACTTAAGAGAGAAGAGAGGCTGGCCTGAATGTTATTATGGAGCATGGGGACATGAAAAAGGATCCAAAAAAAAAGGCTGCTGGTCTGTGCTGGGAGAGGCATCTTCCAATCCCCCCAAAACTGAGTTCAGCCAAGTTGGCGTATGCAAAAGCTTCACCATTTTATCTTTCAAAGAAGAAACACGTCAGGGTAAAAACAAGAAGCCTAGCGGTTAAAGATAAACGGAAAGAAAACACACAATTGCTCTTAGTCTGTCATTTCCCCCACAGAGTAGTAAATAAGAGCTTTGATACATAAAAGCAGTTATCAAACAGTAACAAATTAGTTCTTCACCATCTGTGATCCACGAGAGGGGGTGACAGTTTTAGTGCAAGATTTTAAAATATGAAATCAACGATTTATGAACTGGGTTCAGAGTCTCCGTGTCTACCCGGCCTCTTCAAGCACAGCCACAAGAAAGCACTAAGGTTTTCAGCTAACAAAAGCCATCAGTGGTGGCTCCTCTCTTTAAAATAGGCTAATTACTGCCTGACATTTGTAAACAAGATGTTTCCTTCCATACTGCAGCTCACCATACTCAACATGCTTTCTGTTCCTTTAGAGAAACCAGCTTCACACAAAAGGCTGGTTATCAAAAGACCCTCAAGGCACAGGAAGTGCCGCTCCCTGGCTACCTTGATCTGAGATCTGGCCAGATGCTCCTTGATCAGCCTGGATACTGCGGTGCCCCAAGTCTTGCTCTTGGGCTCCTCAGTAATGCTACTGGAACCCACCACCTTCCTGTCAATCAAGCCAGGCATCCTCAGTTCTCCAGGATCATCTGTGTTGCTTGGCTGTGGCTGACTTCAGGCAGGGCCCAGGCAGGCTTGACCAAGCAGTGGGTCTCCCAGGTGGCAGGGAGCACCTCATCCCCCTCTTTCTCCCCTATCCTACCTGAATCTTCCCTGGAGAAATCAAAGGGTACCAGACCCTGATCCTCAACCAGGGTTGGACCCGCAGTGCCGCCTTCATCTTACCTCATCCTGTTATGTGAGTCACTTCTGAGAAGGGTTGCATGTCCTCAAAGGAGCTCTTGATTCCTACTTTGGGATCTGGGCATAGAGTTTATAAATGAAAGTATATGGTTTTCCAGAAACCGAGGGGGAGAAAACACCACGGGATGTTCAATCTAATGCCTCTTCTGTAAGACATTTCCTCCCTCCATGAGTTATTGTAGATTTCCAGTACAGCTCCTTGCCTCTATCTCTTGCTCTCCTCCTCCTCTTATTTCTTCTTTGTTCTTTTTGCCCAGTGGGAGCAGCATGAAAGTAAGTAAATAACAATTTATGACATTTGCTATTTACTATAACATTATAATAAGAAAAGAACCAGGTTTGCAATCAGAAAGAGAGTGGTGTTCAAGTCTTGCCTTGGTTATCACCTCAGTGTGTGTAGCCAGGGAGTGACTCCAATGTTCTTTGCCTCCATTTTCTTGTCTGTAAAATAGGAATGGTCAAATAGATCGAATGAGGGCATATATATGAGCATGGTTATTACATGCCTGGCACATAGAAAGTGTTTGTGTTAGTCCGTTCTTGCATTACTATAAAGAACTACCTGAGACTAGGTAATTTGTAAAGAAAAAAAGTTTAATTGGCTTATGGTTCCCCAGGCTCTAGAAGAGGCCTGGCTGTGGAGGCCTCAGGAAAGTTACAATCATGGAAGAAGGCAAAGGGAAGGCAGGCATGTCCTACCCGCTGGAGCAGGAGGAAGAGAGAGGAAGAGAGAACGGGGGAGGTGAGGAAGAGAGAGCAGGGGGAGGTGAGGAAGAGAGAGCAGGGGGAGGTGAGGAAGAGAGAGCAGGGGGAGGTGAGGAAGAGAGAGCAGGGGGAGGTGAGGAAGAGAGAGCAGGGGAGGTGAGGAAGAGAGAGCAGGGGGAGGTACGACACACTTTTAAACAGGCAGAGCTCATGAGAACTCACTCACTATCATGAGAACAACAAGGGGGAAATCTGCCCCTGTGATCCAGTGGCTTCCCACCAAGCCCCTCCTCCAACGCTGATGATTGTAATTTGACATGAGATTTGAGTGGGGCCACAAATCTAAACCATATCAGTGTTCAAAAAATATGTAAGCTAAATTTGGTTGGACAATGAGAGCCTATTTCATGTGGGCAGGTGACTTAATCTCTCTGAAGTTCAAGGGAGATCCTGTAAATGGGACCCTTTTACAAACTGCAAAGTGCTATACAAGCAAAAAACAGCATGACCACTCTGCTAAGTCATCATGATACCTTGCAGTATTGATACGGAAGCGGGGCAGGGAAGTGCTGGGAAGGGAAGGGCATGGTCCCTGGCTAGGGCTCCACCCCTGGGCCTGTGCCCATTGACCTAGGTGAGGACAGGCACTCCTGTTTTCGATCCCAAATGTTGCATTTCCCAAGACCAGCGTGGCCCACCACAGCCCCAACCTGTGCCTATAAAAACCCCAAGACCCTAGCAGGCAGAGACACAAGTAGCTGGGCATCAAAAGGACGCCGGTGGAAGAGCACACCGACTGACGCCGGCAGGCCATTGACCGGCAAAACAATGCGGAGTTTGGCCGGGGCAGGCAGAGGAAAACCTGGGCAGCTGAGCAGCTCGACTCCAGGGAAGAACCACCTTCACCTTCCCACTCCATCTCCCTTCTGCCTCCCCCATCTGCTGAGAGCTACTTCCATTCAATAAAACCTTGCACTCATTCTCCAAGCCCACGTATGATCCGATTCTTCTGGTACAGGAAGGCAAGAAACCCCAGGATACAGAAAGCCCCCTGTCCTTGGGATTGAACGGTTAAACACAAGCCACCCAAGGATGGCTAAGCTGAAAGAGCACCCTGTAACACACACACCCCCCCTGGGGATTCAGGAAAGGGAAACATTCATCACTAGACACTGCTGTGGGGTCACCCCACAGCCTGACCATTTGTATGCTCCCCTAGAGGTTTGTGCAGTGGGGCACTGAGGAAGCTAGCCACTCCCCCTGTCACACACCCTGCCTGGGGGACAAGGGAACTTTTACTGTTTCAATATCAATGAGAGGTCCATATCTGACAGTTACTAAGGCCATTTCTTACAGCTTTATCAGCTGATGGACCCAAATGCACATTGGTGATGACTTGTAAAATTCCTTAAGAGGTTTGTGACACTATGACTTCTCCACATGGGGACTTGCAATGATTTGTTCTTTGACCACTGCTTGGCCAGGTGCTGGCTATAGAGATATTCCTATGCTGACTGGTTTACACACAATCAGACTATTGGAAGAGGCCTGATTTTCAGAAACTCTGTCTGGAAACTGGCTGGCTGCAAATCCAGCACAAAGTGTACTTTTCTTCCTCAGCTCTGAAATTAAAGGGTATATCTGTTATTTATTTACAATATTTATTTTGTACTAACATAATTCAAACCAAATCAAACTCAAACCCAGAAACAATAGCCTGATGAATTTTTAAAGAAACTTTCCAAAATAAGTCAATGTTCTTGGCTTGGGTTACGTTTGAGAAGTTTCCACCCCTTAGGAAGAGTTTTGACTTGTTTCTTTGCTTTGTGAATGTTAGAAGGCATTTGGTAAAAGCCATTACATGGGGGATCCCATTGCCTCAAATTGGAGATGCTGCTGACATCTAAAAATTTAGAGAAATGAATCATAATGAGAGTTATTTATTAGGCACTTAATAGTTTATTATATGCCTGGCACCAGGTTATACATGATTAAAATATTTTAACTCTAATGTTATTATCTCTGTTTTACAGATGTAGGAACTGAGATTCAGATAAATTTTATAACTTGTGTTAGATCATACCATAATTGAGGCAAAAATAAAACCGAAACATTTCTACTTCACATCCCATGCCCTTTTAAAGACTACACCAAAAAACTGTTAGAGTTAATAAATGAATTTGGTAGAGTTGCAGCATACAGAATCACCATACAAAAATAAATTAGTCCTATACACACTAAAACAAACTATCCAAAAAATAAATTAAGAAAACAAGCCCATTGAAGATAGCATCAAAAAAATAATAATAAAGTACTTAGGAATACATTTAACCAAGATGGTGAAACATCTGTGCACTGAAAGCTATAAAACAATAAAAGAAATTGAAAAAAAAAACGAATAAATGGAAAGATATTCTGTATTCATGGATCAGAAAAATCAATACTGTAAAAATGTCCATACTATGCAATGGAATCTATACATAAATAATCTCTATCAAAATTTCAATGACATTTTTAAATAGAAAAAAAATCCTAAAATTCATATGGAACCACAAAAGACCCCAAGTAGGTAAAACAATCTTGAGAAGGAAGAAAAAGCTGAAGGTATCACACTTCCTGCTTTCAAATTATATTACAAAGCTATTGTAATCAAAACAGTGTGGTATTTGCATAATGACAGACACATAGACTAATGGAACAGAATAGAAAGCTCAGAAATAAATCCAGGCGTATATAGTCCACTAATCTTCCACAAAGACACCAAGAATAAACAATAGAGAAAGGATCATCTTTCAGCAAATAATGTTGGGAAGCTAGATATCCACATGCAAAAGAATAAAGTTGCAATTTTATGCCATACACAAAAATAAACATAAAATGAATTTAAGACATACCTGCCCTTTCTTTTCCTGATACCCTCCCCTCATTCCTGAACTGCAGGAAACTGAGCCCCTCCATGCTTTTGTGACCTCATCACTGGCTGTGTTTATTTGATGGTTGATTTTGCTGTACCTGGAACCTCCTTTCCCATTTTCTAATCATTTTGTAAGGCATGCTGACTCTTTTCTCTTCCCTTCTCCTTTCCCTGGGAAAATACGATGAAAAAAGGCTGATTGGTACTGAAAGGAAAAAGAAAGAGTTGTATGTAAGATCTGAAATTGCAAAATTTTTAGAAGAAAAAATAAGGAAAAAGCTTCTTGACAGTGGTCTTGGCAGTGACTTTTTGTATATGGCACCAAAAGCACAAGTAACAATAGCAAAAATAAACAAGTGAGACTCCATCAAACTAAAAAGTTTCTGCACAGCCAAGGAAACAATCAGCAAAATGGAAAGGCAACCCACAGAATGGGAGAAAATATTTGCAAACAATACATCTAATAAGGGGTTAATATTGAAAATATGTAAGAAACTCATACAACTCAACAGCAAGAAAAACAACCTGGTTAAAAAACAGGCAAAGGACACGAATATACCTTTTTTCACACAATACATACAAATGACCAGCAGTTATATGGAAAGGTGCTCAGCATCACTATTCACCAGGAAATGTAAATCAAACCACAGTGATGTGTCACCTCACTCCTGTTGGGATGGGTGTTATCAAAAAATCAAAAGGTAATACATGTTAGAGAGGGTGTGGAGTCATAGGAACCCTTATATATTGCTTGTAAGAATTTAAATTGATACAGACATTATGGAAAACAGTATGGACATTCCTCAAAAAATTAAAAATAGAACTACGCCATGATCCATCAATTCCACTTTTGAGTATGCATTCAAAGAAAATGAAATCAGTAGCTAGAGAAGATGTCTGCAGCTCCACATTCATTATAGCATGATTGACTATAGCCAAAATATGGAGAAAATCTAAGTATCTGTGAACAGATTAATAGATTAAAAATGTGATACACACACACACACACACACACATACATATATGTCATGGAATATTATTGAACCTTAGAAAAGAAGGAAATCCTGACGTTTTGCAACAACACTGTTGAACCTGGAAGATGTTGTACTAGGTGAAATAAGCCAGACACAGAAAGACAAATACTGCATCATATCACGTCTATGTGGAACCTAAACAACTTGACTTCTTGGAAACAGAAAGTAGGATGGTTACCAGGGGTTAGGGGACAGGAGAAATGGGGAGATATTTATCAAAAGGGCACACACTTTAGGTTATAAGATAAGGGTCGGGCACGGCAATGCATGCCTGTAATCCCAACACTTTGGGAAGCTGATATGAGAGGATCTCTTGAGTCCAGGAGTTCAAGACAAGCCTGGGCAACATAATGAGATCCCATCTCTACAAGTTTTTTTTTTTAAATTAGCTGGTCATGGTGGTATGAACCTATAGGCCCAGTTGCTCCAGAAGCTGAGGCAGGAGGATCATTTCAGTTCAGGAGTTTGAGTCTGCAGTGAGCTGTGATCGTGCCACTGCAGTCCAGCCTGGTCAATAGAGAGAAACCTCGTCTCAGATAAATAAATAAATAAATAAATAAATAAATAAATAAATAAATAAATAAAAGATGAGCACTACCTAGAGTTCTAATGTATGGCAGGTAACTACAGTAAATAATAATGTATTATGTACTTGAAATTTGTTAACAGAGTAGATTTCAAGTATTCTCACTGCAAACAAATGGTAACTATGTGAGGTTATACATATATTTATTAGCTAGATTTGGCAACCATTTCACAACATATACTTATATCAAAACATCAGATTGTACACCTTAAATATATACAATTTTAATTGCCAATTAAACCTCAATAAAGCTTAAAAATGGAACAAAAGGAGTTCTTTCCACTCATCTTCATCACCCTTCCGTCCCTCATGCACACATGTGTTAACATCTTGTTTTCCTTTTCTTTTTTCCCCCTCATGTATTTCCTAATGAATATTTTCAGTTAGCCCCAGTAGACACTGTGAAGTAGTCAAGGTTCTTCCCAGGGACACTGTTCTTTTCCCAGTAAATAATTGGGCACCATCTTGCCTGTCTTTAATATACTTTTCATTCAGATGTATTTACATCAGCCTTCAGCATGCTACATGCATCTGAGAAAATTCATTGAATAAGGTATTATATAACCAATTATTATATGTAAGGGAATTATTTTCATCATAATCCCAAATCAACATCCCAACTAAAAAGTCCATTCAGAACCATGAGAAATGCATTGTGTGAATGAAACAAGTGAAGAAATGAAAATGGAAAATATGATTCAAATATGATTCAAATATAAACACTACTTCACTTAAAACCCAGCAGAACCTCATTCTCACTTCTAAACTAACTCATTTTCACTTTGCTCCTGTGGTTACTAAGAGACATGATTTATTGTAAAGTGTATCTCGGGGCTGCTTCCTGAGCCAGAAAGAGAAGTTGTCTTTGACATTCCTTCCCCCTCATCCTACCTTGAATTAAATACCAGACCTGTCGATTCTACTCCTCTACAAGGGTCCACTTCTCTCTGCTGTCACTACCCCAATCCCCACTTGAATTCCCGTGTAGCCAGTTGATAGACTCCGCTTCCACTCCAATCCAGACTCCCCGTAGCAGCATAAGCGAGCCTTCTAAAACACATCTGGACACGTTGCCCCTGCAGGAAACTCTTTAGTGGCTTCCCCTTGCTCTTAGGTCATGTTGAATCCATGAGAAGGGCCCCCAGGTTCTTTCTCACCTAGCCTCTACCTCCGTTGCAAACTTCATCTCTCGCTGCACACTACCCCAACCCTCTAAGTTTTAGCCAGAATGAGCTTCCTTCCTTCTTTTTTCCCTTTCTCTTTCTCTTCATTCCCTCCCTTCCTCTCTCTTCCTTCATCCTTCCTTCCTTCAATTTTTGTCAGAGCAGAATGTGTCTCTTGCCTTTTCCTTCGGCCTGGGTTAGCCACGCCTCCTAAAGACCTAGCCAGCTGAGATGCAGCTTCCAAGCTCTGGACTCGAGGTGTCCTTCTCTGGGGAGCCTTCCCTGTCCCCTCCTCTAGTGAGGTGAGACACTGTGGGCCTTCTCTGTCACAGCATCTGCCTCACGTGATGGCCATTGCTTGTTTGGTTGCTTGTCTTCCCCGCAGACCCAAAAACTCCATGAGACAAGGCTCTGTGGCTTTCTCACCATCAGAGTACTACATCTACCTGTAGGAACAAATGGATTTTAAATGCATAATACCATTCATAAAAATGCAATGTGCTATCTAACTTGAAGGTACACCACCAGCAACCCCAGGAAATTTGGGATGGAGCTAGAATCAGAGCCCTTCTCTTGAGACTCCTCATTCAATACTCTTGTAAGTTCGGGTTAAAGAAAGGAGCCTGTCATCTCGGATTGAGTCTCAGCAGCATCATATTCAAGCCAAGTGACTTTAATCAAATAACTCCTTAAGCCTCTGTTTCCTTGTCTGTAAAATGGGGGTAATAATATTCACCTTGTCTAGCTCTTAGTGATGCAAGGGGGATCTATTGAGATAATATGAAAAAGCATTATAAATTTCAAAATGCTTTAAACAGGTAGATATATATTGGTTAGAGAAATAAAAAGAGAAAATACCAGCAGCCCCCACTCTATGCAATAATAGCTAACACTTAGCATGTGCCAAGGACTGCTGCACCTCCAGCCTCCTCTTCCTTCCAACCACCCCAGGCTAATGAGGTGTCTTCATGCCTACAGCAGTGTGGAGGAAGAAAACTGATGGGAAGAGCTCAAGTTTTCATAGACCCACACTTGCATGGCAGGAAACCAATACAAAAACAGCCCAGCAGACATCTTGCTAAGTTGCCATGTTGAAGAGCAGTGATGGTCATTACGGTAATGGAACAGCAGTGGATTAGATTCCTGGGGCTGCCATAACAAATCGTCACAAACTAAGTGGCTCAAAACAACAGAAATGCATTCTCTCACAGTTCTGGAGGCCAGAAGTCTGAAATCAGGGTGTTGGCTGGGAACTTGGGGAGAATCGGTTCCTCATCTCTTCTGGCTTCCAGTGGTTGCCAGCAATTCTTGGCATGCCTTGGCATGTAGTGGCATCAGCTCAGTCTCTGCCTCTGTCTTCACTTGGTATTCTCTCTCTCTCTCGCCTGTCTCTGCTTTCACTTCTTATAAGGACACAGGTGATTAGATTAGTACCCACCCTAATCCAGTATGACTTCATCTTAACTAAACACATCTGCAAAATCACTACTGTACTTCCAAATAAGATCACTGCTATGGACTGAATTGTGTCCTCCCAAAAGTCGTATTTTGAATCCCTAACCCTGTTGTGACTGTATTTAGAGACAAGGCCCAAGGAGGTTATTAAGATTTAATGAGATTGTAAACATGGAGCCTTGACCCTGTAGTGCTGGTGCCCTTAGAAGAAAAAGAAATGCCAGAGCTCTTTCTCTCTGCCATGTGAGGACACAGCAAGAAGGCGGCCATCTGCAGCCCTAGGAGAGAGCCTTCACCAGAACCCAAGCCTGGTACTGTACTTCCAGTCTCCAGAACTATGAGAAGTAAATATCTGTTGTTTAAGTCACCTAGTTTGTGGCATTTTGTTATGCAGCCAGAACAAACTAATACAATCACATTCTAAGATTCCCAGTTGTCATAGTTAATACTGAGTGTCAACTTGATTGGACTGAAGCATGCAAAGTATTGTTCCTGGGTGTGTCTGTGAGGTTGTTGCCAAAGGAGGTTAACGTTTGAGTCAGTGGACTGGAAAGGCAGACTTACCCTCAGTCTAGGTGGGCACCATCTAATCAATTGCCAGCTTGGCCAGAATAAAAACAGGCAGAAGAATGTGAAAAGGCTAGACTGGCTTAGCCTCCCAACCTACATCTTTCTCCCATGCTGGATGCTTGCTGCCCTAGAACATCGGACTCCAGGTTCTTCAGCTTTGGGACTCAGACTGGCTTCCTTGCTCCTCAGCTTGCAGATGGCTTATTGTGGGACCTCACCTCCTTGTGATCCTGTGAGTCAATACTCCTTAATAAACTCCCCTTTATATATACATCTATCCTATTAGTTCTGTCCCTCTAGAGAACCCTGACGAATACACCAGTGAACATGCATTTTGGGAGACATTAGTCCCCCCAGTGGTGTTGGTGAACTCCACTAGCTTTTCTTCTTCAGATACTTTGTTTAAGAAGGCAGAGAAGACAGTAGGTTATTTATAATGATCTTCATTGATATTTGGAATGGAAAGCCTCATTTATCAGAAAAAGTACTTTACAAGGGCTTCCTTGTTTCTCAGTAATGAAAGACAGATGAGAAATCTATGTAATAATGAGAATAATGGTTATTCTTATTATTATAGTTCAACTGATTTGGGGGATAAGATTTGGTTTAGAAACGTTTGCCTTTCATGTGTTTGCAGTTTTGCTGGTTTGGAAATGTTATTTTTGTTGAAGTCTAGTGCTGCTGCCTCTGCACATGCACTCATTATCCCATTCTTGAATGGACATATGGCACAGAAAGTTTAGAAAATACTGCCCAATTTGTCTAAATACCAATTCATGGCCTCATTCACCATGGGGCCCATTGTGCTGGGAGAACACAGCTGTATAACCTTATCAACACTGGCCAGAGGAGTGCCCATGAGTTCAAATGCTAATCCAAAGCCTATATTTGCCTTGGCACAAGGTTGCTGCACACTTGGAATGTGCAGGTTGGTGAGGGACTTTGAAATGGTTGGAAGACAGAAGGTGAGAAAGAGGGTGTTCCTATATCCCTGATCCCTATCTAATTTCAAAACCTGTGGCCAACTTTCCTATGCCAAGAAATTGGAAATGAGTATTTTTTTCTGAAATCTTTCTTTCCCATTCCCAGCTGATTCCCATAGCTCTTATTTCCAAGGTACAATAATCAGAAAATTACTGAACTAATATTTTCCTCCAAGATGAAAGTGGTGTTCTTTTCTTAAATCCTATCTCCCATGCATCTGGGGAAGAGGAGAACAAACACAGATAAATCACGTCCAGAACTGCCTGCTTTTCATCCCAGATCTGCAGAAACTGGGGACTGTGGAGCATTCAGTCAATTTAATGAATGAGTCACTTCTAGCAAACAGTATGTGACAAAGCACTAGAATAATATAGAAAGACCTCCTCTCCTTAGGAATTTATTAATTCAATCAGTGAACATTAATTGAGCATTTTCTACATGCCAGTGACTATGGTCTCCAAGAAAAGATTGAAACCATCATTCTACCAGTAAAGGAGCTTGTAATTATGGGAGGAACACACAGCTTTATTCTTTACT
Organism: Homo sapiens; assembly: GCF_000001405.40. Taxonomy (NCBI): domain Eukaryota; kingdom Metazoa; phylum Chordata; class Mammalia; order Primates; family Hominidae; genus Homo; species Homo sapiens. The sequence continues at coordinate 7,988,834 of NC_000002.12, forward strand.
ACCTCTATAACCTGGGGCAATTTACTTAACTTTCTGAGCCTCAGTTTTCAAATCCATACAATCAAGATATCGATAATAATGATAATAATAACAACAGTGTAGTACAGAATTGTTATGAAGATTGAATGGATTAAAATTAAAATAGCAGGTAGGACAGTTTCTGGAGAAGGAGTAGGAAGGCCCATTGGGGGAATACATGGCATATAATATCCCACTAAAGGTATAATTGTGCTCAGGCAAACATGATGACAAAAAGTAGGATGGTGCAAAAGTAAATGGCAAAAATCACAATTACTTTTGTACCAACCTAATAAAAGCAGAAGGTTTCTATAAGGACATGAGATGCAACTGAACCCAATATTATCGCAAGAGTCGACCTGGGCGTAGGGCATCTGCGAACAGGCCTCAGGGTGGTCCCACTGATTCACAGCCTCAGACGACCTGTGCTTCCTCACCTCTAAACTCATCTGTGTCCATGCTTCCAGAATGTCCAGCATGCATTAGGGGCCCTCAACTTGGAACCCTGTCTGCTGTCTGAATGTTTTATCACAAACATGTTTGCTTATGTGTTACTTTTTAATAAAGAGGATGTGCTACTGACGTCTCTGGGTCATTTCCAGCTCAAATGCACTTTATTGTCCTTGTCAGTAATGGCATTTAGTTCCCATTTCCACTCATATAAAACATAGCTGGTTTGTGTGTGAGGTTGGGGATAGAAAATGGGAGAAGCGTGCTGCAGGAGTCCGAGGACCAGCTCTTCTCTCTGGCTCCCCTCCTCGTGATAGATGCTGTCTCATCCTAGGGAACAAAAGGGATTTGTTTTGTTTTGTTTTGTTTCTTTCTGAGATGCTGTATCAGCCAAGAAACAGGGACCAGAAAACGTCAAGAGCCACCATGGTGTCAGCAGTCAAGGCCTCAGCAGGGCACGTGTTACACAGCGTGCTGTCATGGGTCACAGTCTCCTTGGATGGGGAGCCTCCCAAGAGCTGGTGCTGTATTCATCGGAGGCCCAGAATGTGAGTCCTGCAGAACACCTGACATGTGGCAGGTGTCTGGTAAATGCCTAAGGGACAAGCGATGCCAGATGCCAGGGGCCGAGTAGAGGTCTGGGATGTGGGAGGCAACTGGCCTGTCCAGGCAGAGCTGGGCTTGAGAACAGGGTCTCAAGCTGCTACCTGAGAGTAGAGGTTACTCTTGGACAGATGCCACCCTGGCTCACTGCAGGGCTCACCCCGGCCCAGAGCCCTGAGCAGAGGGCATCCACGTTGTGACAGTGTGATCTGCTCCTCCCAAGAAAGGCAGGCTTGCTCTGAGGGCATGGAAGGCCCCAGGGCTTGCAGCTTCAGAAGCCAGGAGGAAAAGTTTACCTCCCCCAGTTTCAGAGGGGCCCCTTCTACTTCACCCCCCTTCAAGGGAGATGTGAAGAACGTCCAGTGTTCTCAAGTCCACCCCTTCACCTCCTATGAGATGCTTGAGAGAACAGCACAACTTTCAGGTGTGCAAGTCTATGTTACAGAGTAAACAATGAAAATATTCCCATTAATTGTGAAGGGAAAGAAGAGGAGCGACGAGGGAAGATTCCGGGTCTATGACTGGCTCTGCCATCAACTTCCTGTGTATTTGGGGAGAATCATTCAACCTTTGTGGGCCCATCTCTCCATCTATCAACGGTGAAAGCCACCTGGATGGTGTACGAGGCAGCTTCAGTTCTGGTTTCCTGTGCTCTACTCCCCAACATGTGATCATCTTCCCAAAGATGTCTGCTGGTGACTCGCGCCATCCCTCTCCATATTTCTCTGCAGTTCACTACCTGGGGCTTTGACCCAGAAACTCTAATATGTAAATGCTTCATTTTTTCATCCTCCAACAGATGTGCTTATCTGGTTCAGCTCTAATTGCAACTAAGAAGAGCCATGGCAAGTTCAGTACATTCTGTTTCTGCTTCAGAAATACCTGGTAGTATTTCAAATGCAAAATTACAAAGAATTCAGACATCAAAGTGGCCAAACCATGTGTCCTGTATTACTAGCCTATGTTCTCTGTATCTACTCAGTGATTGGGTTTTAAAAATTGGTTGTAGTTTCTGTGGATTGCAGTAAAAAGCTGAAGATTACCTAAAATTGGGATGGTTTGTATTTAGTTGCTAAAGAAAGTCCTCCTTAACAGAATAGAATAATTACAAACAGCTCTTTGCTGTTATTTCTTTTTCAAAGACTGTTTAACTCTTAATAACTTTATTCAGTTTTAAGCCCTAAGCAAGAACACATGGAACAATTAATAATATTTATCTGTGAAATGAGCTTTCTCCCATGCAACCAATACTTTGAACGTATAATTTGTATGACATACAGTTTTCCCTAACCTAAAATTGGAAAACCCTTTAGCTAGTACACCAAAATGTCTGAGCTGGAGAAGTTTTCATTAATTTGCACAAGCAAGCATGTACCAATTCTTGTTTGGATTAAATTATTTATAACTCTAATGGAAAAGTGGGAGGAGACCTACTCCATTTCTTCAAATCCCTTTGCATCCAACTTACATTTCTAAGACCTTTCAGAACATGTAATATAATCCTTAAGAGTAGGAAGCTGGTAAATCAAGGTAATAATTTCTCTCCAACTCAACTGATTTCATAGTAAATATGGACTCTTACTATTCTCTTGGCTTTGGCTGCCATGTTTATGTATATATTTCTTCAACTCCGGCAGTACTTTTATTCTCACCAATAAGTTTATGTCCATTTCTTGAATCCTTTATGTAAAAGGATATAGCATCTTCTTCACATACAGAAGGAGAGAGTTTCCAACAGTTATTTGGAAAGATTAGCTCAGTCACCTAGGCAGGGGGATTGTGTCTCTCCCATCCTCTCCTCTCAGATCTTTATAGGAATAAATATAGGGTCTTCCATTTACTGCTTCCAAAAGCTCATGCTTTCCTTTCCTTTGATGGTATTTCAGCCTTGCCTTCAGTCCCCTTCACTTCCATTTGAATGAGATGGATTTCGTCATTCTCCCCAAGCTCACTTTCCCACAAAATTCTCAGTTAATGATTCCTCAGATTTTATCCTATCACTCTTGGTTTTCTTCTCCCTTTATCCCAGCCACAGAAAATCCTATGTTCATCCAAACCAATCAAGAGCACCTACTTCAATGTTGATGTGTTAGACACATTTGGAGTTAGTCACTCATCCCCAGTCTTTTCCCACTCTACCTTTCAGACCTGGTAATGCCTGCATGTTCTATGAATTTCCACCTGCTCCCTGCAGTCAAGTTCATTTCTGCAAATAAGCTAGTGAAACACTGTTCACCACCAACTCTGTGTTCTCGGATGTGCAACTTTCTGATTTTCTTATTTTGCCTTTTTCTTCATATTCTCTTACCCAGTTACTAAGGATTTTTGTGGTTCCTTTTATCATTTGACATACACCTTTGGAATGGTCTCATTTCTTTGTTGAGCTGGGTAAGAGATGAGGAGGAGAAATGTTCTATCTTCTTTTCTTCATCGAGATCCAATTCACTCAAAATACATTCCTGTAGCTAATAAATGATCATTCTCTCAAGTTGATGATCTCATGTGTGTTCCAGAGTTTGCCATATTTGCAGCATTAGACTCAAAATACTAAAAATTTAAAAAACATAAATACAAAACCCAGTACATGGAAGAAAGGTCTTCTACGCACTGGGTTTTGAAATATGCAACATAAGCCAAGAAATGTGTCCAAGTCATTATATTCTTAATTGTCATGCTTCTTATTGTACACTCTCCACATTTTGAGAATTAAAGTCACTCATTCTTTCCACAAATATTTACTAAGCAATTGCTAAAATTTGCACAGTGTGCCGGGTATCAGAGATGCAAAGATAGAACCCTCAAGGAAGACCCGGAAGTCATGGCTTGTAACTAATGATTGCAATGCAATATGTCACTCCACTCATGGAAGCACTTAATAGGGTTACTGGAACACAGCCAACGTGCTCAGAGGTGTCAAGGAGTAATACATGAAGGTGGCCAGACTTGGACTGAGACTCCCTGGACAAACAGGAGTTGACTGGATGTACAAGTGAATAAAGGCATGAAAGGCAAGATAAAAGGCATAAAATCACTCAAATCATATCAACCCAGCAAACCAGCATCCTGAAACCAGATTTCCCAAATGTCTCTATAGTGATATGGTGACGGACAGGATGCTCAGATAACTAATGAGCTGCATGTTCAGTTTACTTAGGTTCAGTTTATGTCAATGCTAAAACCAGGTCACTGGATTCCTGCCTCTGGCTTCTTTTCACGTTCCTGAAAATTACATTGAATAAACAATAGACCTTTGGAATCTCTGTGCTGCTCATGTTAGTCACTTTAGTTGCATTAATACTTTTCTCATTGGGTATTTATGATACTGAAATATTAGATATCCCAGATCCTATCTAAGAGAAATAAGCTAAAACACACCAAAAGCTGAAGAATTGCTTTTGCTCCCTATATATATGTTTTTCCACATTTTGCATATTCTTTCATTGTTTCAACATTCAGCCCTTCTCAGTGAGGATACTGTTGGTGAGTCACAGAAGTCCTTCTTCCTGGTTCCAGTTCTAACCACCCCTTCCTGGCCTTGTGATGGAGCCATGTCACTTCATCTCCTTAAACTTCTGTTCTATCAACTCTAAGATGGAAACAATAATAGTAGCTCCCCCATGGTGATTTTTGGGGGTACAACCTGAGTTTATCCATGTGAAACTCTTTGAATTGTACCTGAAACTTAGAAAGTGCCCAATAAATGTTGTATGTGATTTTTGTTTTCTTTATTAAAACAAACAATGTGGATTTACTTTTTTGAGACTAAAATGCTTCATATTAACTTCAGACTTTATGGGTAGGGAGTTATTATAAACTTTAAATGATCTGATACTAGTGCCCAAGGGACATTCTGGTTTCACCCAAGTGAAGATTGTTAATCCTTGCCTTCCCTGACTTCATCTCACTCCCAGGTCTTCTGCCCTGGATAACGAAGGGCTCATTCTATCAAGGGCACTTCTGCGGCTTCTCCTTCCAGTGCCAACCAACTCACTGACTAACTGGGTATCCTACAGTTCAATTCCATCCTGACACTAAATACCCAAAGTTAGGCTCCAAGTTCCACGAGACTGCCCTCACACCAGACACCAGCCATAAATGGGATGTCCAGGTCACCCACACTCTGCCGGCCAACTACAAATTCAGGGTTGCCCACAACCCCCTCTTTAGGTTTGATAACTTTCTAGAATGACTTGCAGAACTAAGAAAAAGAGCTTTACTTATGTTTATCAGTTGATTGTAAAGGATACCACCCAGAAACAGCCAGGCGGAAGAGCCTCACAGGACAAGGTCGGCAGAGGGCACAGAGTTTCCAGTTCTCTGCAGAGGTGCCACCTGCCCGGTACCTCAGTGTGCTCCCCAGTCTGGAAGGTCCCTGAAGCCTGTTGTTCAGGGGTTTTATGAAGGTTCTACTGCCATTGGTGACTGAATTCAATTTCTCATCCTGAAGCTATCTGACCCCCTTTTATTTCTCTAAAAGTCCTCTCACCAGAATCTCCAAGACAGTAAATTCCAAGGATTTTAGGACCTCTGTGTCAGGAACCAGGGAAAAAGACCAAATACTTATTTTCTACTGAACCACAAGGGCCTCAGCTTTAAAGCTGTGCTGGCCCTGTCCAGGCTGACCTGATGCATGAAGCATGGAGAGGAATCCAGGGCAGGCCACAGTACAGATATCTCAGCCCCGTGCTACCCTGGCAGAGCCATGCCACCTGGGACACAGCACTTATCTGCCTGGCCATGTGCCAACCACAGAGACCAGCCACAGCCATCGTGCATCCGTGCTCCTTTCCTGGGAACTTTGTATGCATAGACACTGTGCTGTGATTACACAGGAACTATTGCTAATCCTCCCCACAGCTCAGCTGGGCGACGGTGGTTATCCTGACCTCAGCGATGGAAAGAAAGGGATTCAGACAGGGGAGCTTCTAGTCAAGGACACCCTGCTAGGGTGTGAGGGTCAGCTTTCTGCCAGCAAAACATTTCTGTCTCACTGGCAGCACAGAGACACAGCAGCAGTTTCCACAGGTAACCTTTGGGGGACAGTCACACGCCTTCCCTGGGACCCCTCCACATTCCCTCTCCGTCGGATGTTGTCAGATACCACCTCTACCCCCTCTCCCAGAGTTTATCCTCATTCCCATTTTCTCATGAAACTTTAAGTCCTAACTGCAGTTGAATAAACAACAGCAAGAATTTTAATCGTGCAGAACATGATTGAGCCAGGTGTTGATTTCTTTTGGATGAGCAAGGTTTTTCCAGAATGAGTGTGCCTTCTTCCACCTTCCCTGTGATCTACCTGGTGGACTGACCCCTGGGGTTGCCCGGGCAGCAGGTCTCTCCCACAGCAGCCCCCAAGCTTGTCCTGGCCAGTGCACATCCTAACTCACGCAGCCTTGTGGGGGCTGACCATCTGTCTGCTTCAGGCCTGCAAATATCCACTTCATCAGCTCTTTCATCTGGCTGATTATTTTGAAGCATTTTTTAATTCAAAAATCCAGTGGAGGCCTCTTATTCCCTTCCAAACTCACCAAAATCCTAAGAGTCCTCCTTTCAGCAATGGGCCTGCCCCTGCCTGCCCAGGTTCTGTAACACCTAGGCCACAGTGCCCAAAGGTCCCTTTTCCTCAGAGTTTGTTTTCTGGCTCCAAGTCCTGGGGCCTATTTTACAAGTAACATCTTGTCTGTCTCCTAAGCTTTCTGTAAATGTTCACATGTTCTGGGATAAAAGTTACATTTTTCCCCCAGCAGGTACTAGAAAAGCTAAAGTTCAGAAACATTGAAATCTCTCCTGTGCCTCCTTGGTCATTTCTAATCTTATCCAGGCAGGAACAGAGATTGTTGCTGCATCCGTAACAGACACTAATTAGTCTGAGCTAGAAGCTGGAGATTATTTGAAAAGAAAGCATAAGTGTAATTGTACCAGGCAATCACTACTCAAGCAACTGGTCGTCAATAACCAATATGCATTTCCTGCCAATACTCTCCTCTCAGGACAGAATGGATTCCTAGGACGCGTGCTCTATCCATGCTGGCAACTCACCCCCTCCCACTGCCTTTATCCTGGAGCTTTCTGAGGCTCCCTCCACCCAGGACAGCCCCACGGATGCTGCCAAACCCCTGTCCCAGCTCCTGCTGTCAGCAGGGAGGGGACCTGGTTGAGGGCAGGTCTCACTTTATTTTTGTCCAGATCTTAGAACATCGTGATACACCTTGACAACTACACATGCTGGCATGAATCCACGTAATTCAACTTAGGATGTTTTCATACCACTAAATACATTTTCTCTCTGGTCCTGAAAGGATGTGAAGCAATTTCATCAAAGGAACAAAGTCAGGTGGAGATAAAGTTTTAATGAAGTAGGGGTAGAAAATTAGAAACAAGAAAAAGAGCAGGAAGCCACACAGAAAACAGCAAGGGTTTCACTTTAGCATGCTGTCCTTGCTTTGTTTGTGCTTTAAGTGACAGATTCCTCACAAAAACAAAACAAAACAAAAAAACCCAGCCATTTATAAAAACAAATGCAGTTTGATGTAAAATTGTCAAGAAGGTGCGCGTTCAGGCTGTCAGTTTCACTTCTATGATGCTGAATGTAAGAAATGGCTTTTCAAATGTATTGCCAAAACAGTTTTGGCTACTCAGGTTGGTTGTTTTCTTCTTTCTGATCTTGCATGCCATGCAAAATTTTGTGTGTGTGTGTGTTTCCCCCTGGCAGCCAGGAAGCCCAGAACTAAATCTCATGTTTGTTTGCAGCAACTATGCTAGGACCATTTAGTATTCATTGTGTCTTTCCTCCTTGCTATGGTCTGATTTGATTAAGGGACAAGGTTACTGCATGTTTAGACCGTCTTAAGAATGCTTTGGGGAGCATATAACAAAATAACTGACCAGCTGTGACTTAAGCACAAAGACATTTAATTATTTCATGGGAAATAAGGACCGGATAGAGTTGGTAGCAGAGTTGGTTCCGAAGCTCAACAAACTTGACCCAAGTTGTTTCTCCTTCCTGTTCCTTTGTCCCAGTACTGTCAGGAATGTCTCCTCTCAAAGTCACAGCTGTTGTGGCTTCTAATACCTTATTCTCACTGAGCAGCTCTGAGTGAGACGAAGAAGGGCTGGAGCCATAACGCCTTCTCCTCCAGTGCCTCCCTCTGTTATCAGGGAGCAAAATCTTTCCCCAAAGTCCCTAAGAAGAGCTCTTCTCACATCCCACGGGCCCAAATCCCATCACACCATGAGAATGGATGGGAAAGCGTAAGACAGCCAGGACTGCCTTAGTCCAACCATAACTCATCCCCTGGGCTAAGTAGTGAGTGACCATCTGGCAGGAAAACGAGAATATACCACGCAGAGGAGGAAAAGTTCCAATTAAAGTGTATATGGTACTTATTACAAGTTAGAAGTAATTACAAGCATTTGCATTTACCAATTTTTTAATTCATTCAACAACTCTCTGAAGTGTTATTTTATTTTAATCTCCAATTCAGGGACCAGGAAACAGAGATAGGTTAGACAATGTGTCCAAAGCCACACAGCTAAAGAGTGGTTGAGCTGGAACTGAAACCCAGGCCACCATGTGCCATGTGGTCTCGCTGTATACATTCATTCTCTTTTATGGAAGGAAGTGCCAATACAGATGTTTTAGAAATGCTGATTCTCATAGTTTGGCTTTTGAGAGACCGAAACTAGATAGAAGATATGAAGGCATAACCTGGGATTGCTGTATAAAGACTTTAATAGGACCCAATTCTTTATAGAAGGGGCAGCATCTGTAAAGATGGGCTTTTAGAGCTGACTAACCTGAGTAATTATCAAGTACCATTTCTGCAATGTGTAGATGAGAAGACTTCTCTAGAAATGGAAGCACCTTGTGCACACCTCATAAACTGACAGAGCTGGGGTTAGGGTAGAGTTTTTGTCTACCAACTATTCTGAATACATATGATTAATACTTTTTCTTTCAGTCGGGCGCGGTGGCTCACGCCTGTAATCCCAGGACTTTGGGAGGCCGAGGCGGGCGGATCACAAAGTCAGGATATCAAGACCATCCTGGCTAACACGGTGAAACCCCGTCTCTACTAAAAATACAAAAATTAGCCAGGCGTGGTGGTGGGCGCCTGTAGTCCCAGCTACTCAGGAGGCTGAGGCAGGAGAATGGCGTGAACCCGGGAGGTGGAGCTTGCAGTGAGCCAAGATCGTGCCACTGCACTCCAGCCTGGGCGACAGAGCGAGACACTGTCTCAAAAAATAAATAAATAAATATTTTGTCTTTCATCTATATTCTCCAAAAGCTGCCATTTTCTTCCCCATTTTAACCACAGACGATGTGAATGGACAAAGCCCGTATTGCAATTCATGTAGCGGAGGGTAGCTGTGTGTGAAGCAGTGAGGGCCTGGGGAAATAACACTATGGTTCCCTGGGTACCATTAGCCCAGATCTCATCCAGCAATGGCCTGTGCATGATTAGAAACCGAGCTCACTGTGACAATGTACTAAATAAGAATTAAAAACAAATAAAGCATTGCCTGGGTTCTACTCTTGGCTACTCACAACCTCTTGGAGCCTCAGTGTTTAATTTGTACAATGAGATTGTTATATCTCTTAAGATTTGTGAAGAATCAAGGAGATAATATGCATAAAAGCATTTTTTAACTATAGAGAAAGTCACCTATTCACTTCCATTATTTTTACATATTATTACACAAATATAGGCTCTGGAAATCCCTTAAATATTTTCTAAATCAGCATGGAGATTTTAGGATTTTACTAATTGAAATACAATTGGTCAAATGCTCCAAGTTGGAAGCAGTTCGCCAATGGCAATGGCAATGAAAAGATGTCAGGGCTGATACCTTCTGACGAAAGCACCTCCCCAATACCAGTGGGTCTTCAGTGGCATTGGCCTTACTAGCAGCAGATGTCATCAGGTCCTTTGTAGGTGATGATACAGTGGAACCTAGAGAGTTCACCCACCTTTGTAAAGAGCAGAGCCCATGGCTATGTGCAGGATGCTGAACCTTCTCTAAAGCTTCAGAAGCTGAGTGCCTACCTTGGGAAGAATTCTAGGGCTTGTTTCAACTGGATTATTTTACTGAATTCATTCAGAATCTTCTTAGTCTAATATCAGCAGCAAAGCTAGATATAGGCAGAACAGCACTGCCCCAGAAAAGAACAAGACAGCCAATCTCAATAGTGAGTTCTTTAGCTAGAATTCATTGAGTACCATGTGCCAGGAAATGTGTTCAGTGTAATAACAAAATGATCTCTTCTTACAGAAAAATAGCATGAACAGTTCCCTCCCTCTTGATACTTTCTCTAGACCATTGAAATGTAAAAATACAAGAAAGAATTTGGTAGTAGAAAGAACCCTGGATGGGTGGAAGTCTGGAGATGGCATTTCTGTTTCTGGCTGTATCAGTGACAATGTGGCCTGGTTGGTATTGGGAAAGACCCTTTTCTGGGCCTTGAATCCTTCATTTATAAAACAATGAGACCTGATAAACTCACTTTAAGACCCCCCCAGTGGATAGCATTAGGAGATATATCTAATGTAAATGACGAGTTAATGGGTGCAGCACACCAACATGGCACATGTATAAGTATGTAACAAACCTGCACGTTGTGTACATGTACCCTAGAACTTAAAGTATAATAAAAAAAAAGAAAAAGAAGAAAAAAAAACTATAATAATCCTAAAAAAAAAAAAGACCCCCCCCCGCCCCCCCCCAATGCTGACCTTCTCTGAAACTAGCTCCTGAAAAGAGAGGTTTGGTTTTCGGCTCCTTGAAAGAAAAAAGAAGAAAAAAAAAAACAAACGAACCCAGTGCAGGGAGGGGCATGCCACAGGAAAGCAGAATCTGCTTCTGCCACTGGCCTTGCTGGTGACAATGAAGATGTTCCCTCTTCATGTGCCAAACCAGCTTGTCACAGATAGAGCGTGGTGTGAGCCAGCTTCTCCATAGACTCCTGGCTCCTGCCCATCGGCTCAGAAGGAGCGCAGCTACTGGGGAGAGCAGCTCATGACTCAAAATCACGTCCTGCTGCTAATGCAGCAAGACCTCCATCCAAAGGCAACAGTGTCATTAGGGGACCCTGGAGCTTGTCTTAATCAATAGGGACAAGATTTCCACATGATTTCTATCCCTTGAGAAATTTTCAGTGGCGCCAATGCTGCCTATTATTTAAGGCACAAGTGTTTCCTCATCTGCAAACATCAGCTTATATCATGCTTAAGCCTATTGGCTTGTGCATGTTCATGCAAGCACACACATGCTCAGGCGTGTAAACACATATACACACACTCCTGCACGCACACACGTTCATGCATGCACACACACACATTCATGCATGCACACACACACACAGATTCAGGCATGTGCACACATATATACACACTCATGCATACACACACATACGCCCACACTCACTGAACAATGCCAGCTATTGTCTCTGGACTGATTGATGACACACCAAGTCCTTCATCCTACAGTCTTTGACTTATGCATTGATGAATTCTGGTGACTGGTGACTACACGAAGAAGATCTACTAGGTAACTTATTCTTTATTTGGCCTCAATTTCCACTTATATGAAGCAGAAAAAAACAAAAATAAGTACATATCTGGGTGCTAGAAATTTTCACTTTAAATATTAAAGAATATATGTGTCCCCAGAGTTAAAATATTATAAATCTAAAATAGAATCCTAAAGATTGACGGGCTCATATTGAAGGCACCTGATTTTTAAAATCTATTTATACAACTAATTGTACAAGTCAACGATGTTAAAACATAATAAAGACTAAGTTAGCCCTTTAAGTGATTACATTTTCATATACTTTCATGTTGCTAAAACTGAAATGCTAGTCTGGTTAACCTGCTAGGTTTTCGCTACTAGTCAACAAACTGGAACATGATAGGTGGTTAAACCAAACCCAAACCAAACATAAATCAAAACTCTTTGATTCCTGGTCACTGTTAAAGGTCAAATGTCTCCTTATAGCAACAAGCATACATCTGTATTGAAGTAGCAGGCAGAGAGCTTGCTGACTGTGATTTCAGCTGCTTTAGGGGGTATAATTCTTTTAAGACAAACTGCACTACACAGTATTATCATCAGGATTCCAAAGTGCAAGGAGACCTCCTTGAGTTTGGCCTTGACCAGCAGGTGGCAACAAGCATGGAGATGGGTTTCTGTTTGGGTTGGCGACTTGTTTGGTTTATGTTTCTTTGAGTTGAGTTTGCTTAAATGAGGGAGGATCATGGTGGAGATACCATATGTAATGACAAGGACAGCAGCCTTAGAAGGCAGATGCCATTATTGTTCCCATTTCACAGGTGAGAATATTTAAACTTAGGAATCTAAGTACTTTCCCAAAGACACTAGTCTGGTCAGTAATAGAGTGGATCTGTGAATCCAGCTTTGCCTCACATGCCCAATCTCTTGCTCTTGGGCATGACTCAGTTCCCTGGAGCACATTATAGCATTTCATGCCTCTAGCCAGGCCTGGGCTGTGCTGCTTTGACTGGTTAGAACACCCATGGCCTATTTATCTGCTATTCTTCAAAGCCCAAGTCATATATACTCTTTTTCACTTAAATGTCTCTGGTGGCCTCAGACAGAATTATCTGTTTCCCCATTTATGTTCCCATAGACTATTGTGAGTCCTCATCATTTGTCTGGAACGTGAGGCGGGTAGAAGTGAGTGCCATGGAATGAAGTTGCTATGTTAAGATCAGAAAAGGAAGGGATTTCTACACCATGGTAAATAACTTACTGTGTAATTGTTACAGCCTGAATGTTTGTATTCCCCTTCTTCCTAAAATGTATATGTTGAAGCCCTAACCTCCAATGTGATGGGATTTGAAGATAGGGCCCTTGGGAGGAAATGAGATTTAGAGGAGGTCATGAGGTCCAGGCTCCTTGATGAGTTAGAATCTATAAGAAAAGAAAGGCCATGTGTGGTGCTCACGCCTGTAATCCCAACACTTTGGGAGGCTGAGGCAGGCGAACACCTGAGGTCAGGAGTTCAAGACCAGCCTGGTCAACAAGGTGAAATCCCATCTCTACTGAAGATACAAAAATTAGCCAGGTGTGGTGGGGAGCGCCTGTAATCCCAGCTACTCTGCAGGCTGAGGCAGGAGAATCGCTTGAACCTGGGAGGTGGAGGTTGCAGTGAGCCCAGAGCATTCCGTTGCACTCCAGCCTGGGCAACAAGAGTGAAACTCTATTTCAAAAAGAGAAAAAAGAAAAGAAACAGAGACCAGAGGTCCTTCCTCTCTCTACGTGAGGACACCATGAGAAGGCAGCCATCTGTAAGCCAGGAAGAAGGCCCTCACCAGGAGTCAAATTGGCCTTGAACTTGGACTGTCCAGCCTCCAGAACTGTGAGAAATACACGTTTGCTGCTTAAGCCATCAGGCAGTCTATTGGTGTTCTGTCACAGCAGCCCCCACACACTCATAATACTGTAGTAAAATGAGCATGCAGGATGGATTGTAAACCAGAAAATACCATGGTCACACAGTACCAACAGGTATTCCCAATTTTAAAAGAGAAAACTACACTTTTTATTGTTATTTATTTATACAATTACAAGCATCAACAAACATTTCTGTAAAGAACCAGAGGATACATATTTCAGGCTTGGATGCAGATCCACAGTTTCTGTCTGTGGGCTGCAGGCCGTGGTTTGCCAACCACAGTATAATAAAATAGACTTTCAAAAGAAACTTATAATTTCTCAAACACTTTTGTTTGCTGGGTAGACATCCAAATAATTCTTTTTGCAAGAAATTGATTTAGGTATCATTTTATTGCAGATATAACTGATTAGACACATATGCAAATAACTGTAAACAGTGTGATTTAGCCTCCTTGTGAGGGAAATACACTAAGAACCCATTGCTGTTAACGCATAGACCAATGCATGTGTATTAAGAATCTCTCAAATCTCAAAATTGACGTTTCAGGGGAGCCTCAACTCCCAGGGGGCTCAGCCTCATTCTATAGAAGTCACCAACCCATTATCAAAGCCTCACGCTAGTATCATTTTATAAAAATAGACAAGAGAAAACAAGATCCCACATGGGAAATGCTGCCGCCACAAGAATGTGATCGCCTCTGTCTCTGTTACCTTCTATCTAAAAGCAGATATTGCTGTGGGATCTTTTTCAAAAACTTCTCATTTCACATGAATGTTTCCCCCAAGCGCCCTCTATTTTCAGCAAATCTCAAGGATGTTTTGCTTGCCTTGGGTCAAAGAATCACTCTGACTTGTGTAAATGAAACATTGACCAGGAAAAAGGGAACTGATTTTTATTTGTCGCTTTAAGGCAGACATTGAACTAGACCTTTTGTCTTTATTCAGGTTTGTATCCTGCCCAACAACTTATTGCGGTCATCACTCTTCCCCTGAATTTATAGATAATGAATTTGAGCCTCAAAGACTTTCCAGGCCACACATCTGGTGTAACAGCTGGGTATAAGATTTAAACCCAAATCATATATTCCAAGGTATATATCTGTTTTACCCCATCAGATTTTTTCTTTCTTACGCTTAGTGCTTTTATCAGAGCTCCTCTCCCATCCAAAGCAACCCCTTATCTCTGAAGCAGAATCACTGTCTGCAGGTTTCACATTAACGTGGATTCCTCCTTCCCTTCTTCTCCAGCAAAGCATCCTGAGTAGAGGGGGCTCGCAGAAGGAAGCAGAAGAGGCGCTCCTCTGGTGGCTCTCCAAAGTGCACAGAGCTGGGATATGGCAGGGATGGGGGAGGCTGGGGGACCAGGGGGTCAGGCAGCTGAAACTGATGAGGCAGCCCACCAGCTATGTCAACAGAGCAGGGCGCCGGAGTGTTGGAGCCCTGGGGCTGATGGAGCCCTGGGCTGCGAGCCTGCCCACAGAGCCGCCAAGTCTAGACTCCAGATGTGTGTTCACCGCTACCCAGCCAAGTCAGATCCAGCGGGTAAATATTCCTACCAGATGACAGTGGGCTCAGTTACAGCAGTGATGACAAAAGACAAAAATAGGAACAGAGTGAATACCAGGCACTGCTGCTGCTCCTTGGGGGAGACAAACACACACTCACACACACACGTGCACACACACACTACATACCTCTCCAAGACGCTATTACGGCAGTAAATCGTATATGTTCTTATATTTTCTTGCTAAGTCGAAATAGTTCCAAGATGAATTGAAGGCTATTTAAGTAAATTAAACACTTAAAATGAGCTGAAATTGGGTGCATGAAAAGGACACAAGCAATTTACCTTCTGATTTTTAATCTTTTGAGAGATAGAGAGCTGAGAAAAAGACAGAAAGCAAGTTTTTAAGAAATTGTTTTAGAATACAGAGCAATGAAATGTTCATTTGTTTGGAGAGTTGAGAGTTGCACAATTTTAAAGAGACTCAAGATAAAACTGCATAATAAAAATCTAAAAATAGATCTGTCTTCCAGCTTTCTTCAGGCCAAATGTTTATCACTATCTCCCACACCAGCCCTACCCAGAGAGTCATCAACTGTGTCACCTCGATTACAGCTAGTTCTGATGACGTCATAGGCTGATTTCAAAATGTGGCTTTCAAAATCTGCCTCGAGCAATTGCAGGGAAAGAACATAGGTTTTCAATAATTCCCGAGTTGTAATATCTCTTTGCTTAAAATATACTGACACCTGGTAGGAGGTAAGGTTTCACTTCCTTGTGAAATTACAGCCTTCCATATATCAGAGACAGCAGCTGAAAATGAATGAAATGCTAGAATTTTTTATGAACTCCCTCACTCCATTCACAGTATCCCAGGAGACATTTAGGTAATATTATAGACATCGACACTTTCACTGTTCTCTTACTTTACTTCTTGAGAGGATAGGATTTTATTTGGGGGGAAAATAGACCCAGAACTGGAGTCTAGATCATCCCCTTTAGATTAAAAAAAAGGGTGACCCCTGACAACCAGGGAAGGCAATTACTACTGACCAATTAACCACCACTTTCCAGACACTTCACTTACTTTATCCCCTGTAATTTTCACAAGCAGCCCGAGAAGTTAAGTATATTATAGAATAAACAATTTCCACAGAGTCACAGAGATGGTCCGTACAGAGCTGGGATTTGAACTCATTCTGCCTGAATCCAAATGGAAATCTAACATATGCTGGGGAAAGGATCTGGGTAGAATGACAGGCTCCAGTGATACTGACCACGCCATCTTCTGGATAAAAATGCATTCTTTTCTTTTCTTTCTTTCTTTTTTCTTTTTTTTCTTTTATTTGAGACAGGTTGTTGCTTATTGCTCTGTTTCCCAGGAGTGCAGTGGTACAATCGTAGTTCACTGCAGCCTCCAACTCCTGGGCTCAAACAGTCCTCCCAGCTCAGCCTCCCCAGTAGCTGGGACTGCAAATGTGAGCCACTGTGTCTCTTAAAACTTTATTTATTTATTTATTTATTTATTTTATTTTATTTTTTTTTTTTTGAGACGGAGTCTCGCTCTGTCGCCCAGGCCGGACTGCGGACTGCAGTGGCGCGATCTCGGCTCACTGCAAGCTCCGCCTCCCGGGTTCACGCCATTCTCCTGCCTCAGCCTCCCGAGTAGCTGGGACTACAGGCGCCCGCCACCGCGCCCGGCTAATTTTTTGTATTTTTAGTAGAGACGGGGTTTCACCTTGTTAGCCAGGATGGTCTCGATCTCCTGACCTCATGATCCACCCACCTCGGCCTCCCAAAGTGCTGGGATTACAGGCGTGAGCCACCGCGCCCGGCCTTTATTTTTATCTATTGTGTGTGCGTGTGCGTGTGTGTGGAGACGAGGTCTCGCTATGTTGCCCAGGCTGGTCTTCAACTCCTGGCCTCAAGTGATCCTCCTGTCTCAGCCTCCCAAAACACTGGGATTACAGGTATAAGCCAACACACCCTGTATTTCTAAATGTAAATTTTCTCATATAATTTGATGAGTCCATAAAGTACAAAATCTTTCCATTCATTTTCAGATGAAAAATAAAACTATATCTGCCGGATTTGCTTGAAGGAAAAATTAACAATACATTGAATCTCAGCTAAAAACAAACAAACTCAATAGTATATCATAGATTCAGTACAATCATAGGTCCTCTGACCACAGCTGGCTACATCATTGACTTAAACTTCATAAAAGCACCCAATTTAAATCTGTAATAATGTATCTGAGTCCTTCTCTTATCTCAAGGTCATTATAATACAGCCTCATTTCTTATTATATCACATCAGAGTCTCTAAAATTCAAACTATTTAAATTTTATTTTATAGTCTATACATATAATTTTTATTATTTATTATTCAATTTTTTTATTGATTGGATACTTAATGAAAGGAAGTACATGCTACCCACTTTTCCTTTATTTTTGAAACAGAAAATTTGAGTCACCCAAAGAGGTGAGAAAGATATGGAGGCTGTCCAGATGGTTCTGTCCTTGGCCTTTTTTCTCTGCTTTCACATCATCCAAGATTCCATTCACTGTCATCATTTCAGCCACCTCTGCTATGTAGTAAATGTTCCTGATTGTGCCTTTGGCTGTAGATATGTGTGACAGTTCCACCCTTCACCCCAGGAGGGACAAACCAGGCTTTGCCCCTTCCTTCCAATGACCCTCACTCCTTCCTCTCCTCCTCCCCTGGCTTCCCCTTGCCCTCCTCTCTCTTCTCCTCCATCCTTCTTTTCCTCCTCCCTCTGCTCCCCCTCCTCCTCCTCCTCTGAATTCTCTAAGGACAGCAAAGCCAAAGCTGGCTACCCTTCTCTCTTGCTCCACTCATCTAATCAGTTTCCAAACCACACACCCTGCCTCCTCTCTGCCCCCTGACCCGCCTTTCTCCTTCCCTGTGCCATCACTCAGGTAGAGGCTCACTGTTCTCCTGGGGTCTATACTACTTACTTTACACTGTTCTGCCCATTTCCTGCCTTTCTGCATTCCTTTTGCTTGACATTCTCCTGTAATTGGCTTTCTATTTGTTATGGATGGCATGTGTGTGTGTCCTCCACAAATTCATATGTCAAAACCCTAAGCTCTAATGGGATGGTATTAGAAGGTGGGGGCATTGAGAGGCGATGGGTTCTGAGGTTGGGGACCTCGTGGTGGATGTGTGCCCCCATAAGGAGAGACAGGAGAGAGCTTGCTTCCTTTCTCTTTACTGCCTCTACCATGTGAGGATACAAGGAAAAGAAGGCCATCTTCAAACCAGGAAGCAGACCCACCACACATTGAATCTGTCAGGACTTTGATCTTAGCCTTCCCAGCCTCCAAAGCTGTGAGAAATCAATGTCTGTCATTCAAGCCACCCAATCTATGGTAATTCATTATAGCAGCCCAAACTGACTAAGACATCATTGTTCTTCCTACAAAGGAAACGCACTTCATATGGCTTTTAGGCTTTGTATGCACCAGCCCAGCCTCATCTCCTGTCCCAGTGGCCAAGCTGCAGTCAGAGGACCTTCTTTTTGTCCCTTGCACTTGTATGATTTTGCCTCCACAGAGATTTTGTTCATGCTGTTCCCTCTGCCTGCATTGTCCTTCCCTTCAATTTGGCCTTGGCAATTACTGCTCATCTGTCAGCTCTTGCTTAATTGCTAATGCAACGAGGAACATGTTTCCTATGCTCTCTGGCTAGACCAAGCTGTCATGGTGCTATGGGGGTCTCCTCAGTCATCTAAGTTGCAGCTTTTCATGTATCCATGTTATTTGATTTATGTCTGTCTCCCTCATGATATTATAAACTACGTGAGGGCAGAGAACTTATCTGGCTTTGCTGGCCGTTGTAGCTACTGTTCCTAGCACATGTTCTAATAGATGAATAAATGATCAATAAATATTTGTGGACAGAAGGAAAGAAAGATGGTAAATGAAAAAGAGGGAGGTTTATTAGTTTTCTATTGCTGTCTAACCAATTACTGTAGACACAGTGGCTTAAAGCAACACAGACTCATCATCTCAGTTTCCATGGGTCAGGACTCTGGCACGTGTTCGCTGGATACTCGGGTCAGCATCTCACAGGGCCAAAGGCAAGGGCTCAGCCAGCTTCGTCCTGTTGTGGAGACTGACCAAAGAAAGATTTGCTTTCTTGCTAAAGGTCAGCTGGTGGCCAGAGCTCATGGAGGCTGAGTTCAGTTCCTTGCCAGGTGACCCCACCCATAGACCCTCTTACTTTTCCAATTACTCTACTTCAGAAAGGGTCATTTTAAGCCTCCTTAAGGGACCACCTGATCAAATCAGGCACACCTGGATAATCTACCTTTTGATTGACTCAAAGTCACCTGATCAGTAAAGTAATCACAGGAGTGATAACACCATCTTCACGGGCTCTGCGGGCAATCCAAAGAGGGGGTCACGGGAGACATGCACCTCCAGAAAATGAGATCTTGGGGAACGTCTTGGAACTCTGCTGCCCACAGAAGGACGTGAGTTGTGGCAACCAGACAGGTGAACATCATTGCTCCTCAAGGTAGGATGTTGGTTAGAATAACAGACTTTCAGAACTTTGCCACATGCTGGTTGAGAAATGTTGAATAAGTTAGAACCTTTCAAAGTCTTCATTTCCAAATACATATGATTATAATAGCAATAACATCTTCTTCAGGAGTTTCTATGAAAGATTAAATGTCTTCAGCCACAAAATGCTTTGAGCGGTATCCCTGGGACATAGGACATATCCATGAGAGGGACCTATCTCTGTTGGGATTCTTACATGGCTTTTGGGAACAATGGATCCAGGATTTGAAATGCAGATTTTTCCCGGAATACCTAGAACATATGGTCTCCAAAATTAGAGAGGCAACATCCAATCAGCAATATATTTCTGTGGGAAAAAATCCCCTTGGAGACAGGAAGCTAAAGAGAAGACCAAAAAAAAAAAAAAAAAAACAAAATCAAATCCAGGCCTGGTAGTTACCTATTTCATTAAGGAGCATTTACACCTTCCTTAATCAAAGAGTTTTTAAATGTTATTTGAGAGAAAATTATATTATTTTATAAGTTTTGAGTAATACACATAGCAAGTGGAGCTAAATAAAAGAGACTTTGAACTGACTGCCTGTTTTTATTTTGTTTTACACCAAGTTATCTGCTCCTAAATCAAAGTTAATAATATTTCCCACTTAAAATGCCCCCAACATCCTACCGTAGTTATTTCTCATGTTTCAAACTCCCATTCTTGCTGATGAGGGCTTTCTTTTCTATCTAATTTATTTGGATTCTGTTCTCTCCAGTATAATGTAGGAACTTCCCACAGAGTTGATGAGATCACTTCCTGCTGCCTCAGCACAGGGCTGGAGCTGAGTCAGGCCGGCCAGGCCACCCATCGCAAAGGCTGTCATTAGGACTGATTGTCAGAGATAATGTAAAGCCTTAGGAAATGTCACTGACACCCAGAAAATGGGAGCGGAAACCTACCTTGTAGCACCATCCGCTTATACCCTGTGATTCCACCGAAACGTCCTCCTGATCTACGGCTCTCACCTCCTTCCTATCAGCTTTCCTTGCTGGTGACAGAATGGTACCTGCACCCTGGAGGAGAACCCTCACAGGCCATGCTTGGTCCCTGGGGTTTGGGGGCAGCTTGGGCTCATGAAGAGAAACGATGTGGAGGGAGAAGCCTTAGTCTTAACCTCTGGCATTGCCACTTGCTGGCACCATCTGTTCCTTCGCCTCCGTGGGCTCTGGTTTCTGCTTCTGCACCCCTGCAATGGGACAGTCCCAGCACCTGCCATATTTATCTCCCGTCTCTGTTGTTTGTGGAATCAGATGTTGGATGGGACTTTCTCCGCTTGTGAAATCGGGTTAGAATCTGGAATGGGAGCTTCACGCCATTTCCATAATTTCTGCAAGTCCTCCCACCTCAATGCCTCTGCCCCCAGTTCTGTGCTCATTCATTCTATTCAGCTGCATCTTTTAATCCAACGCCCTTTGGCATTTCAGCCTCACAATTTTACTAAAGGTGTGGGTGCTGTTTGGAAGCATCACATCCTATATCATATAGTCTCTGCTATTTGGTAAATTGCACCCCTTTCCTCTAAGTCTTCCTGCAGTCGAGTCTTCTAGGGAGTGATGTACAATTCCCCAGGCTGGGGCTTTTCCCAGGCCAGCAGGCAGCCCACATAGCCTGCCCTGCCTTCAGGAGAACTTCAGTGGATGGAATAGTCTCCGTCTCATAATAGTAGGGTCTAGTGAGTTATTATTATATTAAGGTCTTTGGGAGCACTTTGATACTGGTGAAGTAAATAACAAATGTCAGGTATAATTAGTGCCTTAGACCATTTGAGCTGCTATGCAAAATAGCACAGACTGAGTGGCTGATAAATCACAGAAATTTATTTCCTATACTTCTAAAGGCTGGGAAGCCCAAAATCAAGGTGCTTTGAGATTCAGTGTCTAGTGAGGGCCTGCTTTCGGATCCTTAGATGGTACTTTCTTGATGTGATCTCATATGGTAGAAGGGGTGTGGGATCTTGCTGAGCCTCTTTTATTCAGACCATAGCAATTCACATTATTTTGAACATCATGGGGCATAAAAACTTCTGCAAGCACAACCGAATGGAATCTGCAGCAAGTCTTAGTGATGGCTGGCCTCATGGCAGAAATCAAACCTTCATGTTAAATGGGCATCTTTTAACTAAAGACATCACACTGTGGAGGTATGATCCATAAATATGCAAGCGCTGCAGCCATAACTCCGTTCACCTTGCAAAAGCAAAAATCCAATTATAAGTTGGGTCCAGAACCAGACCAGAAAGGATGGCTTGGTGAATGGCAACACAGTTTCATTGAAAAATAAAGCCAAGCATGTGTTGGATTACTTCTTTCTGTCTATTCTATCAGTACCATGAAAAGCAGGTTGAGTAAATATTTATTAATCAGTCTCTTGGAAATATTTTACTATTCTTTTTTCTAATATTATATGAATGAGAAAATGCATACAAAATGATATAAAGAAATAAAGAAAAATATAAACAATAACAATGCACCTAAAACCAGCTGAAGAAACAAAATATTGCCAACAGAGTCGAAGCCCACTTTCAACCAATTCTTCCCCCACCTCTCTCTTCTACCTTCCCCAGGGATAAGCTCCCAGAGGTAACCACTGGCTTGAACTGGATTTTTATCATTTCCATGGTTTTCTTTGTATCTTTTCTTATTTGTTTCCTCAACTTTTCCTACATATGCATGTGCTCCTAAGCTATATTTCCACATTTCTGTATTGGAGGGCTTTCTAACCACTGTCCTGGGGCACACTGGTGTGCCTGGAACGACTTACAAGCTGCCAAGCGCCTTAGTCAGCCAAGGGCTCCATAACAAAGTGCCATGGACTGGGGATGTCAACAAGAGATGTTATTTTCTCACAGCTCTGGAGGCTGGAAGGCTGAGATCAAGGTGTCCACAAGGTTGGATTCCTCAGTCTTTTCTCCCTGGCTTAGATATGGTACCTTCTGGCTGTGTTCTTGCATGGCTTTGTCTCTGTGCACCTGCATCCCTGTTCCTTCCCCTTCTCATAAGGACACTAGTGGTATTAAAGTCCCACCTTTGTGATCTCATTACAGGATCTATCTCTAAAAACTGTCATGTTGGGGATTTGGGCTTCAGCATATGAATTTGGAGGGACACAATTCAGTCCACAGTGTCATGTTAGTCATCTTTTCTGCCTTCCACAATCTTGCTGATTTATAAATAAGCAAACCTGAAACAACGTTTCATGAAATCACCGCCCTTGAGACACAGAAGAACAGCTTGGCACATTTGCCCACCCTCCACCGCCCTGGCCGCATTTTTCAGAACTCAAGACTCAGAATTTCTTTGGGGAGCTTCTCTGATTTTTCACATTCCCTGTAAGAATATACTTGGATGATATTCTTGGATATGAGCTTGGTTTCTCTTCAATGGAAATTCAATGCCCGCTTTTTTCATCCTGATCATTCACAAGAATAATGAGTATATGAGGGAGAACAGAGAGACTCTTTCTTATTTAAAGTCTCAACCTGTTTGGTGTACATCTCTCTAGCAGAATCTCTGGAATGTGGAACCTCCTGGTCCATGCAGATCAAATGTCGTTACCAGTTTAAAAACAAATTAGTCCATAATAACTCTTCTGAACCTGCCCTCAAGCAGCCCAAGCCCCTCAAACTAAGAAAGCCAGTGACAAGCACTACGTTTCGGGCAGTCGCTCCATTGTCCTCCCCAGAGGAGCTCCACCAACACTGACAGCTCAGGGCTAACTTATTCTCCAGGAATTATCCCAATTGCCTGCAATGCAACACAGCTGCCTCTGCAGGAGACCCTTTCCCTTTCCACAGGGACAGCCTCCATCCTGTGCAAAGAGCGGAAAGGTCTGGCCTCCTGGCCTCCAGATAGAACAACACTGAGTTCAGAACTCCCTGTGGGATCTGTGAGGCTTTTGCATTAACTACATTTCACTTAAACTCTTTCATTTGTTCAATTGTCCTCATTTCACTCCTCCATAGAGGCACGCTGCCATCAACTCCCTGACTCAGATTTCTATCTGTATCTGCTGCCTGAGGAACCTGACTTAGAGCAGCAGGTGCCAGGCCTGGTCTCAGGAATTTGACTCTAAAATGGAATTCTGGAACTGGGCAGCCTTTCGGCCGACAGGCAGTGAAGACCCCGTCACTAGGAGCCAGGGACAGAAGCATGAAGAGCCCCAGCATGCTGCACTGCAATTGTCCGTTTCACAGTCACGAACTAGGAAGGGACACTCAGCAGGGCATGCACAGGGCGCGAGGCCCCACACATTTGAGAAATTCAAGGGATAGGATAATTCTGAGGACGTGAAACTCCAATGACCATTGCTGAATGTTATTGATACTTTGGGGCAGAAAATTTGAGATTTAGGTCCAGAAGTTCATTGTCAGTGTGGCAGAGCTCCAGTGGAAGTAGAATCTCCACTTCAGCAAAGTTACTACCACGCCAAGATTAGATCCCTATTTGGGAAGTTGGGTGCTGAGATTTGGGGCTGGAGCACAGACATCAGTGCTTCTGAAAATTTCACGCCCCTTCATCTGTCCAAACCTATGGGTGAGCAGAAGTAACCCACTCCTCTCTGCTAAGATCTGGTGACCACTGCCTTACAAGAGAATGAGAGCCAGAACCACTTCCTCCCTATCCCTCACCCCTACTTAAGACCTATCCCACCAGCTCTCCTAGCTACCAGGTCAACACTTACGTCTCAGCACAATATGGCTGGGAACATGTTGGGCCTGCTGAAAAGGAGAAGGACTGTTCCCCAAAAGAGCTGCAAGCCCTTACCAACATGTATCAGCAGGAGCTGGGAGAGTGGAGCCTGAAGGCCTGGGATCAAGGTCAAGGTGAGACATAGGAGGACAAGGGCAAAATCTCCTGTGATCAAGGGTTGAGCATGCAGGCTAGGGCCATGGGGGAGGATGCTAACACACTGTGGAGGCACTGGGAAGCCAGGAGAAAGCACCAGCCTATACTAAGTGAGGCAGAAATCTCAGAACATCTCAGACATGAAAAAAGAAATCAAAAGTCTCAGAGAAATGGGGTTGCTGGCACTAATGTGTTATAGAAGACCACTTGATTTTAACAGGGAGGAGTGGAATACCAGCCAATTAAGCATCACAAGAGAGCATGGAGGCTGTTTTCCAAAGCAAGAAGGAATGTCCTGTTGAATAGAGCATCAGTTTCACGGGAAAACTCAGTGCGGCTGCTTTCTACAAGTCAAGACCGACAGTAGGAATGCTGATACAGAACTGTGTCCCCTGATATCCATAACACAATAGGATTCCCCAAAATCAAAAGCCAGGTGGCAATGCTTGATCATTAAAAGGAAGGTGGGTGCAATGATTGTAATGATTGGCAGGGTGGTATCCAGGGACCCTGGCCCACAGTTAGCTGTGGAGATGCTGAACCTGACATTCCCGAGGGCAAGAGAGATGGGCAGCCAGTGAGTCAGCAGGCAAAGAGATGGAGTTAGTTTATGTGGTACTGTATTGTTCAAGAGGAGGAGAAAAGCACTTGTTAATATAGATCAATTAAGTAGTAGTGTTACAATTCTTAGGGTAGCCACTAAATGAATGCAAGAAAGAAGGGGAAAAGAAGCATAGATAGATAGAAAGCACAAAATAATATAAATATATCTGTAATTTCATTTAATATAAATGAACTAAATGACCCAGCAGAAAGCTAAAAAATGCCACAGAGTGAAAAAAACAAAATCCAAATATAATCTATACATATAAATCATATCTTAAACAAAATGTATAGAACTGTCAAAAGTAAAAAGAAAGAAAAGCACAGACCATGCAACCATCAACCAAAAGAAACCTAGTATATTAGATATAATACATTTTGAGCAAAACTCACTCATAAAGAGGATCAAATCACAACAATGGAACATTAAAGTCACCCAGAAGATAAAAAGCTATTCTAAATTTATATGCAGTCAATAATATAGTCACAAAATACGTAAGACAAAAATTGCTACCACTACAAGGAAAAATAGAAAAATTCACCATCATATTAAAACTTTTGGCACAACTCTCTCATTACTGATTGATTCAAGCAGACCAAAACAACAACAACAACAAACAAACAAAGTGGAATATAGAGATTTAAAGAACTTGATTAATAAACTTGACTTATAAGTACATAGAATGTTATCTCCCAAACTACAGAATACAGGGACTTTTAAAGCACACCAAAGACAGTAACAAAAATTAACTATATACTGGATCATAAACAAATAATGACCAGTTTTTAAAAGAGTGAATTTATAGTGAGTGTGCCCTCTGATGGCAATGCAATTATGATAGAAGTCAAAATGAACAAAGAAAAGATAATTATAAAATACATATATGTTTAGAAATTAAGAATTCCATTTATAAATAATCCGTGAGCCTATGGAGAAATCATAACTCATAACGGAAATTAGAAAATATTTTTAAATGAAATGTTAAAAAATACATTTTAGAATTTGTGGGATCTTTTTCTAAATACATATGTTTAAAAAGAAAAATATCATAGGTTAGCTCCCACTTATAAGTGAGAACATATAATGTTTTGTTTTCCTTTCCTGAGTTACTTCACTCAGAATAATGGCCTCCAATTCCATCCAGGTTGCTGCAAATGGCATTATTTCATTCCTTTGTATGGCTGAGTAGTGTTCCATGATGTGTACACACACACACACACACACACATGCATATATATATATCATATATGATATATACCTTATATATAATATATGTAATATATCATATATGATATATATGTAATATAAATATATATGTATGTAATCTATATCATATATGATATATATAAAAATATCTCTCTATATAATATACATTATACATTATATATACATATAAACATATATGATATAAAATATAGCTTAGCCCTCACTTATAAGTATAGATCATATATATCATATATCATATATATCATATAAATCATATATCATTTATAGATTATAAATATATATAATATATCATATATATTTATATATGATATATATATATATCACAACTTTTTTATCCACTCATTGATTGATGGGCATTTGGGATGGTTTTATATTTTTGCAATTGTGATTTGTGCTGCTGTAAACATGCATGTGTCTTTTTTGTATAATGACTTCTTTTCTTCTGGGTAGAAAGTAATGGGATTGCTGGATCAAACAGTAGACCTACTTTTAGTTCTTTAAGTAATCTCCACACTGCTTTTCATAGTGTTTGTACTAGTTTACAATCCCACCAGCAGTGTAAAAGTGTTCCCTTTTCACCACATCCATGCCAACAGAAAACCATTTCTTAAACAACCCCTACATTATAGGGAAAAAATGGGTTATATTAAATTTAGGAGCTAGCCATGCCTTTGTCCCAGCTCTAACACAGCTCCTTCTAGAAGCTTCCTCTGACTCCTCTGAGCATCTTAATGCTTGCTGTTTTGATCCCAGATCCTAATACCACCCTTATAACGTTGTACCGTTGTCTTATAATTTTCACACCTGTCAATTACACTGAACTTTGAGTTTCCTCATAGCAGAAACTCTGTCTTATTGGTCTTTATCCTCTGAAACTTAGCAAACTGCCTGCCACCTGGAGGATGCACAATAAATGGATGATGAGTTGTTAAATGCAAGAGTGCACCTACTGATGACGTTGCATTTATCTGCTCATCTTACAGGGCATTACTAAGAGTTTAAGATAGTCTTTCCTGCACTTGTAATGAGAAGCTCTCCTTTCAGACTCCCTTCTACATGATGCGAAAGGCAGAATGTGTACAAAAATCCAGAGCAAAGTTTGCTAACAGAGTCCACTGCTGTTCACCAAGTCTTTGTGTTGGAATGCTTCTAGTGAAAACACAAATGTAGTTTATAGAAAAATGTGCCTTTATGTTGAAATCCTCCAGGTTTTCGTGGAAGTGGTTCGGCTGGGCACACAGCATGCACTGAAATCTCCTGTGAACTGCTTGAGCACTACTGGATTGTTGCATTTAATTGGGCAACAGCTGGTGATAATTTTCTGTGTATGGAGTGAGGGATTTAGTGACTGATTCACTCTTTGCATTGTGTTTCATTATCTTCATTTTTGTCCTTTCAGCTTTTGTAATGGGCTATAAAGGAGTGTGAGGCAGAGAGGAACTGAGAACCTGACATGAAGCAGAGTCCTGAGATTTGCAAGCTGGGCACCATGCGCTGTTTCTTCAGGAAAAGCTTTTGTTAGCAAGTGCACAGACTCCCAATGCTTGCCTTAAAGAAACGTCTGAGATTCACTTAATTCAATGCCATCCTTCTCAGCTGGTGAAACAGAGGCGCAGAGAGGCAAAGAGGCCTACCTGTGATCACCCAGCAAGCCAGTTGCTGAGCAAGCCAGTTGCTGAGCAAGGATTCAGGTCTAAGCCTACCTCCAGCTCTGTGTTCTTTCCCCGGTACTATAGTCTCTCCCTCCACCCCCTTCAACTGTCTTTCTCAAACATTACTCCCACCCACTCCATCCTTGATCAAGCTATGAGAAGGTCTGAGAAAAGGGCAGAGCTGTGACCTGCGATGTTTGACCTTTGAAGTCCTCTAGCTCTTCTTGAGTGACTTCAGTAGAAGTCTGAAAACAAAACAGAACACCAAAATCCCTAAGCGCAGTAGGAATCCTCTCCTCCTGAGAATCAATTAGTGATTGTTGTAAAGCATTACACAAATGTTGTACTATTATTGGACAATCATCTGGCATGTGCTGGCTGAGCATGCTAATAGGAACCTGGATAGTCCTAAGAAACGGCTTGTCAATCTACAAGATACCCAAGAGAAAAGGAAGTTCAAAGTTGAAGTCGTTAGAGAAAGAACAGTAGCTTCTCATCATTAGAGGGTAATGGCACTCAAAGGCTCTGTTATCCTACCCACTAGGCCCCTGGTTCCAGGCAAGTAGGCTTGGCCCTGACCGCCTTACTCTATCCTTTTGTGTTATCTGAAATTCTATGTCACTTCAAGTAATTTATGGAAACTGGCAAGGGATGGATGAATGGATGGATGGATGACAAACAGGCAAAGAGATAGAAAGATAATAAAAACAGATGTTATATAAAAACTGTGAAGAAACAGCTGGTTTCTGCAGGGGACAGGATGCACCCTGCCTCAAGTCTCCTGAGCTGCCACTTGCACCTGGAGTGTTTTTTCTTGGCTCCTGGTGACGGACAGGGAGACAGGGCTTTCCTGCTGTCTTGTCTGCAGACAGTGATGGTGGCAGGAGGTGGATATGACAGGAGACCTTGATTCCCTGCCTTGTCTTCCTCTGCATCTGCCAGGGAGCAGGGAACGGCACATGGACACAAGCGATGGGAGTTTCTTGCCTGTGCGTCCAGCTGTTCAGGCATCAAGGCAAATGTAAATGCACCACAGCAAACATGTCACATGGCAGCTGCCATCCCTCAGTTCGCCCTTGGCCAGTCTCTGAGGAAAGAACACAACCTTGGGCAGAAACAAGGAGAGAGAACAACAAGGAAAGCTCAGGAGGCTGTGTTACCAAAGAGGAGCTGCCAGCCATTGTTCCATGGAGAGTGGCCTCAGTTTGGAATAATGCCAGGGAATGGTTCAGCAGCCTGGATGGAGTGAATGGAAGGAAAATAAATGTACCTTTTGTTGAATGACAGATATGACATGTATGTCATCAGACAAAAGAAAAAGAGCCAGAAATAAGACAAAATGTGGCCAGGAAAAGCTTACTTCTGAGTAATTGATATTTCTTTTATGGACAGTGTGAATCTTCAACTGTAGGCTTTCCCTTTTTGCTTTGGTTGCCAGGGAGCCCATGCTTTAATTTTCAATTCAACTTCACTAAGCAAGTAACACCTTATGGAATAAATTCCTATAACTAACTTTCCCTCTGGTTTTATCATACCATTTTATCTATATTTTCTCACATATTGACTTAAAACATCCATCTACATATTGCTATTTTATTGCATTATAGTCTCACAAGCTGCATCAAAAAATTTTTGGAACAAAGCAAGGCAGGAATATATGCATGTAGGCCAGCAAGATTTGAAAATAAAAAAAAGCATTAATGAGTGTTCTAAATGCAACTGGAACCCAAAAATAGGGCATGAGAAGGAGAGCATGGGGTGCCAAGACACTTTTATCCTCTTCCCAGTTGAGTGACCAGATGCCTGCAGCATTGAACTGATTATCTCATCTCCCCTGAACCCAGTTTCACCAAGGGTAAAAAGGGAAGAGTTGTTTAGATTGTCAATAGGATCCCTACCAAATATAATCATTTATTATTTGAAGTTTGTACAGCTTGTGTTCACCTCCCAGGAAGAGGGTTGGACTTGGGAGAGGAGTTTAGGGCCAAAGCGTGCCACCCTGCAATTGAGACACTGCTTGAGGAAGGAGGCACTGAAGGCTGACTGAGGAGTAAATAGAGGTTCCAAGGACTCTGTTATTTAAATGAGGTAAGAGTTGGCTTGGGAATTGGCAATTGAAAAGTGGAGAGAGAAGAATTTGAATTTCCACTTTGTTGAACTCAAAAGAAGAAAAAGGACTTTGCTAAGGCAGGACATAAAGGGGGCTGAGGGCATGCGGCTCAAACCCCAGGGCTTGGGAGAAGTATGGCTAGAGAGAGGAACCACATTCCTGATGGCTCCTCACAATGGTGACCTTTGAGAAATCCCAAATGGAAGTCAAGGACAGCCGCCATATGTCCTGACAAGCGCAAGATGATTATAGGTTCAGGAATGCAATTTAGAACCAGGCCACAGGGATGGGTGGAGCCTGCCTTGGCGAGAGTGGAGGACTCCAATTGTGTTCCATTAGGGCCGCCCAAATGCATGCCATACATTCACTCATGGCGATGGAGCTCGGTAATGTGTTCAATATTCTCCAACATCGTGGTCACATCAGTGGAGCATACTGGCTCCTATGTGGCTGGAAAATGCCAGAACATGGGCAGAGAAGGCTAACATCTTAACCCTGATTCTTTGTGGAAACATCAAAGATCCATTCTGGATCTTAATAAGTGGAATCCAGTAAAAATTTGGTGAAACCTGATCTTACTGCCTTGTTTGGTCAGAAAATCTGGGATTTCTGCAAATTGGTTGATTAGGACAAATACATACCAACATTTCTGACCTCAGAGCCAATAACCACTCTGTCAATCAAGCAGTAGGTTTGTGTGTGTGTGTGCATGTATGTGTGTGAGGGTGTATGTGTATGTGCATGTGTGTATATGTGTGTGTGTATGTATGTGTGTGCATGTAAGTGCATGTTTGTGTGTACATGTGTGTATGCCCGTGCTGTGTGCCATCTCTGCATTATTGTGCCTTACCCTATAAACACAATATATCATTGTTTCTCTTAAATTGCTTTATCCTATGAGTGGGCCACCCAACCCAATGTCTGTGTGGCCCATGGCGGGGTCTAAAGAAAGAAAGATGAATGTCTGTCTCCTGAGACACATAGATTTTTAGAAAGACAACGTCATGTGCAGATGTTTGAAGCAATAGAAAGAACAGAGATATGGAACAAAACAGAGCTGCCTTCAATCCCAGCTGCTCCCAAGCAGCGGGTCCCTAGAGTAGCCTGGACAGCTACCTGGGACTTCACTTACCTACATGTAAAATGGCAGGAAAGCCCTGCCCCGCAAGTGCTGTGCAGAGCGAGTGCAGCACTGTCTGTGGAGGGCTCCCGGTGCTTAGCAAGCCTCCTTACATCCTTCTTCCCTGTCCTGCCCATTCTCTGCTGATAGGAGCCTGGCCAGTCAGGAGCATGGTCCAGCTTTCTCAACTATGTCATCCCTGTGGAATCAATGGGAGTGTGGAATGAAGGGAGACGTAGTTAAGGAGCCGGGAGATGCTGGGAGTGACCTTATTGCCAGCCCTCGGCAGATGTTCCTCAGTGATAAGTCACGTATGGAATAAGAATGGCCTATCACACTCCCCACTCCAGCATAGTCTGAGACTATGGGACAGTCCTGAGTTAGCCTGGCATTGACCCCAGAGGGAAGACCCTGCCCAGAGGCTCCACTTTCCTGGTGCCCTTGTAGGGAGGGGCCAGGCCATGGGGGGACTCCTCGGGTGTCACTGGCACAAAGACCAGAGGCCCGGGTGCTTCTCATCTGCCAGGAGGGAAGCACCGGGGGCTGAAGATTTGACCTGTGAGGATGCTGAGGCCTCCAGGAGAGTCCTCCAGCCCAGGCCCGGCTCTGACACTGTGGGACCAGAGGAGAACTGGAGGCTCTCAGCCCCCAGACGTATGCCTTCTCCCCACCAGCTTCTGCTCGTTTCCACAGTGCAGGGGCCCTCCGAGCCTGAGTGTGGAGCCCCCAGCCTGGGAGTCAAGCTGCAACCTCCCCTTCCCAATAACCACCCCTGCGGCCATGCCTGCCCTGTGATGAGGGGTGTGCAGCCTGGCGTGTAGAATTTTAGAAAGACACTACCGTGGGGTGACACCAGTGCCATGGTTCCTCCTTGGGATGAGCTGATGCACGCCTCAGAGGAGACTTAGGGCTGGTTGGTTAGGGAATTCTGGAGTCATGGGGACTCAGAGCTTAGAAAGTGGAGAAGATGGAGTGGGCTCCCAGTGGGCCCAGCCTCACATGTTTGCCTCATCAGGTGAGGAGGGGCATAGTGGGAGAAGCTGGAGTGGGATTCTCTAAAACGCAGGGCCCAGAATAGGGGACTGTCTTACCTGGGCCAAAGGAATGTACTCTTCAAACCAGGCAGCACCAAAGAGCAAAAGCTGAGACAAGAAAGTGAAATAAGAGCTGAAGGAATGAGGGAGCCTGAGAGGCTGTCAGGAGGATCTTAATGCAGCATGGAAGTCATCATAACTCCATGGAGAGGGGCACTCATGCACCTGCCCATGCGTTTGAGACTCAGCAACATTTGGATACACTGTTGAGTGAGGAACAAGGACACAAGAAGACCACACTGATGCTCCTGGGCATCATCTGGGCTACATTTTGGAGATTCAGGATGGCTTGGACCTTGCCATGGGGTTGCCCAAGAAAAACTCATCACACTTTAACAATTCACTGCTCTCTGAAAAAAATGAATATGGCGCCATGTGAGCCACCATAACGTCTGCAGTAGGGAGAAAACTATTTTTTTCTCCCTACTGCAGGAACATGTCTGCTAAACCTGCTTGTGATTTTAAAATGTGGGAACCAGTTTAAAGTCAGGGATAGAACTTAGTATTAGAAACATGTGTAACCCAGGCAGCCTCTGGCTGTTCACCCCACAATCCACCTGCAAGACATTGGGGAGCGTCTCCTTAGCAAAGCAGTGACCCAGAAAGGTGAGGTCCTGTCTGTCTTGAGAGTATGTGCTTCATGAGTGCTTTCTCAGCCCCAAAGACCTCCAAAAATTGCAGATTAAGTGAAATATACATTTTGTAGCAAAGACTTTACTTTCCAAAGTTTTGGAAACTTGACTACTTCCTGCCAAATTAGAGATATATTAAATCCAGTAGGGTGTGCCATGTAAGTGTCCTGGTCAAATAATTTTAAAAAGTTTCCAATACCCAACAAAGATAAAATGCCCTCAAATTATTGTCTCAGATCTGTTGGAATCAATGTTGCTGACAGTCACAAGCCATTTATCAAAACTGGTTAGTAATCTTTTCTTTGGCTGGATTTTCTTTTCCATCACAACAGTGATGAGCAGATCTTGATTAAGACAGAATGGTCCACACGCATAATAACCTTAGATTTTTTTTAAGTATTTGGCAAATGTCAAAGCAAAGAATAACTTGAACAATTCTATAAAAAATGTGTTCCTGTGGTCATGTTCATATCCTTCCAGTTATAGGAAAATGAAACAAAGAAAAACATTTAGCCTTCTCAAGTTACCGTAGTTTTGAACTGACTTAATTTTCCAAGCCTGTTAAGAAAAATTCTTAGAAGATTGAAATATGTCAGTATACATATCCATGTGCATGTAGGACTTTATGTGAACTAAATTATCTACTCAGTAAACAAATATTGGCAACTCACATGGGATAGACACTTGACTAGGTGCTAAGGCAACTATCCTAGTCACACAGGAGAGAAGGCATGATTCCAAGGAAAGATAATGGGCTCGGAGCTGGAACAGTTTTTGTGACCAGGGACACGTGACTCAAGCTCTCTGGGCCTCAGTTTCTGGATGGTATGAGACATCAGTTATCATAGAGTGTCACTGGGAGAGAGAAGATAATAACCATAGATGCTTCACGAAGACAGGAATTACCTTGACCACCATTGCTTTCTCAGTCCTTACACAAATTCCAGTTAGCTCTCCTCTTCTGTTGGGAGCCTAGAATTCGATCAGAAGCTGTGGGAGAGCAGAATGTTCTCAGCTTTGCTACAATCTACAATCTTTTTATATTAAAAGCCGAGCTTCATCTGTATGATTGTAAAACCTTGGCGGGGGGTGGGGAACTCATTAACCCTTTCCTCAAGAAATCTAAAAATACATATATCTGCTTGTTTTATGTCTTTTGGTTTCAACCTAGAACAGAACATAAAACAAGCTTTAGGGTGACATGAATTGAGAAGGAGCAGAGACACTGGCAAGTATGAAGCTGAAGGGATCCATGCGTGCATGATATGGTTTGGCTGTGTCCCCACCCAAATCTCATCTTCAATTCCCACGTGTTGTAAGAGAGACCAAGTGGGAGGTAATTGAATCATGGGGGCAGATCTTTCCTGTGCTGTTCTCATGATAGTGAATAAACCTCACGAGATCTGATGGTTTTAAAAAGGGGAGTTTCCCTGAACAAGCCCTCTTCTCTGGTCTGCAGCCGTGTGAGACGTGCCTTTCACCTTCCACCATGATTGTGAGACCTCCCCAGCCACTTGGAACTGTGAGTCCAATAAATCTCTTTCATTTGTAAATTGCCCAGTCTCAGGTATGTCTTTATCAGCAGATGAAAACAGACCAACACAGTGAGATTCTGAGGGCCTGAACTTAGGCAGTTTGGGAAGTGAAAAATAAATAGGCAAATCCTCGAGCTATGAGGTGATAGCTCATAGTTAACTTTGTCATACATTAGGGACAGAAAAGAGGAAGTGTGTCCAAGGGGCTGGCACACGGAAGAGTGAGCCACAAGGCAGGAAGTTCCTTAGAGGTGATGGGGGAGCTCCCTCATAGGCAGGAAATTACTATTTTGATTTTTGCCATTAGTTTTCAAGATGAGGCACCCCATACCTTGTGCATCTGAAGCTCCCCGCCACCAGCACAGCAGAGTAAATGTCCAGCTCTAAGAATCGGGGTGCACAGCCTAAACTGGAAACTACAAGCATGACATTACTTCAAATCTTTTCTTCTTTAAAAAAAAAAGTCTAGATCGGTGTATTCTATATATACGTGTGTGGGTAGGGGTGTGTGTGTGTGTGTGTGTGTGTGTGTATATATATATATAAAATTAAGACATATGTATATATATGTCTTAATTTAAAATTAGTGGCATTGCATTTCCCCCAAATTAAAGCAAATTTGACTCTCTATGAAGTCACGCTGCGTGTTTTCTGTAATTGCAAGGGTCTTGCAGGGACAGTGCGCATGCAGCTCCCTGGTGAGAGGCAGACCATGGACAGTTGAGAGGGGATGCAGATGAGATAGGGGTGCAGGTGGGGTGGGAAGCAATGAGACCAGTTGGCTAGGAGAGTTCGGGGCAGAATGGCCATATGCAGAGGTCCCGGTTCAGGCAGCCTGGGAAGCTCAGAGAGGGTCACCAGATGGCTCTGGAAATAAAGGGCAATGGTAGCAAGTGTTGACACTTGAGGAAAGCTCAGAGAGGGTGACCAGATGACCTTGAGGAGTGAGGACAAGTTGGGCAGTGTGTCTCCCAGAGACAGAATGAAGGGCTGGATGGAAGTGAGGACAGATGCATGTGACTTGTTTGAGCCACTTAAATTCAGAAGTTATGGGAGGTGACTGTCAGGCACAGAGGGGTAAGTGGAGGCACTGGCAGTGTAAGCCCAAAGCTGCCTGAAGTCTGAGGTTCAGGACACCAGGGAAAAGCAGGAAGGACACAGCACCCAGGCTGAGAGTGCCTCACAAGATGGGGAGAAATGTCACATCTTGGGCAGCTGCAGAGAGAATGGGCCCCCAGGAAGACTGTGTTTGGCTCATGGAATCATCCAGCAAATACCATGCCAGCCCCATGCTGGGTGCAGCTAATGTGGGTGAGGACCAGAGCCAGGAAACCAACAATGAGTGACACAGCAGAGAGGCAAAGGGGTTGGGCAACCCCGAGAAAGAAAACCCAGGCAGCCGGGAAGAGGGTTTGAGCCATCTAGAGAATAGTGGACGTCCTTTGATGTCCAGTGAAACCCTGGGTATCCCCTCCATGCCTTCCCACCACCTCTACTCTCCGCTGGCCTCTCAGGTCTCCTGGAAGCACAGAAGGAAGAACCCCAGTCGCAGAGGCGTCCTTCTGTTGAGCACTGACCACGGGCTGCCTCACCCAGCTGAACCCCCTCGACAAGTCCACCAGGGAGCTGCTGATGGTATCTCTGCTTTCCAGTGAGGGAGCTGAGGCTACCCAAGATTCAGAAATTTCACTGGGGTCCCAGTGAACAGAGGCACAGAAATGAGACCTAATTTGTCCCAGAGTCTGACTCCATCCTTCAGTTAACACTCTGCATACTACTCAGTTTGATCTTGAGGCTTTGAAAGGAGCCCTCCGTTGTAGCCTTTCAGGTACTTCATTGAGGTTTCATGACTGGCTGCATGGCTGTGCCTATAAGGTTCGATCCATTACCTAGATGCATGTGTGCAGGTCTGCAGAGGTATCCTTGTCTGTGGATTTGCGTCACTCCAAATCGGCAGTAACACAAGGCAAGAAACAGCCTCCCCCACGTGATACATTCCAACCAATTTTTACAAACCGAAGCCTCTGTCTCCTGGCTTGCAGATGTTTTCACCAGTGTCGTATTTTATTTTCATGCAAACCTGGATGTTTCTAGGTAGGATTTGCACTCTCTGGTTCCTGTCCCCACTATGCTACCTGCAGCAACTTCCCGCAATGCTGCCACTCTCCGTGCTCTGAAGGCATCTGAGTTGATTACCCATGATTACATTAATATCAATGGATTCATGACCATTTTTGTTGCATACTTAATACAACTTAAAACAAGATCTTCCAGATCAAAAGGGTCCTCGTCCAAGTAAAGGAGGATAGTGATGACCTGTGTACCATGATTTTGCAAAAGTTAGACCAGACAGAATTGCCTGTGGTGGTTTTCTCAATAATATACATATGAGCCACAATTAAGAAAGCTGCATGTCAGCTGATGCTAAAACAAACAGAATACTCCCCCCAAATAAGCCATGATAATAGGTACAATTTTAGAATTTCACTGAACTTATATTTTATAATGAGTGGAGGGAGAATTATCTGACAGAATGGCCTCTGAGGAGAGTTTGTTGTTAGAATTAATGTTTCTTTAAAAAAAAAAAAGAAAAAAAAACAACTTTGCAAATCTAGAACTATGAAGATAAAAATTTGTTTACCCCTCTAACTAGCTTTTGGCGCAATGAGCAAACCACACACTATTTGGGACTTTCAGGAAATGTGGGGAGTGAGGTGATGGCAGACTGAAGACCTCCCTTTGCCCAGCTGTGTTCTGATACCTGGAAGGGATCTGCAAGTAAGAGTAGAATCAAAATGCAGATGTAAAACCAATCCTGTCTTCCAGGTGGGAGGAATAATGTTATTAAAGCATCAGCTACATCCTGGTCATCAGCACACGTGGCCTCAGCTGCTTCCACAGCAGGTCTGTGGAGCTTCCTGATCCTGCCCTTACACAGCACATGGAGGAGCAAAGGGTGGGCACAAGTCTAGCTTGTGGCGGAGCAGGGTTGCAATCCGGCCCTGCTTGGAAGCCACACCCCACGTTCTCACCATCTACGTCCCCAATTCTATTTTGAGCCACTTTGCAATTTCCCATAACTTTGAACTGCCTCCAGAGAACTGCACCTGAGATTCACCCCCTAGCAATGATGAGCGGAATAGTCACCGTGAGTCCAAGGAGTTTCACCACGTGTGCTGGACACCTTCGCCATGGCCCTCCTCTCTATGTACCCTGGAATGCACAGCTCTGCATGCAGGGTGAGAATGGAAAGTGAGCCCAGATGGAAGCAGTTACTAAGAAGACCAGGACTTCAAGTGTCAGCTCTCAGCCAAGCACAGACCAGCCATGTGTGCAGTTTGCTGTGTTTGTAAACCCAATGCTTTGGAATTGGAGGCAGCTGTGAAGACAGAGTGGGATCAGAACCCCTAGAGTACACCGTGGAGGACACACATGGCCTTAGAGAGCCATAGCCAAGGGTGGTCTGTGCTACTGTGGGTCCCTCTCCCAGCCACAAATCAGAGACTATTCAATTCTAGAGACCCTCCCCATGAATCATCATCCCTTTGTTCAAAAGGCAGAGTCTTTCAGGTAGAGCTTTTCAGGTGGAGGCTGGTGAAAAGTGGAGCTGTGTATCTTCGTCCATTCTTCCAGGCAACAGTAATCCACTGGATTAAGGTCATGGGGTCGCCAAGGCTCCTCTTAGCGGCTACTTTCTCTGGAGTCCAGCCCTGACCATCCATCAGTGCAGACCCAGATGCTTCAGTAATCCACTGGGTTAAAGTCGTGGGGTCGCCAAACCTCCTCTCAGAGGCTGCTTTCTCTGGAGTCCAGCCCTGACCCTCCACCGGTGCAGACCCAGATGCTTCTGTTGCCCTCATTGTACTCAAGACGGGCCCTCATCAAAGCCAGCCTTGGCACACCCTAAGAGTGTGTTCACACCTCTTTCCTGTCCACCCTGAGTACCCCTTGTCAGCAGAGACGAGGACTGTTCATGTCTCATCCTCAGAAATAGATGTCCTCCCTGGAGCAGGATCCTTGCTCAGTCAATGCTTGCCGTTACGGAAGCCCCCGCGATGCCCACCTCCCACTTTCATGCCTTCCCACGACCTGCTCCCCTTGAGTCTAGGAGAGCTCCATGACCAGCTTCTGGTGACTGTCACCATGGCCAAGTGTTGGGACATCACTTCAAAGATAAGGTTATAAGAAGATTATGACTCCGTTGGGAAGCGGCACTCTCATTCTCTCTCTCTCTCTCTTTCTCACTCAAACCTCGCTCCAGGAGAAGCAAACTACCACGTTGTGAGCAGCCCTCCGGAGATGCCCATGTAACACTAAACTGCTGCCTCCGACAACATCCCTGAGGACCCGAGGCCTGTCAACCACGAGGGTGCACCTGGTCCTCCACAGCCTGAACCAAAGCTCGAGTCTCCCCAACCCCTGGCCACACAAACTGCGAGGCAATAAGTGTTCAATGCTTTCAGGCACTGGGTGCTAGGATAATAGGTTAGGCAGCCTGAGATAACTACTGCCCACGTATCAAGAAATGGTGTGGATATACTGAGTGTCCCACTTTATGGTCTGGAAATGTGTCCCCACTTGTGGCTCTCCAGTGCTCCCGTGCTGAGATTGACGGGAAGTCTAGGATTACTCCTGTCCTCTGGGTTCCCTGGCCGGGCTGTCACGCTCTGGGCTGGGTCCCCTGGCCGCGCCATCACACTCTAGCCGGGTCCCCCGGCTGCGCCGTCACACTCTAGCCAGGTTCCCCGGCTGCACCGTCACACTCTAGCTGGGTCCCCCGGCTGCGCCGTCACACTCTAGCCGGGTCCCCCGGCTGCACCGTCACACTCTGGGCTGGGTCCCCCGGTGGCACCATCGTACTCTGGACTGGGTCCCCCGGCTGCGCCATCATACTCTGGGCTGGTTCCCCCGGCGGCGCCATCATACTCTGGACTGGGTCCCCTGGCTGCACCGTCACACTCTAGCCGGATTACCCAGTGGCACCATCACACTCTGGGCTGGGTCCCCTGGCCACACCGTCACACTCTGGGCTGGGTCCCTTGACCACGCCACCCCACTCTGGGCTGGTCCCCCGGCCGCGCCACCCCACTCTGGGCTGGTCCCCCGGCTGCGCCATCACACTCTGGGCTGGGTCCCCTGGCCACACCGTCACACTCTGGGC
Organism: Homo sapiens; assembly: GCF_000001405.40. Lineage (NCBI taxonomy): Eukaryota > Metazoa > Chordata > Mammalia > Primates > Hominidae > Homo > Homo sapiens. The sequence goes on from NC_000002.12 coordinate 8,028,401, forward strand.
TGGGTCCCCTGGCCACACCGTCACACTCTGGGCTGGCTGGGCTTGTTCCTGATTATTGCTGGAGCCAAAACCCAGGGAGGCACACTGAGGTCCAGCTTCTCTGCCACAGCTGCAGGAGCTGGCTCCAGGGGACAGAGGGAGGGCTGAGACCGGGCAGCGCGCAGGACCATGGTCTCCTCTACCGCCTCCAGGATCTCCTTTCTCACAGGCAAATCCTAAGCCTGGTTCCTACCCATGAGAATCTGAGCTCAGGTGGATCCAAGAAACATGGACTCCACGTGACTCGGTCATGGCACAGCAGAGAGCCACTGAGCCAGAAGCCACTGAACCCCAGACAGCACAGCCCTGGCTCCCCCTGGCCCGTCCCAGCTGCCCCCTCTGATATGTGGAGCTCGGGGAAGAGGCTCATCCCTCCAGCTGGCTAGGAACCTGCTCAGTGATTTCGGTCCCACCTCACAGCCTTTTGGATTTAATCACTCTGACGGCCTGAGGGTGGACCCTGCACTAAAAGGCTGGAATTGGGCCACTTCCCCAGGAAAACTGCCTCATAGACCCAGAATCACCTGTCCCCCTCGACCCTTCACGGGGGTGCTGGAGCAGCCCATGGCCCCAGCTCTTCCTCTGAAGAGACTTAACTTTGGGGGCATCACTGCCCTTCCCTGCCTCCCTGGCCAAGGCCAAGCAAGGCAGAAGGAGCTATGACGTGGCCTGAGCCACAGCAGCAGAGAAGGCGTGGCCCAGGGTGAGGAGCAGCTGTGAACGTGGCTAGACAATAGGATGAGGATCCTCGAGAACCTGAAGAGGAGGCTGGAAAAGGCATCTGTGGCTGATTTGCAAGAGCCTTGAATTTCACTCTAAATAAAGCTTTGGGGGATTAGCCTGTGGGCAGCCAGTTGTCATTGGAGGAACTAAAGGCAGAACCTGTCCAGGTCAGAGGTGTCTGGAGGTGATCATTCTTAATAATGTCCACCCAGTGATTATTTGTGAAGAATCTACTTTGCTCCTAGCCTGTCACAAGAAAGCTAAAAGCATAACCAAGTGTAGTTTCTGTGTGGATTAAACTGGCAGATGTCTCAGTGGCTCAGGCCCTGCAGAAGAACCTCTTTGCGTGCGAACTCATTTATTATGTGGTCATTACTGTCCCATATCAGTTTGGAACATATAGTTCTTTGTTACCAATTTCTCAATATGCTATCTACCTGCCTAAGTGCTATAGAGTTGTATTTTGTCAATTAGGAAGTGTTTTGTGATAAAAACTTCTTACTGATTCAAACTGGCACCTCTTCCCTAACTCTGACATCCAAACCCCTTTTATTATGAATGAAAAGTGTTTAAGTGCCTTAAAAGAATATTCTACATTCAGAGGATTGGCTCTGTGTAGAGGCAGCATGGCCTATTCCATAAAGCCCTGAACATCTACAGTTTCCAGCCCCAGTGCTAACAGGGTGCTTGAATTTGGAGATTTTGCTTAACCTACCTGAATCTCAGCATCCTTATTCAAATCAGGAACAATAATCATCTCTACTCTCTGGGGACTCAGATGGCAAGTTTAAGGCTGACGAGAAGGTCTGAGTTCTTAAAGACGCCCCTCGTCTGTCTCTGAGGGGAGTCGTGAGGACACACTGAGGATACGGAATTCTGTCAGAATGCTAACATGAACCAATGGTTTGATTAGCCCGAAGCCTCATCATGGTGATCTCTTTCTAAGCCACTTCTGTTCTGTGGGTTCCTCAACCCACAAGTTCTATACTGAGAACCCATCAATACCATTGTTCCAAATGCCTTCTGGTCTTTTCATGGAGAACCTGTAATGTCATGAGTCAAGGATGTGCTCATTGGAATTAAGGAATGGAACTGGGTCCTTGGTGTTCCTGGGGAAAGAATGATGGAGGACTGTCAAATTCAGTGAAAAGGTCAGCATGGATGTAAGCATGCGAAGATTCCCTAAGTCCCAGCTCAAATGAATGGGCGGAATGTCACCTACTGAAGGGGACAGACAGCTGTGTCAAATGACACAAAGGGCTGAGAAACAAACGCACACGTTTTATTCAGCTATTTTGGAGTGATGAGAAAATCCATTTACTTGACACTGAAATGTTAGAATCCCACAATTTATGTTTGTTGTTATGTCATCCGTTTTTATTTTGTTCCCCTAATTCATTTGCTCACCCATTTAATAACTGGGTCATGTACTTCCATGTACTGAGCATCTCCTATAGGCAGGCGATGTGTTCGGCCTGCAGTCATAGCAGTGGGACAGCTTTCATCCTCAGGGCAAGCAGAGGAGGATGGTGGTTACTGCCTCCCAGGGAAGGAGGTCTGCTCACCTAATGCCCACAGCTGCAAGGAAGGCTGTATTCATCACCGTTCAGCTCAGCACAGACCCACGTGGAACCTGCTTCATTGCAAAGATTATATTTAACGACTCCTCTGCCTCTATGTCTGCAAGCATTGCTATGATTTAAGTCATGCTCTGACAGCCTCGGGAACTTGCCAGTCCCAAGCAGAGCTGCATCTTGCCAGCTTGCCAGGTGCCCCTTGCCTCTAACCCATTGCTCCAGCTGGATGAAGCCACTCTTGGTCCAAGATGGGGCTTGCACCACTGGGCTGTAGCACGGTTTGTTGTGACTTGTGACAGCCTCAAACAGAAACCAGGAACACTGAATCACTTTCTCTGTCAAGCTGCACTGAGAGTCACATACACCCTGAGTTATCAGCCTGCCTGAGAATGTTCCAGAATGTTGGAGGTGAAAGCAGGCCTCCAGTGACTAATGGCTGAGATGGCATTCTCCAGAAGGATCTACATGTCAAGGGCAGAATTCTTCATTCCTCCAAGCAACTGCAACGATGGTGAAAATAATAAAACAAGAACAGCAGCAGAAATAGCAACAAGTCCTATCACTATTACTGTGTCATTTACAGCTACTTCCAAAGCAGATCAGTTACAGAAGATCCATTTGGGAGGTGAAGGAAATACAGAGAGCTGGGGAAGGAGCAGCCGCCCAGCTAGGTGTCCTGTTGGTTTTCCGAGCTGTCCTAGCAAAGTGTGACAAACAGAGTGGCTTAAACATCAGGAACTTACTCTCTCACAGATCCAGAGGACAGAAGCCCAAAAGCAAAGTGTCAGCAGGGCCGCACTTCCTCTGAAGCCTCTGAGAGAGGGGCCTTCTAGCCTCCTCCTGCTCATGGTACCCCAGGCCTCCCTTGGCTTGTGACCACATCACTCGATGCTGTCTCCATGGTCACCTGATGTCTGCCCTCAGAACATGAAGCTCAAAGAAGCCCCCAAGACTCAGAGTAAGTAGCACAAGTAAGTCTTCCTCAGAGCCACACCTGCACTGACCCCAAGAACCCCCTTAGCCTGCACAAGAACGTGTCTCAGTGCACACTCCAGCCCTACCTGCCCCCGACGAGACACCCTCCCTGTTAATTACAGAACTGAAGAATATCCAAGGCCACCTCTCCCAATCTTCAGACTTCCATGATGATCCAGTGAGCCCCAAAGTCGCAGCAGTGAGCCCAGGTTTCACAGACAGGAGACAGAGGGCTGAGGGGGGGAGCAGAACAGCCATTCTCTGCAGGGCAGCACGGCCCCTCTGGACGTTGCCCATCAAATCCCGACAGCAGCTCAGAAAACTGCCAGCTCAGCCGCACAGGTGAGGATGCTGACCAGAAACCTGCATTGCATTTGACCACTTTTAGTCACTAGAAAATGATTATTAGAAAATGTGGTTAACCAGACAGGATACAGTGGCTTACACCCGTAATCCCAGCACTTTGAGAGGCCGAGGCGGGCTAATCACTGGAGGCCAACATGGAAAAACCCCGTCTCTACTAAAAATACAAAAATTAGGACTGGGCACGGTGGCTCATGCCTATAATCCAGCACTTTGGGAGGCCAAGGTGGGCAGATCACGAGGTCAGGAGATCAAGACCATCCTGGCTAACACGGTGAAACCCCGTCTCTATTAAAAATACAAAAAAAAAAAAAAAAAGTCAGGTGTGGTGGCGGGCGCCTGTAATCCCAGCTACTCTGGAGGCTGAGTCAGGAGAATGGCATGAACCCAGGAGGTGGAGCTTGCAGCGAGCCGAGATCACGCCACTGCACTCCAGCCTGGGCGACAGAGCAAGACTCCATTTCAAAAATAAAAAAAAAAATTAGGCGAGTGTGATGGTGCACGCCTGTGGTCCCAGCTACTCCTGGGGAGGCTGAGGCATGATAATTGCTTGAACCTGGGGGGCAGAGGTTTCAGTGAGCTAAGGTCACACCACTGCACTCCAGCTTGAGTCACAAGAGCGAAACTCCGTACCCCCGTACTCCGTACTCCAAAAAATTAATAAAAATAAAAACGTAGTTAATCATTTGGGAAAAAAATAATAAAGCTGTATCCTTTCCTCATCCTTTTTAACAAAATAAATTTCATATGGAATTAAGCAATAACGTAAAAAACATACATTAAAATTATTCCTAAAAATCTGGGTGAATGTGCTTATAATTTTGTGGTATAAAAAGACATGGTATGTTATCATGGCTAGAAACATATTTTAGGAAAAGATTTATAAGTTTGAATATATGTTTTTTTATTCTACATAGTCAAAAAACACAACAAAAAAGCTTAAAGAAAAATGACTATTGGAAAAAGTAATCGTCATAAAAAGATAATATTCTTAATATGCCATGAGTGCTTTAAAAGTAACAAGATAAATATTTTCAAAAAGATGAATAATTCCTGAAGAAAATAATAATTACACAGACAATAAATGTGTAAAAAGATTTTTAACCTCTCTTTTAATTAAAGAAATACAATTCAAATAATATATTTGTATATATCAGAGAAAGTCTTAACAATGCTGGAAGAGGATTCAAAACATCGACACCTTTATGAACCATTACTGCAAGTCTGGGGGTCTGTTTATAAAATTATATCAGTGTTTAAAACATGTATATCACATGGCCCAATGATTTTATTATGTGCATTTATCCCTTTATGTTTAAAAATATTCACTGTAATGCTATTAGGGAAGAAGTAAATAAAAGAAACAGAAACATTAACAACTGAAATGTCCATCAATAATGGAATTAAAAAATTATGGCATATTCCTCATTTATGAGGTAGAAAGCAACTAATAAAAATAATAATATGAATCTATGTTCATGGATATGGAACAAGCTTAACTGTGTTAATTAGGTTAATGCACAAAATTTTGGTGATTTAAGAAGATAGAAATTTATTTTTCACTCATACAAACTCAATAGAAGAAGTGCAGGAGTGGGAGCTTCCCTCCACACGGCCCTGTGGGCCCCAGCTTTCCAGAGGCCCGTCACCCTCACCATATGGCTCTTGGGACATGCAGAATGAATATCTGCCCAGCAAATAGGAGAAAGGAGAGGAAAAGGAGAGGGTCACGGGGGCGATTGTTATGTAATGGGCCTAGAAGTAACATGCAGCATCTTGACCCACAATTCGTCAACCAGAACTCAGTCCCGGGGACCCAGCTAGACACAAAGTGCTGAGAAAACAGCCCCTGACTTGGCAGGCTGCTTCTCCTCTGTGGCTCCACTTTATTTGAAAGGGAGGGGAGGGATTGAATGACGGTGGAAAGGAAGGCATCTCTGCCCCAGCAGAACATATCATTGACTGAAAGGGCACAGCTAAGAGGACTGCATCTGCTATGGAGCCATTCTGGGAAAGTCTGGGACAGGCACACACACATATCCAAAGCCTCTCTCATGTCAGGGGTTTAGATAGTGAATTTGCCTAGTGAGAGCTGCCTTGTTATCCAAATCTACTTGGTTCCAGGTTGGGAAAGACAGGGAGGGACACCAGCCATAGCTCAAAAATGATCTGCATCTATAAGGTTTTTTGAGTGTGCTTAGCATGGGTTTGGATGTGTGCGAGTGTTCGTGCAAACGGAAAATCTAGAACAATGATCGCCGTGTGCTTAACAGTAGTTATACCTATGAAATAAGATTTAGGGTTGGTTTTTACTCCTTTCTTTTAAGTTTTCATATACAAAAAAAAATGCCCTCATATTTGACACAGTAATTTGATATTCAGGGGGAAAAAGCAATTAACACTATATTTATTTGGGGTGGGGCTCAAGTGATCCTCTTGCCCCAGCCTCCTGAGTAGCTGGAACTGCAGCACCATGCCCAGTTTCTCTCTTCCTTTTTTCTTTCTTTTATTTTTGTTTATGATGATGAAGGTTTAGACAAGCTTCAACGCCAATAGAAGGAGAGGTTGAAAAGAGAATAAGTTTCCTTGGTAAGTGGGGAGAGACGGTACAAAATCAGAAGAATGACCACTCTTAAATATAATGGGAAAGGAGGAGAAATAACGATGCTTATAAAAGTAAATGCTAGAGTTTGTTGTGAATTCATTGAGGAGACTGCATCACTCAGCATAGGCTAAGTGTTTTAACAGTAATCCCTCAATGTCACTGGCTTCTCCTAATAGTCTTTTTGTTGTTATTTTCTTGGCTCTCATCACAGTTGGTTGTTGGGACTGGAGGTGTTGGACATCACAGTGTTCCATCCAGGGCTCCGGGACCCTTTTATCTAGAGCTGGAGCTCCACAAGCCTCTGGGGCCCCCAGAACTCTTCCTTGGATCTGCTAAATCCAGTTCAAGTAACACTTGAAAATGGCATTCATCACTTCTGCCTACAACTGCACTGGCCAAAACCCAGTCATTTGCTGCAAGAGTACTAGGAATGTTTTCTAGCTGTGGACCCAGGAAGAGAGGGCGCACAGATGTTGGTGAGCACTTGCTTTCTCTGTTAAAGAGAAAAAGAATTTTATTATTGTTATTGCTGCTCCTGTATTGATTTTGATAATAATTGGACATAGGTTAACTTTATGACCTGAACAGCAGGCTCTCAGTAAATCTTTGAGGAAGGAAAAAAGGAGAAGGAGGGACAGAAGGATTGAGGAAGAGAGAAAAGGCTGTTTTTATAGCCCCAAAGCTGGTTTTTTACACAGGTATAGAAAACGCCTGCTTAATTGGTGTGATTTGAGCAGGGGTCTTTTTATAAATTTCTATATCAAAATGAAAACCCACTTATAGCAGTTACCATCTCCACTCTGAAAAATGAAGTCAGCCGATCCAAAATTGAAGCCTACCAGAAAGATGCTTTAGTTATGGGTCAGTAAGAAGGTACCAGAAGCCAGAAGGACATCTGATCTACCTCACACACACACAAACAAGCACTGGTGTTCAGAGTTACAACTTTTATGCCCTTTGGGGTCCCATTTAGCTTTTTGCTTTACTTTCCATTCACTCACTTACTCACTCACTCATTCATTCATTCATCATTCATGCCCTGATGGCATCTCAGAATCAAATATTATTAGTGTTCTAGTATTCCCCATAAAGATATAGGTTTTGGCCAAAGAGTGTCTGGTTAGTGCATTTCCATCTAGGGTAACAAAGCTGGTTTACTTATGATAATAGAGCAACTTGTTCCTCACCCTAAATTATGCAGCAATATGTGGATGAGTCTACAAGGCTCAATATCTTACCAAAAATTTGTAGTGTCAGTCTGAACTGGTATTTACAAATGAAGAGATGTTATTAGTGGAGCAATTTCATTAAATGAATATTGTGCCAAATTATCTCAAATTTATAAGATAACACTTAAAACAATTTTATGGAAAATCGCTTCCAAAATTATGCCCTTATGAAATGCACACACTAATAACACACCACAAGGACACATAAATTATATAAGAGTCACATCCTTTTGCAGTTGCATACATTGAATAATGTGATGTTTTTGCAAGAGCAAAAAGTATACTATGTTATTAAAACATACTGGCATTTTAAAATGTTACATTAAAATCACCATAGACAACTAGAAGATACAGAGGCACTAAAGACATAGTGTTTTGAGCAAGATGAGATTTGTTCCCCCTTTAAAGGGGAAAATAAAAATGCAAGACCACATATATAAAGAGAATGAGATGAGCTTCAAATAGGAACTAAGAAGAGAAAGTCCCACCTGTAGCTATTTTGTAAAGTTTGCTACACTGAAATGAATCAAATCATCAAAAGTGTGAAGAATTCAGTTATTTAGCAATAACATGGAAACATCTCTTTCCATGAACTCCTAGGAATTGTGATGACTATGCCAATGGGAGAGATGAGAACCACTCATAAGGCTGAAAATGATGAGTCAACACCCCACTTGTTCAGAGAGCCCAGCCATGTGGAACGGCCCACAGTTCCATTCATGCACCACGCTGTTGTGTACATGTTCCCATATCCTACTTCTGTAGATTACAATTCTTCTGCTGCAAATACCTTTCCTTCTTGCCTCTCATTCTCTTCTTCTTTGGATCCTCTGGTGAGCCCAACTTCATCTTTCAAGATTTGGCTTTGGAGTAAAATCACTATGAAGACTTTCTTGACCCGAATTACCGCTTCCCCATTTGGCTCCTCATGCATCCCCTTCAGGATACTTGTTGGTTTCTGCATTACCTCTTCACTAGGCTATAGCTGTCTTCATCATCACTGTGAACCTAAGCCTCAGCATTACTACCGTATCAGTCTGTTCTCATACTGCTAATAAAGACATACTGGAGACTGAGTAATTTATAAAGGAAAGAAGTTTAATGGACTCACCATTCCACATGGCTGGGGAGGCCTCACAATCATGGCAGGAGATGAAGGAAGAGCAAAGGTTTGTCCTACATGGCACCAGGCAAGGTAACTCCACTTTATAAAACCATCAGATCTCATGAGACTTATTCACTATCAAGAGAAGAGCACAGGAAAGACCAAACCCTATGATTCAATTACCTCCCACTGGGTCCCTCCCATGACACATGGGAATTGTGGTAGCTACAATTGAAGGTGAGATTTGGGTGGGAACATGGCCAAAGCATATCAACTACTAACACAGATGGGTGCATATTTGTTGAACAGTGAAAGGGGAACAATTTTGCTGTATTGTCATAAGTAAGCCAGTTTTGTTTCCCTAGATTGAGATGCACTAACCACACACTCTTTGGCCATAACCTTTGCATGGAATACTAGGACACTAATAATGTTTGATTCTGAGAAGCCATCAAGGCAGGAGCCTGTATCAAAATGAATAATGATTTGGCAGTAAGGTAACCTAGAATTGTGTGGTGGCTTGGCCATTTGGTAGTTGTTTTGTGGCTTTGGACAAGATTTGGTACTTCAATAATCCTTAGCATCCTCATTGATAATATGAGGATCATGGAATGGGATTGGACGACAAAGGCTTCTTGGAGCATAAAATCCATTATTCCTGATCAACTTTAGTTATATATTATACTAAATATATAACTAAATATATTTATTTAGTTATATATTATTCTATCTTTTTTATGTCTAAGGTCTATATATCCTAGCTCTTCAAATATATTGCAAAGTCATCTAAGACATGGTATGGACCATCTTTTCATTAATTTTGCAAAGCATTTAGACAGGCTTCTGTATTAAGGGCTATGACTGTAGAGCCCAGAGGCCTGTGTTCAGTCCTGGCTCCAACATTTACAGTTTTTAGGTCCTTGGGAAATTTACATTTCTTCTGTGTCTGGTGCTTTGAGTATGTTGTGCAACCTCTCTGAATCTAAATTTCAGTTTATTCACCTGTAAGGAGGAATGATAATGTCGCGCCTCAAAAAGGTGTGTTGTTAAGAAGGCAGTGAGGATTTTTCCAGATGTGCCAGCCTCACACACTGCAAGAAATGCAGCCAACAGCCAAGCATGCAAGTGCTGAGGAAGGAGAGACCATGAGGAAAATTTTACTCTTTCCTTCTAAACCTAGCTTAGCATAGACATCACAAGGAACATTCTTTGCATAGCTGATAATCATGAATGAGGCATTTCTCTTTAGCTCCATCATGGTGCAGTAGAAGCAATAGAAAAAAAAAATTTGAATTGAGACCACAATCCCACTTCATTGAAAAATATACAGCTCAAATGGAATAGGCAGACACAGGCCTTATACCAAGTGATGCACTTTATTCAATCAGGACAAAATCACGTCATGAATTTCTACATAATCGCAAAGCCACTTAGAAGCAGAAAATGCAAGCCACTGTTGAGTAGGATTCTTAGAACAAAGTGGTAGGCAGGTTGGGAGGCTGGCTGAACTCCCAAAGACCTTCAAGTCAGGCTGGGGACAGGATCAATGGCCTCAGTGGTTAGGAACAATGACATCAATGTGCTAATTATCTCTGTGATTCTGAGTGTAAATGCTCTGGTCCCTACAGTCCATAGGCATGACAGATGATGACTAATGGGCCATCGTCTCTCCCTGGCCCAGGCTGTGCTGACACCTAGCCAGTATCTTTAAACAATGAGTGAAGTTTGGAGATGAAACAAACTCCACTAAGCTGTGTCCATTACGGACTAAATCATGGCATGCCATGGTTAGGGGGCAGAACACCAGAAGCTACCTTCTATGACCAAACTTCAATGTGATATAGAATTTTTCATTGACAGATTTCTACCCCTCCTTGAACTCAGCCACTCTTCTTGTATTTGATAGACATTGTCTCATTGCAACTCTGCCAGGAGGAGAAACACAACCCTGTCTCCTAAGGGCTTAAATCTACGGTGACCAGCAGATTTCACTTGCTCTTCCTTGGCCTCTTCTCTTAAGTCTGCACCACTGTTCCTATTCCCAGCAAGGCATGAAGTAGGGTGAGGGCGCAAAAGGAATAAAATAAAACCAAGGGTACCCCCTCCAAGAAATAAATACAGGTCTTCAGAAGGGTCAGTGCTGGCCAACTGTCAATCAGCCAGTGAAAATAACTGATTTTCACCACCAGCAAGCAGCTAAGAAGACAGCATAGCCATACAAATTATTAAGCTTGTGGTACAAAGAAGACGGCCCTAGATTGTTGTTTCAGTACACATCTACCCTTACCACCAGGTGAAAACTGTCTTTCACTTGGATCTGAAATTGCCTCTGCCAGTATGTTCACCATTCAATCCTGAGAGCACCAAGACATCATGCACTGTTTTACAAAGGAGAGCTTTAATTTAGCACCCCAAAATATGTGTGTGAAATCATCAGACCTCGACTTTCTAGATGCTTCTAACCATTGCATACTTTCAAGCGAAATGCTTTTAATAGGCAGGAGTGGAGTCAGGTATCAAGCTAGCAAATGTTTACTAAGAAGCCACTTTTCATCTTGCCCTGTAATTGGCTTTTTAAGATCAAGTGAGAATTTTGACAGAACTCCTGCCCTGAGATTATAATCTGAAAGAACAACACTAAAACAAACTACAAGAGAACAAACAACTTGGGTTCATATATACTTGACGCTCAGTTCTGTGGTCAAATTATGAAAACAAAGTGGGGAAAAATGAATAAGGTTTGGATAGACTTGAGGCTGCTGGATACGTTGATACTTAAGCTGGAGATGGACAGAAGGTTCCCTTCTTAATGTGAGACACCTGCATTCTTACTTAGGAAGCTTTTCTGAGCACCAGATAGGCCTCTGTACTGGGAAGCAGAAGGAAAGTGACAGCTGCCCAGACCTGGCCATGCTCCAGCAGACCACAGACACCCCACAGAAATCTGAGAGGGACCTCAAGGTTCTACTGCAGTGGAAGGGAAGGAGTGCTTCTTGAATGTTGATGCAAAAAAACAAAGTTACTCTAAACGTTCACAAAACCTCACCTAATTCTTTCACCATTTGACATAGGGGTGCTATGGTGGTAATGCCATAGGAATACTGAGAAGTCACACACAAATGCAACAATTATTCCAGTTTGGCGAACAGTCATATGAAGTTGCAAAACTAGGCAATACATTTAGCTTTCTGTGCAGATGAAGGTGGTCTGACAGCCAAATTTCACATGTGCTTGAGAAAAAATTTTCCCCATCCGTGATTCCAGTTGCTAAGCCAGGGCTGTCTTGGATGTTGAGTATTGAGGCAATGTTGAAGGCAACCATCATCAGGGCCCTGAAGGAAGAGCCTCAAGGTTAACAATGCTCTTAGCTGGGACATACTCTGTGTTCAGACCAGTGCAGAGTGCTTCGGTGCTGTTTTTGAAACACGATTCTATCCCACAAACCCATATTGAGCATCTATTGTGTGCCAGGCACTCCACAAGACACAGGAATCTGGAAATAAATAGACTCTATTTCCTGAGAACCTAGTCTGGCAAGAGAAACATAAGCAATAAGTGTAAGTATGTGACAAGTATTGTAAGAGAATTATACAAATGAGGTGAAATGCTTCAAAGCACCACTTTTTCACCATCAGTGCAGGTATAAGGCAGAACCAAACTACAAAATTATTAAGTTTTATGAAACTATTTGCCCATGATTTTCTCCTTCATCAAAAGATCATTAAATATTTGTATACAATGTAGAGTTTTTAATGTGATATGAGCTACAATCACCAATTTTTTTTTATTTATTTTACTTTAAGTTTTAGGGTACATGTGCACATTGTGCAGGTTAGTTAGATATGTATACATGTGCCATGCTGGTGCACTGCACCCACTAACTCATCATCTAGCCTTAGGTATATCTCCCAATGCTATCCCTCCCCCCTCCCCCCACCCCACCACAGTCCCCAGAGTGTGGTATTCCCCTTCATGTGTCCATGTGATCTCATTGTTCAATTCCCACCTATGAGTGAGAATATACGGTGTTTGGTTTTTTGTTCTTGCGATAGTTTACCGAGAATGATGATTTCCAATTTCATCCATGTCCCTACAAAGGATATGAACTCATCATTTTTTATGGCTGCATAGTATTCCATGGTGCATATGTGCCACATTTTCTTAATCCAGTCTATCATTGTTGGACATTTGAGTTGGTTCCAAGTCTAAAATTTTCGCAACCTACTCATCTGACAAAGGGCTAATATCCAGAATCTACAATGAACTCAAACAAATTTACAAGAAAAAAACAAACAACCCCATCAAAAAGTGGGCGAAGGACATGAACAGACACTTCTCAAAAGAAGACATTTATGCAGCCAAAAAACACATGAAAAAATGCTCATCATCACTGGCCATCAGAGAAATGCAAATCAAAACCACTATGAGATATCATCTCACACCAGTTAGAATGGCAATCATTAAAAAGTCAGGAAACAACAGGTGCTGGAGAGGATGTGGAGAAATAGGAACACTTTTACACTGTTGGTGGGACTGTAAACTAGTTCAACCATTGTGGAAGTCAGTGTGGCGATTCCTCAGGGATCTAGAACTAGAAATACCATTTGACCCAGCCATCCCATTACTGGGTGTATACCCAAAGGACTATAAATCATGCTGCTATAAAGACACATGCACACGTATGTTTATTGCAGCATTATTCACAATACAATCACCAATTTTTATAATCCCCAAAGTCATTTCTTGTATTTGGTACCATGATCATCCTTTTAAGAGCAAACAAATTGAGATGCAGAATAAGAGACTATCAAAGCCACATGGCTAAGAACTATCAAAATGGAATAATTAACCTTGGACCTTAGACTTCAAGTGTAGCATTTTTCTCTTTACAACATATAATTAATTCCATCATAACTGCAATTCTACAATTTTCTATGATCCAATTATATAAATAATTACATTAAATGTAAATGATCTAAGTTCATGAGTAAAAGATGGAGATTGTCAGATTGGATTTAACAAAAAATAGGGGAAAAGAAGAAAACCAACTAGCTGCATTTAATATTGGATTTAAAAGGTGAGGGTCTTGTGGATACCACTTAGGATGCAGAAAGCTGGGAAGAGCACTGCTCCTCTCCTCAGTATAACCAGAAAGGTAGAAAACCTGCAAGTTCACAACACTCCTAGAACCCATTAGAGACCTGAGGTCTCAGTACAATCAATTAATCAAAAATATAAGGACAGCCAGGCAACTAGAAGTGAGAGTGGATGTACTTGCTTCCTGGAGACCAATGCCAGACAGGCCAATAAGAGGAATTCAGTGATCATTGAGAACTAAGTGGGGGCTAACATGAGGCTAGAATCCTGGTGACCACAAGCTCAGAGCTCAAGTCCCACTTGCTTCTCCATGAACCTCTCCAGGTACTCACAAGAAAGCTGGGGGAAGAGCGAGCAGCTGAGGAAGCCACCTTGGCAGCTCCTGAGAGGGAAGCAGCAGCAGAAGAGGTACAAAGCCCCACCCAGATCTTTCTCCCCTACCTCCTTCATGGAATAAAAGGCTGAAGCCACTGGCAGAAAGACACAAACCTGATTGGCCAGGTGAAAAGTCACTGCAGGTAGAGAAAGGAACAGAAAACAAACAAAAACAAACCTGCTCTTACTGCAAGGAGGTACAAGAGAAAACCCAGATCTTAGAGAATTAGACTTGCCCTACTTCTGGGGAGGGGATGATTGCTGAGAGGTCCCATCCCTGAGACTAGGGACACAGGACACAGGACCTGCCCAAAATTGAGGCTGACCCAGGATAACAGAGAAAACACCTTCCTGCCCCCACCACTGGCATGAGTGGGGGCATGCCACTGGTCCCTGATATGCCTGGAGGACTTCAGGGGAAGAGAGAGGCTGGGAATGGGGTGGAAAGCATAGCACAGCCCCTGGTTTCTTACAATGTGCCAGGAAAAACCCAGATCATCTCTCAGAGCAGGAATGCATGACACCATCAGGAAAAGCGCAGAACGTAAGCCTGCAGGGACAGAGGGGCCATGGGGCGGGGGGCGACAATGAGCACGGGACTCCAGCAGCAGGGCCTGAAGAGGCAGGCAGCAGGTTGCCCAGGCAGAGAGCCCTGGGGAAGCCTGGGCACCTAAGTGAGTTCTTCAAGTTAATGCCTTCTTGCAGGGAAACACAGGCTCCTAGATTTATCCAATAAACCATATATTTATTGGATTGAAAATCAGGATCTGAGAATGATTCATGATGTTATTGATGGGAGACATGTAACAAAGTTATATGAATTAAGTTACAGTTAGCGGGTTTAGTGAAAAGGTGCATCTGCTCTATAGGCTGACTGGAAGTTGGATCCCTCCATGTGACTAGATATACTGTTGGCCCCCATCCCATCAGCCCCTGAGCCTGTGGCTGGACACCTGTGTTACCCTAGGCTCGGTGCTGCCAGGACACAGGTGAGGCAGAGCCATGCCCTGGGATAGGGGCTGGGCCTCAGCTCCACCACTGTTTTTCTTTACTGGGTCGCATAGTACTATGGTCTGATGTTGGCGTGTCCCCAAAATGCATGTTGAAATCCTAACTCCAAGAGTGATGGCATTAAGAGGTGAGGACTTTGGGGGCATCAAATCCTGAAGGTGGAACCCCACAAATGGGATTTATGCCCTTATAAAATAGGCCCAAGGGAGCACATTTGCCACTATCACTGCAGGGATGCAGTGAGAAGGTGCTATCCATGAACCACAAAGTGGATCCTCAGAAGACACCACCAGTGCCTTGGTCTGAAATTTCCTGGCCTCCAGGACTGTGAGAAATAAATTTCTATTGTTTATAAGTTGCCCAATCTACAGCGTTGTTTATAAGTTCCCCAGTCCATGGCATTTTTATAACAGCCAAAAAGGACTAAGACACACAGGAGTCCCTCCTGAGGCTCAGGGGATCTTCCTGGGACCCTGCCCTTTTCCATGGCTCAGCCCCATACTTCCACCCCTGCTGGCAACTCTGGCCCTACACTTTTGTCATCTTAGATTTCTTCATCCCATGACAATTGGGATGGAGAAATCCACCTGGCTCTCTGTCCTTGCTGCAGCTGAAATCAGGCCCACAGAATCCTCACACCCCACTCACCTCAGAGGCATGTGCTGGGCAGGGGAAGCAGAAGAGGGAGAGCTCTCAGCACCCCTCAGACTGAGCTCTACTCCCCTTCCTCCTTCTCCCTTCCTCTCTGTGCTGAGAGCCTCAGGCCAGCTCTGTTTCCCAAAGCTCCTCCACTCAGCCAATGGGACGCCCCATGCATGCTGAAGATGCCCAGAAAAGAGCATCATTCTGAGGTCCCCTCAGATCCCTCCCACCCCACACCCCCAGTGAGAATCTGGAGCTCCAGGGGCCTGCAGGCAGGTTGACGCCCACATCTGTGGGTCCTGCCCCATGGAGGAGCAGCTCCCTGGGTGTTTCCACACACTTTGAGCACTACTTTCTCTCCACCTGGACCTGGGTGTCCCCACCTGAAAGGCGAGGGAGCGGATGGTTGACATGCTCTCTGAGCTCCACACCCTGAGGCTCACTTCAATCTGGCATCTGCCCCATCTTCATACCAAATCAACTTTTACAAAGGCCATCAATTACCTCCGTGTTGCTAAATCCAGTGGACATATTTCAATCCTCTTCTATTTTGAGCTCTCAGCAGCATTTAAAACTGCTCGCTCCCTCCTTCTTAAAATAACCCATCCCCATGGCTTTCAGGATGAAGCCGGCCTTCCCTCCCAACTCTACAGGCCCACTCTCCCTGATATGGCCATGGCGCTTGGACTGGAGTGTTCGTTTTCTAGCATCTTTTTAGTTTCTATGCTCTCCCTGGATCATTTTGTCCAGACCTTTGCCTTTCTTTCCCAGGTATCATCAAATGCTCGTCGCACCAAAGCTCCAACTTGGGTCTCTCCTCTGAATTCACAAAGCCAGTTTCCTCCTGAAGACATTTAGTGGGATGTTTTAAAAGTATCTCAAATCCATCACATCAGATAGCAGCTTCATAAATCCTTTCCCTGCAAACCTGGTCCACTCCCAATGTTTCTCATGTCATCTAAGCGCCACCAGTCATCCTTTGACATAAGTCAGAAACCTAGAAGTGATCTTCCATACCCTCCTTTTCCTCAACTTTCATACTCAACATCTCATAGAATCCTACCAATGCAATCTCATAAATATCTTTAAAAACCACCCACCTCTGCCCTCTCCATCCCGCACCCCAGGTCCAGCCACCAGCATCTGTGTTGTGGACCTCAGCAATGATCCTCCAGCATGTCCACACAGACCCCTTCTCCTCCTCGAAACAGGCCACCCGAGTCAGCCACCAGAAGTCCACATCTTGCCATGCCGGCTCACTGCTCTTACAATGAAGCCAACATGTCTATAGGCTCTACATGGCCTGGGCCCCCAACTGCCCAGCCTCATCTTGCAAGAGACCACCCTGGCTCTCCCCAACTCCAAGCATGCTGTCACTCTCAGTACCCAGGACCGTGTGACCTCTCCCATGGGGCACTGCTCATGCTCATTCTTCAGACAGAAATGCCTCTTATTCCTCCTCTTCACCTGCATAAATCCCACCCACCCTTCACATCTCAGCTCTAAAAGTTTCCTAGGGGACAATGCCTCTGTTGAGTACCTAGTTAGTAGCACTTGAAAAGCTCTGTTCTTCTCTTTCACAATGCTTTCATTTGGCAATTCTCCATTCATTGCTTGTTATTTAATTAGGCGTACTCTTCCTTACTAAAGTTCTGTCAGGGCAGGGACTATATCTGAAGTTGCTCACATATCACAGTGCCTGGCACATTGGTAGATACTTAATAGAAACCCATCTGAATGAATCAATAATGCTACATCACAAATTAGATTTGATATCTTTACGTCAATTGGCATGGCATTGCAAAAGTAACAATGGGTTGGGAAGGAATCGATGTGGCTTCAAGCCTCACCTCTTTGGGTGTCTTGCTGTGTGGCTGTAGGTGAGTCCCTTCCACTGCCAGCTTCCTCGTCTATGACATAAATGTATTGTTCAGCTGACCCCTGAGGTTCTGTCCAGTTGGTATTACAGGATTTCCTGATTTGCCTTGGAATGGACACAAAGCATGCAATGCTCAGTTGGGGAACCTGGACCAGAAGAGCCAGGACATTCCTAAGATGCTGCAGGTTGGGGTTTATAAAGCCCTGGGGTGTCATCTTTTTAGTCAAAGCCACCCACAGGAACCTTGGTGAAATGTTGCAGGAGCTGAAATCCCAGCGCCTCATGGAACTTTTCAATGCCATACAAAGGAACCCCGCATACGAGGCATGCCTGTCAATCTATCTCTTGGTTTTCAGTTAACCCCTTTGATTTCACTTATAGCCTAATCTCCAGAAAAACTGATGTTCAAGTGAATCCAAGACAAGCAGGAGTTTATTAACTCTATTTACTGTATAACCACAGGTCAGTTTCCTTAATTACTAATGGGATTATTGATAAACTGGGTATAAAACCAGGATGTACTTCTAAGCCAGTTCTAACAGAACTTTCCATGATAAGGGAAATGGGCATATCTGTGCTGTCCAAAATAGGAGCCCCTGGCCACATGTGGCTATTAGCACTGAAAATGTGGCGACTGGGACTGAGGAACTGAATTCTAATTGCATTTAATTTGAATTAAACTTAAATAGCCAAATGTGGCTAGTAGCTATGCTATTGGACAGTGCAGAATCTAAATGATGTGAAGGATACATATGAAGTGGCTGGCACATAACAGATCCAAGGGAATTGTAGCTATCTCCTACACCCAGCTCCACCTTCATGAAAGTGACTAGATAATCTTCCTAAATCTGCCAATCCCCTGAACCCTGTTTAAGTTACTGCATTCAAGAAATCCAACTTGTAAAAAGTAAGTCCCAATGATGTTATAGAAGAGAATCGTTAAGTCCTGACTTCTGTGAGCCCCAGGCACAGCACACATTCATTCACTCTCCATGCATGTGTCCACTCAACAAACTCCCGCCAAGTGTGTTCTCTGTGGGGAACCAGGAGATGGTGAGGAGGCTCCTGCACTTCCGAAGGAGGCGAGGGTGAGTCCTGAGCTGTAAGTTCCTGCTTCTTAGTCATATATATTTCCTTAAAGAGTTTCTCCCCATCTCCCCAAGATTAGGCCACTACCGAGTACCAAGTCTCTTTCTATGTTGATGCAAGTTAGCAGCAAAAAATGAGGTAATAGTGATAGACCCCATTTATAGGTCATAAGTAAAATGTATGAGGCCAGTTTTTTATATGTAATGTTTCACACAAGCAACACACACACATATATATTGTGATGGTTAATATGGAGTGTCAACTTGATTGAATTGAAGAATGCAAAGTACTGTTCCTAAGTGTGTCTGTGAGGGTGCTGCCAAAGGAGATTAACATTTGAGTCAGTGGACTGGGAGAGGCAGACCACCCACCCCTCAGTCTGGGTGGGCACCAGCTAATCAGCTGCCAGTGTGGCTAGAATAAAGCAGGCAGAGGGACATGGAAGGACTAGACTGGCTGAGTCTTCTGGCCTCCATCTTTCTCCTGTGCTGGATGCTTCCTGCCCTTGAACATCAGACTCCAACTTCTTCAGCTTTTGGACTCTTGGACCTAAAACAGTGATTTGCCAGGGGCTCTTGGGCCTTCAGCCAGACTGAAGGCTACACTGTTGGCTTCCCTACTTTTGAGGTTTTGGAACTTGAACTGGCTTCCTTGCTCCTCAGCTTGTAGACAGCCTCTTGTGGGACTTCACCTTGTGATCGTGAGTCAATTCTCCTTAATAAACTCCCTTTCATATATAGATCCATTTGATTAGTCCTGACCCCCTAGAGAACCCTGACTAATACACACACACACACACACACACACACACACACACACACACACACACCTCACCAGCAGACCCCTGCAATTCAACACTCTAAATGATCACCAACTGAAAATGAAAACCCAAGTTAGGGGTGATATTTACCCTGCCCAAAACTCCTTGATCCAATGGAATCTCTGGATCATATGAAAAGATGGGGTAAATTAAGCCTTGATGAAGCATAAATAATCAAGATCAGGCCATGACCAGACAGGAAGGAGATTCCAAAGAATAAAATTAATTTGTAAGGGAATATAACTATCTGTGGCTCACATTTATTTCAGCTACAGCATGTGGAATGTTTGTCTGGCATTTGTCAAATGGCAGAGTTCATTTTTTTGACTGCCTCAATATGAATTTCCAACTAACCTAGATAACCTAGAATTTCAAAGATTAGAGAAATGAGAATTTAAAAACTTGCAGAAAACTAAAGCCAATAACAGTAATCGTGCTTTGCAACATAAACAAAAAAGTCTAATTTTGGCCTCTGAAAACACACCCCACCCAATGTCATTAGTCATTAAAGTATAGACAAGCTCAATCTCACACTATAAGCCTTTTTTACTTTTATCTCTACCTCCCCCTCCCCCCCAAAATATATATTTATAGTTGTACAGTAATTTGTTTAGGTGATTTTAAGCTCAAATGATTATTTTGAGGATGTTTGAAGGGAGAAGAACAGTATAACTTCACAACTTTCAGGGCAGGTCTGCAGATGGCTGAGGACTTTAATCTAGTTGGAGTGGGAGAGAAACCGTTACCTGGGGATGGTTGGTGAGGACAAGAAGCTCGGTTTGATTGGACACCAGTTGATCAGATCTACTTCCTGTTCTCCATCCCCTACTTCCCGTCACAGTGCAGGTGGAACCAGCGGTGGACTGCACGTATGCTCTGAGTGCAAACCTACCCTGCTGGAGTCCACTCTGAGTGGGAGCATCTAAGGCCCAGGAGAGCTGTGAGGTCCAAGCAGATGCCACTGACACCCTGGACACCCCTGAGGCAGAGGAAGATGGAGGAACCCCAGGCTGGGGAGGGCCGAATGCCAAGAGCACCTCCATGTCCCCTCAGCCAGAACCTGCCTCTCCACTTGGAAGATAGATTCCAACACAAAGACGTGTTGAGCTGCATGGAAGGAGAGCAGTGCCTCTGCTCACTCGTTTGGTGTTGTAGAGCCACAGGGACAGGGTCCCTGCTCAAGGCCCCACGCCATAAGCACAATAGGAAGGAGTGGCTGCTGAGTCACCTTTGTGTGTGAAATTTCCAGACTGAGGCTGTGCTATGCTGCAAACCTGGATGGGGCACCTGGACAACAAATTCCCATATGCAGCTGGAGCACCAGAGTCCCCACAAGAATCCCACACAATAGAAAAACGGAGCCCCAGAACCACGCATTCCAGAGCTTCCTCTGGAGCCTGTCAAGCTGGACGCTAACAGCAGCCCCTGGACTCCCACATGGCCTCACTTAAAGAGGCATGTGCACAACACACACACACATATGCACACAGCTGCAGCCTGATTTACACACATACAAATACATCTATTTTCTAGCGTTTTGGTGCTCAAAGTGGTCAGCCAAATGTTGCCTCTGGAGTCTCATTGCAATGCTCTGGCTGAAGCCCAGGGCCTGTGAGGACATCCCTCCAGTGCATAAATCCATGAACACACAGCCTTGAACCTCTATTCCTGTAACTTCTGAAAGTAGAGAATTCCTTTTTGTAAAGTGCAGAGTAATTTCAAAACTGACTCTGGGTCAAAGACATTAAGCTATACTCTTCTCTCAATGCATTAAAACTTTCCTTTCTTCCTTCATCCATCTCTTCTTTCAGTAAACTACTTCTGCACATCCTACCCTATTCTAGGCACTGAGAAAATATACGAATAAGTGAGGCTCAGAGTCTTCCCTTGGGAACCATTCATCCAAAGGCAATGACATAATCAGTAAATTGGTAATAAAGTATGTTAAACTTTATAATAAAATCAAGCCCAGCCCAAGAGGAGTTAAAGCTGAGAAAAAGCATTCTGCTCATGATTGTTAGAGAAGATGTCAAAAAGATAATGATTTTTAACCTAGATTTTGAGCTAAAGAAAGTGCCACAGAACAAGAGGTGGCAGGACCTCCCAGCCATGGTGAAATGTTGGTTCTTAACCACTGTGGTCTTGACCAACCTCCACACAACAGTGTCCAAAAAACTTGTGTATATATATGTGTATATATATATGTGTGTGTGTATATATATATACACACACACACATGTAAAGACACACACACACACACAAAAGAACACACAAACTCAACCACAAGCATGCACACCTAGAGTTATTTCTAGGTACATGCTTATCTAAGAGGTTGGAAAACATCAGTTCACACATATATCTCTGGTTTCAACCCAACACAAAAAGGTTCATTTTCGTTTCCTCCCTTTCTGTATTAGTAACCCTTACTGTTACATGAGAAACCTGGCGTCTATCATCCTGAGGCTGTTTGCTTGTTTCATCAACCTCCCTGTAGTAGCCAGCCACCCACTATGGCCTCATCCTCTGTGCACGCCCTCCTCAGCCTGCTTGGGCTTTGATACCTGTGAGGTCACAGTGATAGCTAGTTTTATGAGTCACCTTGACTAGGCTAAGGGATACCCAGGTAGCTGGTAAAACATTGTTCCTGGGTGTGTCTGGGAGGGAGTTTCTGAAAGAGATCAGCATTTGAATCAGTGGACTGAGTAAAGAAGATCCGTCGTCACCAATGTGGGAGGGAAAAGAAAATGCAGGCAGGTGGCACATTAGTGACCACCCTCCAGAGCCCAGTGCCTATGAATACTCAGCAGCTCCAAGGCTGAGACCCTAACCAACTGTGAAGATGGATCTGGCATCCCAAGGCTCACCTGACAGGGAGAGGCAGGTAATATGGCTTGGCTCTGTGTCCCCACCCAAATCTCCTGTCAAATTGTAGTCCCCATGTGTTGAAGGAGGGTCCTGGTGGGAAGTGATTGAATCATGGGAGCGGACTTTTCCCTTGCTGTTCTCTTGATAGAGCGCTCATGAGATCTGCTTGTTGGAAAGTGTGTAGCACCTCCTCCTTCGCTCTCTTCCTCCTACTCTGCCATGGTAAGACATGCTTGCTTGCCCTTCACCTTCTGCTGTGATTATAAGTTTCCTGAGGCCTCCCAGTCATGCTTCCTGTTAAGCCTGTGGAACTGTGAGTCAACTAAACCTCTTTTGTTTATAAATTTCCCAGTCTCAGGTAGTTCTTTATAGCAGTGTGAGAATGAACAAATACAGCAGGTCAGGAAGACGACCCCTCACTCTCCCTGGCCCTCCTTCATGTCCCTGAGGATGGATTTCACAACGGGAATGTATTATTGTCACTTCAGAATTTTACATAAGTAAGTCTGTTCATTGATAAAGTTAAAAAAAAAAGCTGGTCTTTCTAAAGCTATTAATTTCAACTTGAACATCTTGTTATCAGTTTTATAAATCTATATATTACATCACTTTCAAGGGAGACTTTGATTAATGTTTAGTCCTATTCTAATTATATTTTCTTAAACATTTTCAAATGTATTTATAATTTTAATATCATTTATTTTTATAGGATTTCAATTGTGAAAATTTAGTTATTTCAATAATTCTGATAAAAACTAATAATTCTAACACTTAATGCAAACTTGGTAAAATTTTCATGTCTTTTTCAATTTTAGAATCACACAATCCCTCTTCTCTTTCCTTCCCTTCCTAAACAATTCAGTACTAAAGTCATTTGGTGGCACAAATGAGGCAGGGGTCTGCCCTGGGACAAGGTGGGACAGGGGCTTCAGGGCAGCGTGTGAAGCCAAGCTGGTGATGAGGGTATCTGTGTGTGGTGAGGGGGTGCAGGAGGGGTCCTAGTACAGGATGTGAGACCCCTGTGGGAGGGTTAGGACAGTGACTCTGTGCAAAGGTGGTCTGGCATGGGGGCTCAGGGATGCGGGTGGCGGTGAGAAGGACACCCACATGGGAGCAAGGCAGTGTGGTCTGTAGTGTTGGAGCCAGAAAGAATGCAGAGGGGTCTCTGTGGAGAGGTAATTGTATTAGTCACATTTCTTCAAAGAAATAGAGGATATATAGAGATAAATAGAAAGAGATTTCTCATGAGGAATTGACCCACATGATTACGGAGGCTGAGAAGTCCCAAGATCTGCCTCCCACAAGCTGGAGTCTCAGGAAGGCCATTGGTGGAGTTTCAGTCCAATCCCGAAAGCCTGAGAACCAGGGAAGCCCATGATGTGAGTCAGGGTTTAAGTACAAAGGCCCAGCAACCAGGAGCTCCAATGTCTGAGGGCAAGAGAAGGCAGATGTCCCAGCTCAGAGAGGGGGGACTCACCCTTCTGCCACCTTTTTGTTCTATGGGGCCCCTCCAGAGATGTGATGATACCTGCCCACTTTGGTGAAGGTGGACCTTCCTTATTCAGTCCACTGATTCGAATGCAGATCTCTTCCAGAAACTCCCTCCAAGACACCCCCAGGAACAATGTTTTACCAGCTATCTGGATATCCCTTAGCCTAGCCAAGGTAACTCATAAAATTAGCCATGACAGTGACCTCACAGGTATCAGAGCCCAAGCAGGCTGAGGAGGGTGTGCACAGAGGCTGAGGCCATGGTGGGTGGTTGGCTCCTACAGGGTGTTCGATGAAACAAGCAAATAGCCTCAGGATGATGGACGCCAGGTTTCTCACTTTAACAATAAGGGTTACAAACACAGAAAAGAGAGGAAACTAAATGAACCCTTTTGTGGTGGGTTGGAACCAAAGATATCAATCAAAGGACCTGGTGTTTTTCAGCCTGTTAGATATGTGTGTATACAGAAATCACTCTAGGTGTGCATGTTTGTGGTTGAGTTTGCCTGTGTATATTTGTATATACATGAATACACATAATGGATTTCCTTTCCCTGTCGTCTGGGAAGTTCTGGGATTAGCACACCACAATTGCAATTCAGATCTTGTTTTCTAAGTACCACATTCCACTGGGGGAAGTGGCTAGTTCCACGCTGGGTACAAAAAAGCATAAGATGGGTCTGGACCATCTCATGCCAAAATATAAGGACCTGCTCCAAGAATGATGAAGACTTGTCAATGGACCCAGAAGCCAGCTTGAAGGCTTTCCACTAGCAATATCTGGAATAATTTAAGCAGCAAAATAAAGATCGTAACAGATGATAATCTACTGAATTAAACAGGAAACCATAATTCCAAACTGATATACATCAATAAATCAATAGTTTGAAAACTTGATGAGAGATACAATATATTCTAAAAATATTACTCTATAAAGTATTTATTAATCAAACCATACATCATTAGTAAAGGGGAACTTTGAAACTTTATAGGATGCAATGAGACAAATGTTTGCCTGTCAAAAATGTGTGACCTGAATCTAACCTTAAGGAAATGGCAGATTAGCCAACATTGGGTGAGTTTCTACAATGTGGCCTGTAATCTTCAAGCATTAATAACACAAATCAAAGAAAGACTGAGAAACTGGAAAAAATGACTCAGGAAGAAAGAGACTAGCTATGCATGGCAACTAAACTTAGCACATGATTCTGAACCAGTTCCTTTGGACACTGTTGAGATGGTTAATAAAATGCAAATAGGGTCTGAGGACTAGCTGTGTGAGAATGTTGACTTCTTCATTTTGATAGCTGTATTATGATTTTGGAGAAAATTCTCTTGTTTCTAGAAAATTCACACTGAAGTGTCCAGGTATGATGGGACATTAGGTTAGCTACTTACTCTTAAATGACTCAGGAGAAAAAGAAATTGTACTGTACTGGCAAGTTTTCAGTAAGTTTGAGACTCTTTCACAAGAAACATTATTTTTAAGAAATACAGCTACAAATCTAACATCACTTGAACATTTTCAGTTCCATATGTCAGATCTACTTCAACAAACTAACAAAACTTTTACAAGTTCAAATATCAACTACACAAAGAATATTCCTATACTTATCACTATAATATTAATACTACTAGAATTTTCTTTACCATCTCTAGACTTAGTTCTGCATCTTTTTGGATTAAGATGTTTACTCACTAAGAAAACAATTACACCGTGCCACATAAACTGAGGCCACCATCCAAAGCTAAGCGGGGTTCCCTTCTTTGGGGGCTCCTATTCTAGCCAGGATGTGGGATTTGAATTTGCACACACCTATAATAGTATATCTCACAAAAGACACATTGACCCCTTCTGACACCGTTATGGTAACAGAGACCCCAAATCTACTCCCTACAAATGAGAAAGCCCAAATTATCTAGATTCAAGTCACACATGACCTCATTCTGCACAAATCTGCACGTGTTCATGCACACATTCACACACACACGTGCGTGAATCCACACTCTTTTCACCGGCCCTTTAGATCCTCTGACCTGTCTACTGCCCCATTCCTCCCTGACACCTTATAGACATTCAAGGACATTCAAATTCCATTAGAATTGACTCTGCAGCTCTTCTATGTGTATGTCTTTTATGTTTTTTAGATCGTGACTTCTAAAACCAGATTAATAACCCTCTTCAAAGAAATGGTATGTGACAGAAAGGATATGATACGGACAGAGGTATGAGAAAGGTCAAAATTCCTACAGCATCCAAAAGGATATACAACTTTTGACCTATGACCTATATACATTGCAAAAGCTGTCAGTGTAGTCAAGTTTTGAGAAATGCAAGGGCAATTTAATAGCAATCATTTCCCTTTGCCAAAGAACCCAGAGGCTACAAGGATGGAAATTAAAAGTAATTGTGAGATTACCATTTTTGGAGATAATGATATGTGCATAATAAATGAATAGGCTGCATTTCCATATATTAAGGCATTTGGACACATTAACTGATT
Source organism: Homo sapiens (assembly GCF_000001405.40). Lineage (NCBI taxonomy): Eukaryota > Metazoa > Chordata > Mammalia > Primates > Hominidae > Homo > Homo sapiens. Next base: position 8,054,790 of record NC_000002.12, read on the forward strand.
CTGCTAATGACATATTTGGGACAGGCAAGTGAAAATATACCTACCGTTCTTCCAAAACTTGACAAATATATTTACCATTTTAAATGAAGACATGCAGTTAATATATCACTATCACACCCTCTCTGTTCTCTTCAAAACTCTCTGCCAGGAGTGTTTGCTAGTGCACTTTCCAGTTCAATGGACCTGAATCCATGTGCTGACAGAAGCCAGTGGTCACCTTTCAGCAACAGGGTACCTGTTTACAGGATTAACAATGTGTTTGCTTCCAATTTCAGGAAAAGGAAGGCTGGCAAGTAATTTGTTTGGCAGGTGGGATTAGTCTGGTTTTACAGTTGTGCCTTTCCTTAATCAAATGAGGAAGTCAAGGCTCCTGAGTCTCTCTGGCGGCTTCAGGCTGTTATCTGTGGGCACTCAAGGAGAGGGAGGTCTCCAGGCAGGACATGGCACCTGTGCAGGTGTTTCGATGTGTTATTGTTAGACATATGCACAGTTGGCATTTAAAGCAAACTAAAAAATTCTTAAAGTTTCTTCTGAGCAACACCATTTGTTGTGTTTTTAAAAAGAAAATAAGCCTTGTCCTCCTTCCTTATCAAGATATTTTAATGCAAGAGATAATCTCTCTGAGATGATTTCCTACTTTAAAAATATGTATCATATTTATTTGTAAAAATAATTTGAGTTTATTTAAGTATATTTGAATGTTCACACTGCAAGAAAATAACTGTTGCAGGATTGTAACATCTTCTCCCTCAGGCTCCCACATTTCGGGTCTGTATTCCCCTCAGTTAGAAAGAGCTGCCATCACTAAGTCAAGGCTTCATTTCATTTTTATATGCTCTTTAAGACTTAAGGCCAGGCACGGTGGCTCACGCCTGTAAACCCAGCACTTTGGGAGGCTGAGGCGGTGGATTACTTGAGGTCTGGAGTTCAAGACCAGCCTGGCCAACATGGCAAAACCCCATCTCTAATAAAATACAAGAAAATTTAGCCAGGCATGGTGGTGCACACCTGTAATCCCAGCTACTCAGGAGGCTGAGCTGGGAGAATCACTTGAACCCAGGAGGCAGAGGTTGCAATGAGCCGAGATCAGGCCACTGCACTCCAGCCTGAGCCACAGAACGAGACTCCATCTCAAAAAAAAAAAAAAAAAAAAAAAAAAAAAAAGATTTGACTAGATTATTTTTAGGTTGCTATTCTAAAATAACCAACTAATAACAATTCAGGGAGACAATGCACAAGGTTCCGTGGGAAGCATGCTGGCTTCTGTCAGACAGAACTGAGTCAGAATTCTTTCTTTTTCATTTAATGTTTAATCCAAGAATAAAGATGGTATACATACAGGCATACAATGTGATGATCTGATGTAGGTATATATAATGTATTGATTACCATAATCAATGACACATCCATCACCATCCATACTGGCTATTAGATCCCCAGACCTTGTTCATCATGTGACTGAACGTTTGTACCCTTTGATCAACATCTCTCCATTTCTACCACTACTCAGCCCCTGGAAACCATGATTGCATTCTTCACTTCTGTGTTTGATTATTTTTGATACCTCATGCAAGTATAATCATACATTATTTGTCCTTTTGTAACTGGCTTATGTTACTTTAGTATAAAGTCCTCAAGGTTTATCTAAGTTGTTGCAGATGGCAGGATTTCCTTCCTTTTATAAGGCTGCATAATATTCTATTGTATATGTATACCACAATTTCTTTATCCATTCATTCATTCATGAACATGTCAGTTGTTGCCATGTCTAGGTTATTTTGAATAACGCTGCAATAAACATGGAAGTACAGATATCTCTTCTAGCTACTGATTCTTGTGCTTCCTTTGGATATAGACCCAAAAGTGGGATTGATGGGTCATATGGAAATTTAATTTTTGTGGAGTCTTCATACTGTTTTAATTAGTATCTGTACCAATTTGCATTCCCATCAACAGAGTACAAGCAGTTCCTTTTCTCCATATCCTTGCCAATGCTTATTATCTTCTGTCTTTTCAATAATAGCATCTTAGGAGGTAGGAGATGGTATCTCGCTATGGTTTTGACATGCATTTGCCTGACGATTAGTGATGTTGATCACCTTTCCATGTATCTGTTGGCTACTTGTACATTTTCTTTGGAGAAATATCTATTCAGGTTTTTGACCACTTTTTCATTGGATTGTTTGGGCCTTTGCTATGGAGTTGTATGTGTTCCTTGTATATTTTGGATACTAACCCCATATCGGATCTATAGCTTGCAAATATTTTCTCCCATTCCATAGAGTTGTCTTTTAATTTTGTTGATTGTTTCATTTGTCATGCAGCAGTATTTAGTTTTATTTAGTCCCATTTGTTTATTGTTGCTTTTGTTGCTTGTGTTTTTGGTATCATTTCCAAAAAGTCATTGGCAAAACCAATGTCAAAGAGTCTTTTCCCAAAATGTTTTGTCTAAGAGTTTTATAATTTCAGGTAGTTTTGGCAACATATTTATTAAAGAGACTATCATTTCCTCATTGTGGATTCTTGGCGCCTTGTCAAAAATTATTGATCGTATGTGTGTGGGTTTATTTCTGGGCTCTCTATTCTGTTCTATTGGTGTGTCTGCCTGTTTTTTATGCCAGCCATACTGTTTTTATTAGTATGGCTTTGTAGTATACTTTAAAATCAGGCAGTGTGATGCCTCCATCTTTGCTCTTTCTCAAGGTTATTTTGGCCGTTCAGAATCTTTTGTGGTTTGATACAAATTTTGGATCTTTTTTTGTATTTCTATGAAGAATGAACTTGGAAATTTGATAGAGATGGCATTGAGTCTATAGAATAATTTGGATAGTGTGGGTGTTTTAACAATATTAATTAATTATTATTGTTAATGTTGACCTCTTAAAATGATTTTGAAAGTATTCCTTTCTCTTCAGTTTTTTAGAATTATAATGAATCATGAATGATCAATTGGTTTCTCAGTTGTCTCTACTGGGGTTCTTTCAAATGAGTCATATTTGTATAATAGCCATATACTATTTTACAGGTAAGAAGGGATCAAGTGTTTTTATTAACTTCACAGAAATACTCCTCATGTATCTGGCTCTCACATTTGTATTCATTTTCTATGCTACATAATGAATCGCCACAAAATGGTGGATTAAAACAGCACATTTATTATCTTACTTTTTCTGTGGGTTAAGAGTCTTGGCATAGCTTAGCTATTTCCTCTGCTTAGCATCTCACAAGGCAGCAATCAAGGTGCGGTCTGGGCTACACTTCCATCAGAGGTTGGATGGGGGAAGAACTGCTTCTAACTTCCCTCAGATTTCCCTCAGATTGTTGAAAGAATTCATCTCTTTGCATTTGCAGAACTGACATTCCCAATTTCTTGTTGGCTGTTGGCTAAGGCAGCTCTCAACTCTACAGGTGTCTTATGGTTCCTTGTTGCATTGCCCTCCCATAAACTCTCTTGCAATATGGCAGATTCCTTCCTCAAGCCTCCAAGGGAGAGAAGTCTTATGTGTGCTATAAAGATGGGGTGTGTGTGTGTATGTTTGTGTGTGTATTTGTGTGTTGTAATATCCCATCACTGTTACCATATAAAATAGCCTGATCACAGGAAAAGATTAAATGGCAAGACCATAGGGCCACCCTACTAAGATCTGTCTGCCACAACATTTAAACCATTTATCTGAAACTCTTTTGGTAAGAAGCATCAGAAAATATTTACACAAGATGTAAATTAGAAAAAATATCACTGTTGGAGTATTGTCATGCAGGCCCTCCTGTGCTTCTTTGGGGAAGATTTGGGCAATAGAAAACCAACAACTCCCCTAGCAAAGGGCTAGACTTTCTGATAGAGAAGTCTAAATACAGACAACAAGTATTTCTTCTTTCAGTCCCAAGTGTAATGGCCTTTTCCCCTACTGCCAATTCAATGAAACAGTGCTAAAATTAGCCATTTGTTTTTGTTATTGTTATTCTTGTTACACTCCTTTGGCACTTAATACAATGTGTCCAACATAAACTTTGTCGTGTGCTTATGTCTTGCCTCCAGAGAGGAAGTGCTCTTTCTCTCCTCTGATCCAGTTGTGCAAAATCGGTTCCTCTTTCAGAGCTGTTATCATTTCCTGCCTTTTTTAAAGCTCTTTGTACATCTGCCTTGTCATTCCTATTGGTCTGAGATTTATTGGAAGTGAATGAAGAATGTTTTATTCCTCTCTAGCATCCTATAACAGCTAGCACAGAGCCTGGCATGTAGTAGACTCTCAGTTAATGTCACTGATTGGATGAATAAATAAATGAATGATTAGATTTTACTAAGGAAATTAAAACCTCTCTTGAGGGTATGCCTGAATTTTTGTATCATTTTACATGTTCCACATGTTTAACATATTTAGATCAAAGAAACCAATAAGAATCAACATCAACTCAATGACTGAAAAAGATGTCACATATTCAATTAGTTATTCAGGTCCCTAAGCTAATGTATGTAAATACAAAGATTAACTCTAAATCCAAAGTAAGCAGTTAATAAACAGATATTGACACACAGTCTACAGGTACACAATGAATGAAATCCCTCTTCTTTTCAGAAACACTCTAGATTAAAAAAAAAAAAAACACTGATCCAGAAAGACAACACCTGTGTCAACATCAGGGACTCCTCCCACCCGTGCACATCCCTCAGTCAATTCAAAAGAAGCGGAGCGTCCAGAGGCTAGAACATGTGCCAAACACCTCTGAATGTGCTGGTGCAGCCATCACTATAGAAAGTGCAGAAGTCAAAGACACCTGTACAATGACTGAAATCTCATTTACTGACCTAGGTATTTTAAAAATTCTATTTACCTGACCCTTTAATAAAAACACCTTTTTATTGCTTAAACATAATACTAAAATATGAGTAAATAACCTTGGCCTTTAAGAGGTGGATAAAAAAAGAGTTGGGAGGGACATATGAAGTCTGCCTTTTTTTTTCCTTTTTTTTCTTCTTTCTCTTCCTCCTTGTCTTCCTCCTTCAATCCAGAACAAAGTAGGCAAGTGAACACCAAGAAATGTAAAGCATACAGGTCTACCCGAGGTACAGAGGTATGGTTCAATGGAAAAAGCTCTGGACTAAGAACTAGAAGCCCCCGGCCGTAATCCTGATTCAACTCTGGACCCTAAATCACTTCCAATTATCAGCCTTAGTTTTCTCATCCATAAAAAGAAGCTGTTGGAGTAGGTGATTTCGCAAGTTCTTAGAAAGGTGTGATGCATTTGGAAAGAATTCTAAAGAGTCCTTACAATCAAAGTAAAGATTTGGAGGGTTGAAATATGTAGTTTCAGAATCAATAATAATAAGTTGTTTTTTACTGTGGAAAACCTCACCACTCTTTTCCAGATGGCTTTTTCATTAAACACCCTCAATATTATTTTTCACTGTGTTCTTGAGACTGCTTTCTAGTTTCAGTTCACACATATTTATGCCCTCTAAAATGTTCTCTAAGTTGGGAGTTCATCTGGAAAAAGTCAAAATGAAAGTGAAGCACCCCACCAAGCCCCCCACCAAAATCAAACTCACTGAAACTTACCTTCCTTGCTAAAAACTTCAGGTTCCTTTCTCTCCTCATGCCAAATTGTTCACAAAATCTAAACCAAGGAAACAATGAGATTTTAAACTGCATTACATGTTTTGTGAAACTCTCTTCTCCTCCTTCCCCAAGCTATCCACTTCTTTGTCTCTAAGGTAGAATATACTGAAAATAAAATGCAAGGATGCACTTAAATTCATATAAATTTTAGCACTGGAAAAATCTTTGGTTTAATCCAACTCTGTTACTTTTTTATTTTATTATTTGTCCCAGATTACCAAGATATTTTATAATAGATGTGAATTACCTGAAAATTCTCTGACAAGCATGGATAATAAAAACAAAATGAAAGAAGGCGGAATGTTTATTCATACCCATACCTAATATGTTGCAATCATTTCTATGACATATATGCCCTCATTTCTTTCACATAGCTTATTTCATTTACCCTTTAGCACAGGTGTGCAAGGTGGCCACTATTACCTTCATTTTAAAGATGAAACAGAAGGTCAGGAGAGCTATGTGACTTTCCTGAGTTCAACAAATAAGCTAAATGAGGAACCATGTCAGTGCTGAGATTTGAATCCACATCTGATCCCAAAGTTTGTGGACTTGCTCTTTTACCAAAGAGATATTCAGTAAGTTTAAAACATTTAGTAACTACATTGTTAAATTCTAAAGGAAACTCATTTTTTTTTCTGTATATTCACTTCCCAGAGCTTTTTAGGATATTAACCAGTCTCTAACACACAGTAGGCTTTGGTCCAACTAGTGTAAAACATGGTGCATAAATTCACCAGAGATAAAGAAAATATTAATACACGAGTAGCTAACCATTGGTGGCAAGTGACAGGAGAGGGAAGGTTTACAGATTTAGGTAAAGTGTTTTATTTATCCGAAGTTTTCTCTTGGGTATTTTCAGACTACCATAACTCCTTCTGAACATGAGAGACTGGACACATCTCTCTGTTCTTTGTGGTTACTCCAACCACAGACACGTCCAGAGAAAAAGTCTGCACGCCTTGTGCAACTTGTCAGAAGATGTCACCAATACACAGTGGTATGCCGCTAATGTCTAACAACCAGGTCTTTGGAGAAAAACAGGTCCTGATTTGTGGTATTTGCCAATTTCCATGGTGTAAATACAACGACCATGACGGATTCAAAACCATAAATATGTCATCGCAGACTGCAAGTAGGGAAGAAATGAACAGTAGCCCATGCTGTATAGTATTTCCACCGTACAGAAATAACAGGAGTAACCGCTAGATTGTGGGATATGGAAACATGTGGTCAAATGATTAGCAAGTGATGAATTTTGAATATTATCTTTTTATATAACCTTTTCCTTGTTGGTTAATATTAACTTGTTAAATTTTACCAATGCCTGTGTATAACAACTGGGTCACAAAGTTTCTGAAAACTTAACAGTCCACTCTTGTGAGCTGGTGCAAGCCAGTCCCAGCCCTCGACTGTGACTATTTCATTCCTGCTCTAGGTTTGTACTTGGGTGGATGTTTAGGGATTTGCTAGCATGAGTTAGGTGTGATTAGGTATACACTCTGCTCCAGCAAGATTCCAAATACGACAGTTTAACCTTAGAAAATAAAGGGTAATGTTAGGCCCTCTGTCTGAAATACTTTCTATTAGGGAAACAGCAGGAGCAGAGATCCTGGGACCAGGCCTGCTGTGCTCCAGGAAGGATGACATCCTGCTCCTAGTCCCTTCTACAGCAGCCTAGGTGTGGGGACAAGCACCCACGTAGCTGAAGGCGGCATGCACACACTTATACTCACTTGTCTATAAGCTTTCATTTTTAAACTTTCCCAACTGTAGAGCTCTGGAAAGATGTTCAAAACTGTGCTTTTGCAAAGTAAATGCTATAATCTGTTGGCTTTCTTTTTATCATCAGTAGTGCTTTCTCATCGTTGTCCAAACTTCCATAGAAAAGGTGAAAACCTTCAGAATAATTGCCACCCTGCCACGTGCTGGGCCTGGCAGCGTCACTCTGCTGGTGATTTCATGCGTGCTGGGCTTCAGAAGGCTCCCTGGCTCCCACTGTTTCCCACTGGGCTCTCAGACCCCCAGCTCTTCCCTCTCTCACAGGCGATCCTTCCCAGGTCTCTTTCCTGGCCCCAGACAATTCTCCCTGGGGTAGATGGACTTTTATTTATACTACCTGAGTCCCTTTTTGCTTTCGTTTTTCATTTGGTCTTTATGTATTTATCAAATATGTACGTGACACCTTTCAAAAGAGCAGATCATTCCATAATGCTTATTATGGAATATAATCCCCGACTCTCTTCCACTGTTCAAAAGCACTTTTAGCCCTGTCAGCTGACTCTATTGGTACTTACAATCATTTCTCTCTGTAAGTCGCTTAGAGTGCAACTTTTGCTTTTCTGTTTTAGACTGTATCTATTAGTGTCCTACAGCAGGAGATGAAGATTTAAACTATCACTTCCTGTATCCCCATCTTCCCAATATAGTTACATCATAGTCAATGTTTACTTAATTATGACCATGTAAACTCTGTTCATAGCTGAGCCATATAATACACTATGATTACTTTTCCATTCTTGAACAATTTTTAAGCTCTAAAATTAAGAATTGTATTTTCTGTTTGCTATGTTTAAAAGCAATTCTCATTTATTCACTCCCAAATTGTCTCCCAATTGTTTAAATACCCTTTTCATACACTGATGCATACCAGGTATCTATTTCTGTCATTGTCTTAGAGGCCTCTCTTTCATAGCCTTCTAACAGGTCCCTTTGGCCTCGTGTTGTTATCCTGAGATCTCAATGCGGCGTCACACTGAGGATTCTCTCTATGATTGAATCCTCTGTTCCCTGGATTCCATGTTTCTCACTTATTTTGATAAAATAACTCTTTTGTAGCCTCCTGAAAAAGAGGTCATAGAAAAGAAGTTTTTCAGACCTTACATGCCTGAAACTGTCTTTTGTCTAGCTTCATATATAATTTATAAAATATGATATGACATTGTAGTTGGGTTGGATATAGAATTCTAAGTTGGACATAATTCTCCTGAGATATTTGAAGGAATTTCTTCTTGACTTTTATCTTACAGTGTGCTCTAGAGAAATCTGAAGCCATACTGCTTTTTATCTTTAGTTAATCACCATCTTTTTTATTTTTTAACCTCTGGAGACATTCAGGATTTTACATTTAACCCCAGAGTTCTGAAATTTCATGATGGTCCCATCAGGTACAGGATAATTTTTGTCTCCTACTCTTGAAAACACAAGATCCTCAATGAAACCTTTTCCTCCCACTAGTTTCTCACCTGGATGTCTCCAGGATGACCCTACTTCTACGGCTCTCAGTTTTCTTGTTTGCAAAATGTGGATAATATTCATGGAGTACTTGAGAAATTGAAACTTTAATATCAGTGACTGTAAGTGAAAACTGAAAAAGCACTCCATATTTTTAAGTTGTTATAATTACTACCATTATTTTATCCGAATGAATCTTTCCATATATTTGCTTTTGTTTTGCTGTTTTTTCTTTCAGAGACAGGGTCTCACTCTGTTTCCCAGGCTGCAGTGCAGTGGTGTGTTCACTTTGAATGAAGACCAGAGATCCTCAATCCTAGGACATTTTTGCATGTTATTTCTTTATTATTTCCTTTCTTCTATTTTCTTGTTTCACACAGAACTCGATTTCTCTTTGAATGCTAGACTTCCTAAACTGATTGTCTATAGTTATTATGTTCCCCTCTTAATTTTCAGTTCTTTATCTTTTTTGCCCCACTGTCTTAGAGATTCCTTCAACTTTATCTTTCAGTCCTGCTAATAGGCTACCCATTTCTCCTATCATATACTTAATTCCCCAAATTTCTCTCTTATTCTCCATTTATTTTCTCTTTCTAAAGAATTCTGTTCTTCCTACACAAAGAAAAAACGTTTGGTAAACTCTTTGATGATGTTAATAATGTATGTTTTCAATTACCATCTTCCTGCATAGACTCTGTGTCCTCTATCTTTTTTTTTTTCTTTTTGTTTTGTTTTGTCTCTTGTTCTTATGGCAGAGGCCTTCGTAAGTTAACTGGTGGACTTTTGTAGCTGTTCATATTTAATAGCGGGACACTAAAAGATTTTTGGAAGTTTTGCTGTGTATGGGAATTGTCAACTGTGGGTTTGCTGATAAAGTGAATGACTGGATCATTTTGGAGGAATTATCTTCATATCAGTGGCTTTTGGTGTTGTATTAGCCCATTTTCATGCTGCTGATAAAGACATACCCGAGACTGGGTAATTTATAAAAGAAAAGAAGTTTAATGAACTCACAGTTCCATGTAGCTGGGGAGGCCTCACGATCATGGCGGAAGGTGAAAGGCATGTCTTACATGGCGGCAGACAAGAGAGAATGAGAGATGAGCGGAAGGGGTTTCCCCTTATAAAATCATCAGATCTCATGAGACTTAGTCACTACCATGAGAACAGTATAGGGGAACTGCCCCCATGATTCAACTCTATCCCACTGGGTCCCTCCCACAACACTCAGGAATTATGGGAGCTACAATTCAAGATGAGATTTGTGGGTGGACACAGCCAAACCATATCAGGTGTCTTCTCTTGGGCTGATCAGATTTCCCAGAGCAGAATCCTTGAATCTGTACCTGAAAGCTACAGATCTGTCTACCTGTCCTCTGCAGGTGAAGAGGGCTGGGGCAGTCTCAATATGCAGCTCATAAAATTGCCTTTATTTCCTGTTTTCTGTGTGGCAGCCTTGTGATCTATTTTGACTCATGTCCTTCAATTCAGAAACTCTGTCTTTATCTCTTCAGAAAATAAAATTCCAGTCTCATCTTGAGGTTGACGAGGGGTTTCCCTGCCTTTCAGGGTAGTGGAAATGAGGGCTTTGATACCTCTCAGACAGCCTTTCGGAGACTCCTTCAGCTTCCAGCCCTCTCTATACTCCAACTTTTGGAGACACTGGATTAGCCAATTCCTGAGACTTTTGTAAAATTGTAAAATCTTTTTTTCACAGGTGATTTAGACATGACTTTTCTAACTGCTAAGTCAGCAACTAACTGTTTTTCTGCTTTCTAACTTCCAAAGTGCTTGCTGTGGAACTTAGAGAACTCCTATTATCTTTATTTTTATGGGTTAGTGTCTTAAAAGTTGTTGTTGCTGATGTGTTAATGGAATTCTTGGAGGAGTCTGAGGCAAATGCAGGTGTTCAATTTGCCTATAAACAGAAGGACCCAAATTAATCTTCCGTCTTCTGCCTTTATTTTGTAAATACTTCTATTTCCTCATGGATGCATTTCCCCTGATACCACCACAACATCCCCCTCAAAAAAATATAAATGAATAACAGCAAAGTTAGAAATGCAATCAATATTTTCATAACATCCTACCTTTGTCTTTGGTTAGGTACTTAACTCTAATAAGACCAGGCCAGTTTCTAGTGAGGTGAAGGTGTCTATAATCCTGCTTCTGTTAAACATTTGGGCTGGGTGCAGCAGTTCACACCTATCATCCCAGCAATTTGGGAGACGGAGGTGAAAGTATTGCTTAAGGCCAGGAGTTTGAGGCCAGCCTGGCCAATACAATGAGATCTCATCTCTACAAAAAAATAAAAAATAGGCAGGCAGGGTGGCACACACCTAAGCCCCAGGTACTAGGGAGGCTGGGGCAGGAGGATGGCTGGAGTCCAGGAGTTCAAGGCTGCAGTGAACTATGGTCATACCATGGCACTCCAGCCTGGGCAACAGAGTGAGACCCTGTCTCTAAAAGAAAAAACAACAAAACAAAAACAAATATATGGAAGGTTTCATTCAGATAAAATAATGTAATAATTGTAACAACTTAAAAATGTGGGTTGGGCGCAGTGGCTCACGCCTGTAATCCCAGCACTTTGGGAGGCCAAGGCGGGCAGATCACAAAGTCAAGAGATCCAGACCATCCTGGCCAAGATGGTGAAATCCCATCTCTACTAAAAATATAAAAAAAAAATTAGCTGGGTGTGGTGGTGCACACCTGTAGTCCCAGCTACTGGGGAGACTGAGGCAGGAGAATTGCTTGAACCCAGGAGGCAGAGGTTACAGTGAGCTGAGATTGCGCCATTGCACTCCAGCCTGGATGACAGAGTGAAACTCCATCTCAAAAAAATAAAAAATAATGTGTAGTGCTTTTTTAGTTTTCACTTACAGTAACTGATATTAATCTCTTTTAATTTCTCAAGTACTCCATGAATACTATCCACATTTTGCAAAACAAAAACAAAAACAAAAACACCTGAGAGTCATAGAAGTGGGACGGGCCTGGAGACATCTCAGTGGGAACCAGTGCAAGCCCAATGCCAAGCCACGACTCTCACTGCAGACCCTGCACTCTATCTACCATGCCACATTGGATCTGGTGCTTTTCTCACAGCTAAACTGATAAGGCCACATTCTGCCCATAAATAAAAATCAGAGTGAATTGCATTCAACTCTCTTCTTTGCAAATGAGGAGAGTATGTAAGGCAACTCCAGAATGAGGGCTCAACTGGAACCTGTTACTTGAAAACAAGAGAGTTGTAGTAACTAATACAAACTCAAGTCAAAAAGTCATATAGAATGAGAGTAGAAAAAAGCCACCCAAATGAAGACTTAAAAATCAAGAGTAGCAAGCTTATAAAAATTAAATTGAATTTCCATCAACGACAGCAAACTGGTAGGGCACTGTTGTGCTGAGCTGTCAGAACCTGCCCCACCCCCGCAAAAATTCCTGTGTTGAAGACCTAACTACCCTTACCTTAGAACCTGATCATATGAAGAGACAGGGTCCTTATAGAGGTAATTAAGGTAAAATGAGGCCATTATGATGGGCCCTAATCCAATACAACTGGTGTCACTATAAGGAGAAGAAATGGCTGAGTGCAGTGGCTCATGCCTGTATTCCCGGCACTTTGGGAGCCCGAGGTGGGCGGATCATGAGGTCAGGAGGTCTTGAACTGGCCAATATGGTGAAACCCCATCTCTACTAAAAATATAAAAATTAGTTGGGCATGGTGGCACATTCCTGTAATCCCAGCTAGTTGGGAGGCTGAGGCAGGAGAATTGCTTGAACCGGGACCCGAGAGGAAGAGGTTGCAGTGAGCCAAGATCGCCTCACTGCACTCTAGACTGGGCTACAGAGCAAGACTCCCTCAAAAAAAAAGAAGGAAAAAAAGGAGGAGGGAGAAGCAGGAGGAGGAGGAGGAGGAATGTGGATCTGCAGAGAGAAAACACCATGAAGACCCTGGGAGAAGACAAGCCACAGAGAGAGGTCTGGAGCAGACCCTCAGCTGCCACCTGCCCCACCCTGCCCACACCTTGATCTCGAACTCCCGGCCTCTGAAACTGGGCCAATACATTTCCGTTGTTTCAGTCACCCCATCTGGGTACTTTGCAGCCCTAGCAAATGAACCAGGAACCCAAAATACATTGAACCTGAAGGAGCCCTATCTATCAACCCGTTACCTACTCAACACTGTTCCCAGGCACTTATAGAGGTTCGAAGACTCAGTGTTATTCGTCAAGAAAGCTTATGATCAATCTGGGCGGGGAGAGTCCAAATATTAAAAAAATGAGAGGCTGGCACACAGCACCAACCTGTCCTGGTTGCTGGCCGCCTGTGCTCCCCTCTGCAGGAGCACGTGCTCCCCTCTGCAGGAGCACGTGCTCCCCTCTGCAGGAGCACGTGCTCCCCTCTGCAGGAGCACGTGCTCCCCTCTGCAGGAGCACGTGCTCCCCTCTGCAGGAGCACGTGCTCCTGGCCCTGTCTGCTCCCTAGAGGCTGAGTCTGGTTTCTCTGCCTGCCCCTCCCTCCTCTCCCACTCCCTGCCTGCACTCTAGCTTCGAGCCAAAATGAACATCTGAGACCTCACAATGTTTCATTCCCTTAACGTTCCTGACTTTGTGTGTCCCAGCACTCCTGATGGTTCTCGCAACTCTGCAAACAGACCTATAAGTTTCCTACAAAATGCTCACGGCATCTCCAGAACTCGGTTGAAGTGTGGCTGCCTTCAGAAGACTTTTCCCTGAGCACTTTCTGAGACCAGCTCAGGGGTTCCTTTTCTCTGCTCCCATCCTTTCCTGGGCTCCCTTCTGCAGTGACACCTGAGTGGCTCTCCTGGCACCCGATTAGGCTTAAGCTCCGCCAGGCTGAGTTTCCTCCAGGCCAGGGTTGTGTGGGGCCTGCTGCGGGTGAGAGGGCAGTGCCCGCATCCCCAGCGCCCTTCTCCCTCTCCCAGCACACACCAAACCTCTCTTTGTGTTGCTTGACAAACACAAGAGCTTTTATTTTAAAACTGGGAGAAAATAAATTAGAGAAAGAAATGAAAAAGCACCTCCCCACCCCTCATCCCTTGGACTGATTTTAAATACCCAGACAGAGAGAAACCAGAGGCAAAAGTGGCCAGGCTTCTCCAAGGCAGTAGCTATCAAAGGCACGTCTGAGGCCTTGGGACCCCAGAGACCTTTGCAAGGGATCTGAGGATTGAAAGCTTTTTTCATAGTGACACTAAGACACGCTTTCCCTGTTTCCATTCTCATTCTCTCAATGGAGTTTCCCGGAGCCTACAGGAACCTGATGGCACCACTGTTCTGACAGTATGTAAAAGGGGTGCATTTTTCAGCTCTAAAAATGTCTCTTTAAAAAAAAAAAAGAAAGGCCAGGCGCAGTGGCTCACACCTGTAATCCCAGCATTTAGGCGGGAGGATCACGATGTCAGGAGATCGAGACCATCCTGGCTAAAACGGTGAAACCACGTCTCTACTAAAAATACAAAAAATTAGCCGGGTGTGGGGGCGGGCTCCTGTAGTCCCAGCTACTTGGAAGGCTGAGGCGGGAGAATGGCGTGAACCTGGGAGGTGGAGCTCGCAGTGAGCCGAGATTGCGCCACCGCACTCCAGCCTGGGAGAAGGAGCGAGACTCTCTCTCAAAAAAAAAAAAGAAAGAAAGAAAAAGAAAAAAAAATGGAATGCTTTGCACAAGGACGAATTTGCATGTCATCCTTGTGCAAAATATTTCTCTTTCAATTTCTAACATAATCAGTATCAGTGTATGCAACCCAAATAAAAAAAAGTCCTGTGGGGACCACAATAATCTTCAAGACTGTGAGAAGTTCCTGCTTCCAGAGAGTTGGAGAATCTCTCCGCCCTAGGGAGATTTGGGAGGATCCGTGTAAAGCAGAGCTGTCTGGACCCCAAGTGACAAATGGAGTGTTCAGAGGTGGGAGGGGACCCTTGTCTCTGCCTCTAGACAGAACCCACTCAAACTTCACAATCCCAAAGAGTGAAGGTTTAGAGAACATCAGAACAGCCACATTGGTGATGACCTAACACCCTGACAGGCTACAGCAAAACCAATTATTAGGAAGAAGGAAGCAGAGACGCATAGGAAGAAGGCAGGAGACCATGCATTCTTATTTAAGACTCAGACGCCCAACTACCTCCACCACCTCCAATAGTCCTGAACTAGGAAGCATTTTTTTTTAAGCCTCTAAGCATGGTGAAACGGCTTTTAGAAAATCCATGCCCCGAGCCGAAGGGGAGAGTGGATGGGTGGTGAAGTCACCCTTTTTCTTCTGAGACACAGCCATTTGTCATTAATGAACACAAAATATATTCAATTTCCCGAAGCTGCTGCCAGCTCTCTTACAAATTAGTTCACTTCAGCAAGATTTCACTGAAAATGTCAGTAAAATTATTTTTCTAATTAATTATTAACTAAATTCTAATCAAAATTCCAACTGACAATTTTTGTATCTTTACAACCAATTCTAAATTCATAATGAGGAATATATATTGAAAAAAGCTTTTAAATATTCTTGTTGTTTAGCAACAGGGTCTCACTCTGTTGCCCAGGCTGGAGCTCAGTGGCACAATCATAGCTTACTGCAGCCTTGAACTCCCAGGCTCAAGAGATCTTCCTGCCTCAGCCTCCCGAGTAGCAAGGACTACAGGCGCATACAACCCCGCCTGGCTAATTTCTTTTATTTTTATTTTCCAAGAGATTGGGTCTTGCTCTGTTGCTCAAGGTGGTCTTAAATGCATTGCCTCAAGTGACTCTCCTCCCTCGGCCTCCCAAAACACTGGCATTATGGGTGTAAGCCACTGTGCCTGGACCTAACCTTAAATCTTCTTAAGAGAATAATGCCGGGAAGGTTACCTAAGTAATAAAACTTGTTTTAAAACAAAATTAAGGAAAAAGACATTGTGGTATTTGTGTAAGAAGAAGGAACAGATAAGTAAATAGAAGAGAAAAGATAGTTATAGAAGATAAGAGTTATGGAAGACACATACCCCTCCACACCACTCATGGAAATGTGTGTGATATTTTCAATACAGAATACATCACAAACCAAAAGGTAAAGATGATTCAGTGTAACTAGTGCTTAAAAACATTTTAATGTTAACTAAAGGTAGAACTTTGCCTTACACTTCACCAAAGATAAGTTCTATATGTATCAGAGAGTTAAATATTTTAAAAATAAAACACAAAAAGGAAAATATGTGTGAATCTCAACTCAATCCTTATAGAGAAGGACTTCCTAAACAATTAAACAATAAAAAATAAAAGAAAAAATATCTGTAAGTTTGAATGATGAAACATAATATAATAGCCACATTATATAGCAAAAAATAAGGCAAAAAAAAAAACTGGAAACATTCATAGTAAGCATGATATAAGGTCGAGGTTCTTAATATATAAAGACCACCTGTTCACCAAAAATGAAACTCAAAAACACTCAAAATCCTCCTAAAATATGAAAATGACTAAAACATAAAATTCACAGAACTAACACAAGTGGTTAACACATTTGAAATGGGGTTCAACCTCACTGATTGGTAAAATGAGATAGCATATTTTGCCTATCCATGCACTAAGGATTTGTGGATGGCAGCTTTCAATGCTAGCAAGAATACTCTGAAAAAAGCACACATATATTTTCCTTCAGGAGGCAAATCTGGAAGTATATATCAAGAATCTTTAAGAAGACTTAGAATTAAAAGGAACACTGTTAATCAGATAGAGAAGCTAAGTTTAATATGTACAGGAATGCGCCCACAGCATTATTTATCATTGCAAACCTAGACAATGCTTAGTATCTCTTAGTCTCAATTCCTCAACTGAACACCAGGAATAGTAACCTACTTTGTGTATATGTTATATATGTAAAGCATTTGAAATAGAGCTTGGCATATAGCGGACACTTAATACATAATTATTTTTTGGATTTTGTGTGTGTGTGTGTGTGTGTGTGTGTGTGTGTGTGTGAGAGAGAGAGAGAGAGAGAGAGAGAGAGTATTACTGTGACGCCCAGGCCAGAGTGCAGTAGCGCGGTCTCAGCTCACTGCAACCTCCGCC
Organism: Homo sapiens; assembly: GCF_000001405.40. NCBI lineage: Eukaryota > Metazoa > Chordata > Mammalia > Primates > Hominidae > Homo > Homo sapiens. The sequence goes on from NC_000002.12 coordinate 8,071,712, forward strand.
TCCCAGGTTCAAGCAATTCTCCTGCCTCAGCCTCCCGAGTAGCTGGGATTACAGGCATACACCACCAAGCCCGGCGAATTTTTGTATTTTTAGTAGAGACAGGGTTCGTTTCACCACGTTGACCAGGCCGGTTTCAAACTCCTGACTTCAGGTGATCCGCCAGCCTCGGCCTTTCAAAGTGCTGGAATTATAGGCATGAGCCACTGCATCCGACCCAATGCATAATTGTTTTTGCCATCTTTTGCTGTACTAGGAAAATTCTGACAGCAATTTCTGGCTGCTGTTTCACCTTGAGCTTCCTGCCAAGTGGCACCTGAGAGATGTAGGGTACTTGCAGCTCCCAGCAGGCCACAGTGGAACGGTTTCCACTCAAACATTGACAATTTGGAAAGCAGAGGCATTTGAAGGAATATATACATAACAAATTCACTTACTGAGACTATTCCCTTAAGATGGTAGATAATTCAGGAATACTATTTTTACAATAGATATTTACATTCATAATTACTGATTTCCGATTGCCAGTACATGTGGCAAAATAATTTTGGGGGATGATGTGTGCTCGAGTGTGAGAAACATAAAGATACAAGATCAGTATAATATATATACACATACAAACACATACAATGAGAATAGTTGTATATGAGATATATAAATACATAGGTTTATACAGATGTAATATCTATTATGTCTACTTAATTGCATATAAAGAGGTAGATAGAAATGAAGAAATAAAATAAATTAGTCATTTTATGAAAGAATTCATGATCCTCCATAAGACTCCAAATCTTATCTAATAGTTAAAATGTAATTAACTGGATTTTTAAAGGTACAATTCATATTCAGTATCGCAGGGACACATATATTTCAATACACGAGGTAGACATGGAAAATAATTCACATTTATTTACACTTGAAAGCCATAGTTATTAATGCCTGCTAATCTCCCTACACAAATTCTGAAATACCAACACCTAGCCGTAAATAGCTTGAAAGTGTGACCATAAAGAATGTGCCCATAGGTGGATTATCTTAGGGAGATTAACCTGCTTTTTAATTCATTCAATTATTAGAATATTAAAAATTAAGCACTAACACTTTCAAAGTGCCAAAAAGACCCAAACACAATAATAACTCAGAAAGCTCGGACAAATAAATATAGGGACTTTAAAACCATAGCCACTTACAAAGGAATTCAGGAAAAATTTAATTTGATTCAAAGAGGTTTAAATCAAACAAATGATTATCAGAATGAAAATAATGCTTTGATCAAATGGTTTTTTTTAATTTTAAAATCTCATACGAACTACAGTGTTATCCTATGTTTACCAGAGTCATTTATCAGTATATCTATCCACTTTCCAGAATGGGGAAAAAAAAATAAAAGCTGTTACATCAGCATTTTTTTAGCCTTCTCCTTTCTACACATTAGGCCTTTCTTGTGTGTGTCTTCTAGAAAATTTGCATTTAGAGAAAGGAAATTTTAATCACTTGAAGAAACATCCTCTTGATCACACCAAAATCTTTCACTCCAAATTCCAAGCCATTAAAACTTGACCCACATTACAGAAATGATGGCACCATGGCCAAAAACTCTGCTTCCTCCCCCTAAACTCAACTTAGTGATTATATTTTCTTTTTCTTTTTTTTTTTTTTTTTTTGGCCTTGTCTCAGTCTCTTATGTAGATCAGTTTCCCCCACAGCTCAGTAATGAGATGAGGTAAGCCACGCCTATTCCAAATTACAGAGACCTAGGAAGGCAAAGGTGGAGAGGAAATAAGAGGACTCTAAAATAAGTATGGAAGTAAACACTCCTTGCTCCCAGCTTTGGCCCACCAGTAAACACAGGCTCACAACGTTTCTCCTTTGTAGATTCTGAACAAGTTTCATGAGCCAGTATCTCACAAACATCTGCCTTCATTATAATTATATTTCTATTTCAGCTGCACCAAGCTATTTACAGATGAGCCTGTTCATAAAGAGCTTTATAATTAAGCAAACAGAAATATCTTTTTATAGGATGCAGATCTAGGGGTGATAATCACACACAAAATACACAGCAACAGTTGCAAATAGAGTGTTTAACGCTAGTTATATAGTTAGTGATGTGCTCAATAAAGCCTGACATGTCTTTGTTCCTAAATACGAGAAAATATGGTCTTTGCTACACAGCAGTGTAAACTGTCTTCTTTTCCTATTTTTTTAAGCAAAGGCCATATTTTTCAGGGTGGGTTCTTAAAATATATGTGTGTATGTGTTTTATATAACAACGGGGTCATAACACACATTCTCTGGCTTAGTAGGGCTTGAAATATGCCTGGGATTTGGAGACAGCTGATTCTAAATATAAGCAGCAACGTATGGTGGCACAGAGTATGACAGATTAAATTAGTAGATAGTAGAGAGTATCTGATGGTACTATGGAAGTTGCTGCCAGACAAAAAGAAACGTACGATACTTATCACGGCAGAAAAAGGAATTGCTCCTGTTCCAATTAAAATCTGCCTAAAGCCTTGGACATTTCCCAAGAAGGCCAGTCTTTGCTCCTGTACGTTCCCGTAACTCTTACCTGAAACCTCCCCCTGTCTCAATGCTTCAAAGCTGTCACTTGCAGAAAATATTTGCAAATCTTCTTGACCATCCAGAAGTCATGAAATCCCAAAGACTGGGCAGGAAAAATAGCCATTGTTTGCTAAGATTCAGCCTTGGCACAGAAAGGTTCACATACATCAAACAACACTTTGTTTTAGAAGATATGTGTGCAGCTCATATACTGCTCCTGAGAGTATATAGTGGTGCAATGCTTTAGAAAATGAATTTAATTAGACACACACACACACACACAGAATAAGTCTAAAAATAGTAATGTCCTTTGACCTGGTAATTACAATTGTACCAATAATTATGAAGAAAAGAAAACCCGAAAAGCATCAATAAAATAACTTTTATGCAGCAAGATATTTGTCATTGTCATAATGTTTACTATTATCATAAAATAAAAATGGAATGTCCTCAGATGTCCAACTATAGGGAAATGGTGAAATAATTTATGGCAGATACATTCAGTGGAATAGCCTATAGCCATAATATATTTGTTGTCTAAAAGTTTATAACGATTTGGAGGAATATTTATAATATTAATGAGTAAAATTGGGTGAATGACACAATATAATCTCAACTGTGTACATATGAAAGTACAATAGATGGAAGGAAATACATCAAAATATTTAAAGTGATTAAAAGGGAAATGGGTATAGACAGATTTCATTTTATTCTTATTAGTTAAATGTATTTTCCAAATTTTCTATAATAAACATTTACAAATTTCAGGTTCAATAAAGGGTATTTTTAAAACTATAACCAACCTCAATGTCCATCATAATGATAAAATTGGAGTTGCTTAGTTCTATTGTGGAAGGCTGGCATCATGTTTTCCGACAGACTCAAGTAACCAAACATTTTCTATGATCGAAGTGTAGCTGTGTCTCTGGTCCACTTTCTACCAGTCTGCTAGAATATGCATGGGAGGATTCCAAGGGTTTAAAGCATGTGTTACAAGCATAACTGTATTTGTTCTTTAAGAAAAGGAAGATGAGGCCGGGCGAGGTGGCTCACGCCTGTAATCCCAGCACTTTGGGAGGCTGAGGTGGGTGGATCACCCGAGGTCAGGAGTTTGAGACCCCAGCCTGGCCAACATGGAAAAACCCCATCTCTACTAAAAATACAAAAATTAGCCAGCGTGGTGGGGCATGCCTCTAATCCCAGCTACTCAGGAAGCTGAGTCAGGAGAATCACTTGAACCCAGGAGGCAGAGGTTGCAGTGAGCCAAGATCATGGCCACTGCACTCCAGCCTAGGTGACAGAGTGAGACTTCATTTCAGAAAAAAAAAAAATGGGAAAAGGAAGAAGAGAGCACTGGCAGAGAAGCCCCTGGCTCCGGTGTGGAATGTGTCATTTCAACATAGTTTGTCTGTCTTTTGCTTGAGTCTCTCTCCTGGTCTGTGTGCGTGTTTATGTTTCTTATTTTCCTCCAAGCCTCCACATCTGCTTCTTAGGCCTTTCTCTCTCCATAACGTGTAATGAAAAAGGGAGAAGAAACTCTATTGAGTTCCTTCAGTGTGCCTAGTGACATTCAGTTTTGTGGAATCTTTCCATCTTCACTCCTTTCATGAGGAATTGTTGTCATAACCCCATTTTAAAGGTGAGCCGAAGTCCCAGCGTGGTGGCTCACACCTGTAATCCCAGTACTTTGGGAGGTTGAGGCACAAGGACCTCTTGAGCCCAGCGTTGGATGCCAGCCTGGGTAACATGGTGAGACCCCATCACTACAAAAAATATAAAAAATTAGCTGAGTGTTGTGGCACATGCCTGTAGTCCCAGCTACTCAGGAGGCTGAGGCAAGAGAAATGCTTGAGCCCAGGGGGCTGAGGCAGCAATGAGCCGTGCTGGTGCAACTGCACTCCAGCCTGGGAAACACAGTGAGATCCTGCCTCAGAAAAAAAGAAAAGGGTGAGCAGATCAAGGCAAAAGGAGTTTGTTCCAAGCTATCCTGCTATTAGGGGCAAAGTAGAAATTCAGATTTTGGGTGTGTCTGTCTAAATCCCAGCTGATGAATGAATCAATTCTTCTCCCATGTTTTCCATGTCGTCTCTCTGATATTGGACTCAGAAGACCCCCTGTAGGGGGACTTGAGTGTGAACTTCAGCAAATAGATCATGCTTCCCAAGTTCACATACAACCCAATGCATATCAGTCACCCATCAATTTATCTAATACACTTGACCTACTTCCACAATCAGCTTTCATAACCTAAACAGTTAAATGTAGTATGAATTAGAAAAAAATAAAGTAAAACCAAGGCAGTTTAAAAGAGTGGAGTAATTGTTACTTAACGTCTGATTGCCCCAGCCAGTGGCTGATTTCTAACCACTGTGTGAAGGGCTCCTTCCTTTCGGTTTCATTAAACCTGCTTCCTTTTTGTTTAAAGGTATGTTTTCTGATTGTTGGTGTCCAGGATTTGGTAAACTTGAACACAGACATTCAGGTTTACTGTCTTTCACAATGGTGTGGGCCTGGAGCACGTTCCCTGGGCTTCCCAGATCAAAGTATGTCTACACCTCTTGCCCTGTCTGGAGACATCAGGTAGCTTTCCTGAAATGAAACTACCTAGGTTTAACATGCTAGTTCTGGATTTGAATGGACTATGGCCCTGTATTAGTTCATTTTCATGCTGCTGATAAAGACATATCTGAGACTGGGTAATTTATAAGGAAAAAGAGGTTTAATTGACTCAAAGTTCCACGTGGCTGAGGAGACCTCACGATCATGGCGGAAGGTAAAAGGCATGTCACACATGGTGGCAGACAAGAGAAGAGAACTTGTGCAGGGAAACTCCCCTTTTTAAAACCATCCAAACTCATGAGACTTATTCACTATCACAAGAACAGCATGGGAAAGACCCATCCCCATGATTCAGTTACCTCCCACCAGGTCCCTCCCACAACAAGTGGAAATTGTGGGAACTATAAATCAAGATGAGATTTGAATGGGGACACAGCCAAACCATATCAGGCTCTTTCTCCAGCATTTTCAATCTTTGTATCTTGCCTAACTTCTTTTCTGAAAACAAACAAACAACCACAACGACAAAACCATTCTCCAAAAGCCCCATCTAAAAAAAGAAAGTTTTTTTTTTTTTTTTTTTTTTTTTTTTGAGATGGAATCTCGCTCTGTCACCCAGGCTGGAGTGCAGTGGCGCGATCTCGGCTCACTGCAAGCTCTGCCTCCTGACTCACGCCATTCTCCTGCCTCAGCCTCCCGAGTATCTGAGACTACAGGCACCCGCCACCACACCCGGCTAATTTTTTTTTTTTTTTTGTATTTTTAGTAGAGATGGGGTTTCACCGTGTTAGCCAGGATGGTCTCGATCTCCTGACCTCGTGATCCGCCCGCCTTGGCCTCCCAAAGTGCTGGGATTACAGGCGTGAGCCACCGCACCCAGCCAAGAAAGAATTTTTACTTGCTCAGATGCTCCTCTATCTGCCATCCTGATTCTCTCCTTTCACAGCCCAAGTATTAATATCCTTTCTCAGAACCCTGGAATTTAGCATCATCCTGGCTGGCTGTCATCTGTGTGGGGCCAGCTTTGTAGCCATAGGAGCTGTACAGTCACACAAGGCTCTGCACCGAGGAGAGTCCTGTGCTTAGTTTAATACTCACTCGGTTGTCACCATCGAAAAAGTCTTATGAATGTTAGAACAAGGGGCCCGTGTTTTTGTTTTGCACTGGACTTGAACTTGTCCACTAGTCTAGTGCCACAGCCCACTTCAGGGCTGGTCACCATTCCCCACCCGGCTGTCCCTGTCTTGTGTTCTTTGCTGGTGAGTCTCTGGAACACTTACACAGTCAGCCACTGCTCCTGAGCCTCCCTTGCTGCTGTTCTGTTTGTTTCTCTCTTCTCCTTCTGAAATAGTTTAGCATTACAGATCTCCTCTAACTCCCAATGGCACTGCTGCTCCGTACCCCATTCCTTTGTGTTGTCTAGCCTTACCCTAAGGTGGTCCCATGCTCCCACACTGGCCTTTTCTTTCTCTTTTTTCTCTTTTTGGAGTTCACACTACTCCTAAAGCTTCATCTAGCACTTCTATGGGATTGACTTTTTAAAAAATGGTGTTTTCCACAACTTTTCTCTCCACCACGTTAACCCTGAAGTTCCAGGTACTGACGTGCTTTAACTCAACTCTGCCCAGCAAATACACTCAGCAAATAGAAAATCCTACTCATCACTGCTCTCTTTAAACTGGTGCTTTCTACAGATTTCTTTCTTTGATCAACGAAGCTGTCATTCTATATGAGACCCACACTTTAGTATAATTTCCGAAATATTTCCCATGGCTACTTCTTTCATCGAACCCATTTTTTAGTCTGCATACATTAACTCTTATAAAAAAACCATTGTTGCAAATCTCCCAAAGCCAAATTCATTGCATCCACAGCTACGCCATACTTTTTGGTGAGGTCTGAGCCTCCAATGGTTGGAGTTAGTGAAAGCTCTAAGGTTTTTCTCTCACAACCTCTGATGGCATGTCATAACAAAAATAAGCCTCAGACTGAATTCTGACACATACATCCTTATTAGTCAGTAGGCACAAATGGCATCCAACAACCTGTTGTGTTGGAGTCATGAAGCCCAGCTCTCATCCTTTCCAACACTCTGTTTTGTGTGAAATATTCACTCGATGCTGATGTGACAATATTCTAGCAGCACCATTCAGCTGACATTCTAGTTCAAGTCAGGTGACAAAAATCCATCCAGAATCAGCTAAAAACAGTCAGGCTTGGAACACTAAGCTGAGGAGCCTATTCCAAAGGATGCTGGCAATTAGGCTCACTGGATTTTTCTCTCTTGTTCGCACAAGGGCAGGATTGACTGCATAATATTTCAAGCCAGTCCACATACGTTTCTTCACCAGTTTTATTTAGGAAGTATTTTAATGATGTATTAAGGACTGATGCAACCACCAGCTGAAAAATAAAAAGACTAATACCTTGAAAGTAAGTCACATCAGTGGTGCTTCCAGTCCAAAACCAACTTCACCTGGAATAACCAGAACTCTGGGATCAATATTCCTTTGCTTTCCTGTTCATGTTCACCTGTTGTATCTGTATGTGTTCCCAAAAAAAGCATGTATGTGCATATTTTTTAACTGTTTAGAATTTTGTATTTTGTAATAATTTTAGCATTATATAAAAGTTACAAAAATCACACAGAGTTCCCATACACCTTTCAATCAGGTTTCCCTAATATTTTCACCCTAAACACATAATAAATTAACATAACTAAGAATTTTTCATCAGCGCCATTGTGTAAACTCTACTACTCACTTTGTTCTGATTTTTCCTGGTTTTCCTAAATTCTTTTTCTGTTCCAGGATCTAATCTGAGTTTTTTACTTTGCATTCAATTTTCATGTCTCCTAGCCTCCTCTAAAACCCTCCAAGACAGTTCCTCAGTATGCCCTGGTATCTCATGAGTATGGCTTTTTAAAGAGTACTTGTCAAGTCATTTTATAAAATATACTTTGATATAGCTTGGTCTGATTTTGAGGAAAAAATATATATATAGCAAGAATATCATGCAAGTAGCATAATCTTTCAGGTGTATCACATCAAGGAGTCCAAGATATCTGAATGTCATACTACTGGTGCTGTTGACCTTAATCACTTGGCTGAAGTGGTATCTGCCCCGTTTCTCCCCTTTAAAGTTACTATTTTTTCTTTGTAGTTAATATATATCATAAGGAGATTCTTTGAGATTATTGAAATATCTTCTCAACTTTTAACTTTTGTGAGTACATAGGTGTATATATTTATGGGTGTATATATTATACCTGTATCAAATGTCATCTACCCCATAAATATATATACCTACTATGCAATTATTTTTAACTTAAAGATAGGTTGAATGTGCTCTTTGGGACTTACTGTTTTTACTCATAGTAAGTTATTAATATTTCTTCACATTGTTGCATGTGGTTGTAGTTTGCTCTATTTCATATCTATGTATTCTTTCACTTTCTAGTTAATGGACAAATTTAGGTTACTCTCAGTTGTTTTTTCTCTGATGATACTGCTACAAACATTCTTGTACAAGTCTTTTGTTACACATATATGAAAGTTTTTCTTGAGTATAAATTGAGTTGCAGAATTCCTGGGCCAACAGGGTAAATAAAGGTTTAGGAGAAAATGTCAAGTTGTCCTCCATCATGATTACAAAAGTGGATTCTCTTTCCAGCAATGTAAAAGAGCTGTTTTGTGACACACATTTCTCCAACACTTAGTACAGTCCATTTTAAAATTATTGCCAAATGTATGGTATGAAATAACATCTCAGTGTCGTCTTGATTGGCATTGCCATGATCATATATAAATCAAGTGTTTATTGACTAGGAAATGTGTTTTTGCCTCTTAACCATTTTTCTCTTGGGCTATGTTCTTAATGATTTTAAAGAGCTTTATGCATTTTTGACATGACTCCGTATAACTTAAACACTATTAATTTCACCAATAGAAAAGCATCCACCTTCTCATAGCAGCCTTTCTGTTATTTAACGAACCGTCTGAGTATCATGGGAGTTTAAGCACCACAGAAGGGCTTATAATGGCATACCCAGTAATACGCGCCTTTCTGAGTTTATATCCCCAGGTGGTGTCTGTTAAATGGTTAGCTAAGTGCCCCTTGGCTATGGTTAATTAGTTTAATTTGTATAGCATGTTTACATATATACATTCGCATGCACAAGCACACACACACGCACAACATACAACAACACTGCCTAAAATGAATGACAATGTAACACTCACTGTTTCTGATCCCATTGACACCACCCTGTTGCCCCACCAACACCTTTGGTGATTTCCAGTGGGCTCTTTCTTCCAGTCTCTTTCCTTCTCAGTGCAGCCTGCGCACTGACCCCAGACTCCTCTCTTCATTATCTATTAATACAAATGAAGTCAAAATGCCTCAGTCCTGCCCTGCCCTAGCCTTCCTTCCCAGGCAGCCCTCCTCCTGCTTCTCACAGGCGTGGAGCCTCAGGGCATGAGCTTTGGCATCGATAACTCTGTCCCAGCCTGAGAACTTGGCAGATGTATGACCTGGAAGTCAATCACACACCCTGATGAAAGCTTGGTTTCTTCTTCCGTGAAAGAAGGAGAATCCCAGTGACTATCTCAAAGGCACACAGAGTCCATATGAGGATGAAGTGAGGTAATGTTTTTTCAATGTTCAGTACAGTGTCGGCAAAATAACAATCAATAAATGTTTGTTTTTATGTGCCTATTATTATCATTAATATTGCACTTCAGGCCACGCGCGGTGGCTCACGCCTGTAATCCCAGCACTTTGGGAGGCCGAGGCAGGTGGATCACCTGAGGTCAGGAGTTAGAGACCAGCCTGACCAACATGGAGAAACCCCATCTCTACTAAAAAAAAAAAAAAAAATACAAAATCAGCTGGGCGCGGTGGTGCATGCCTGTAATCCCAGCTACTCAGGAGGCTGAGGCAGGGGAATCGCTTGAACCCCGGAGGCAGAGGTTGCGGTGAGCCGAGATCACGCCATTGCACTCCAGCCTGGGCAACAGAGCAAAACTGAGCATCTTGTTATTCCCTAAATACTAAGGTGGGGATTCACTTGGCCACTCCCCCTTAGCATCTCCTTAAAGATATCTTACTCAACTGCGTGTATAATGGGAGAGAATGCTATGATCTTCAGAATCCTTAAGCACTTTGCTAACACTTACTTTATAACACTTATGGCTAGCAGTTTCTTATACAAACACATTCATCTCTCTGCTGTCTGTGTGCTGCTTGAGAGCAAGAACTATTATATTAGTCACCTCTTTTTCCACGATCTAGAGCCAGGCCTAGAACAGAACAGGTGTTCAGGAAATCTATGTTGTGTGAATGTCTTCCTTCTTTTTTTCTTTTCCTCTTCTTTACTAATCCAAAAAACATTTTTTTTAAATACCCCCATGGAAAAATTCTTATAAGAAAGTTACTTTTGTCTGTAAACCTTATAAAACCTCATGATGTCCAGCCTGGAAACATTATAGTTTCTTTCTTTTTTTTTTTTTTAAATCCCAAATAATGATTCATTGATTCATGCCTGTTCCCATGAATAGGTTCACACAATTCTTACTAATTTTCTTTTCTTTTTGTATTATATAAACCCATAAGTACCAGGGACTCTCTTATGCTCCTTACAAATTGCCCCCAACCCAGGCACAACATATCCCTCACCTACACCAACTGGGCACAGCCATCTTGGCCTCTTGTCTACCTCTTCATTTCTCCTCTGCCACAAGAAATCTGAACATCACCTTTCTCTTTGTCCAAAGTCTTCAGTTTTCCTACGTCACTCAAGGTACAGATTCCCTGAGAGTTTAGTTCTTATTCTGCCTGGCTGCTTTTATGGGGAGAATGTTCCCAGTCATGATGATGCTTTCTTGCTTTGAAATTCCAGGGAGGAAAACAAAGGAAGCAGACAATCCTTCGATGCTCTACTGTGGCCAGAGTTGGGGTGGGGAGGGGAGGAGACCCACACATCAATACACTCTTGCTGCTGTGGTTCTGTAACATTATGATGCATTCATATGATGCCCGGGGATAGACCATATTCATAAATATAAATTATTCTGTAAGTTCAGCTTTAATGTCTTTAAATATTACCTTTTCCATCATCCTTTCCTGGCCTGAAACAAACCAAGGAGCACAAGCTGTCACGTTCTGTCTTATGTCATTCGCAATCACAATCATTAGATCATTTGATTAACTTCATGAGCTAGAAGAGTCCGTTCAATGAACTGTGCTCATACTCAGGGTCCTAGAGCTCACATCCATCACCACACATGCTCAGACATGATGGAGGACACTCACATTCACCTAGGTGAGGCTTTTCCTCAACATCCTAGTCCAACCCTTCATTTACTCTTATGCTTCAAAAAACATGTACCAGAGGGGGAAAAAATCAGACAACATCTATTATCTATTTTTAAAAATCTATTATGTTAAGGGTAAATAGAGGAGGTAGGGTGATGAAAAGAGAGTAACTATATGCAAATGATGTGATGATTATGTGCATAATCATATTCTTGGAACTCATTACTCAAGAGTTCCAATCTACCTCTGCTCCACGATTGTGTGTGTGAGGATCCAGTGCAAGAGAGAGGAACTGCCCCAGGTATTTGGAACACAGAAAGGTTTAATACAAGGAAGTGGGTGCCCATAAAATCACTGGACAGATCAAGGAATGGGCCTGCTGCTGAGCTACTGACAGCACTATAGAGAAGAACCAGAAAAGAGGAGGCTGCCCCTGACTCCACTGACTCTGCTGGCTCCCTAGAACGGGGTGTCTGGACTCAAAATGCACTCCCATGAGACCCACCTCCTTGCTTTCAGAAGCTGCAGGAGGTGGACCACAGCTGCTACTCCAGATCTACCTTCCAAATCTTCCACAGGTTTTTCTGACTGTGGCAGACAATTCTCAATCTAATCTCCAGCTGCTCACAAGTATCCTTTGCAGCTTCCTGACTTCTCCCAATAGAAGAGGTGAAAGGGGGTGAGAGAGCCAAGCCACCATGCAGTAAAATGAATTGTTTCCCTATTGTGCAGAGTGGGATTTAAGCTCAGGCTCTTCTCTACCACTCCCACCACTCAGGCTGTTTCTTCTGGAGCAATTCTGTTAACATGTGAGCTTTGGTTTTTGTAGCAGCAAGGTATTGTCCTTGTCCATTTGTTGAAGTATTGAATATAATGCATACGCAGGACTAGTATAGTGCCTGAAACAAGGTAGGTACTTGATAAATTGAAACTCTTATTGTCCTCCCTCAAGAATGATACAGTATAAACGTCAGTTACAAACACTGACCAAGCACCAGCTATGTACTTGGATGCTTTCATGACCTCATCCCAGTTAATCACCATAACAATCCCATAGTGTGCACCTTGAAATATCCATGTAGTTGGTGAGGAACCAAGGTTCAGAGAGAACATGCAACTGATCCAAGGTGAAGGCAGGGTCCCCTTCTCTTGCCTCCCCACCCAATTCCAACACACACACACACACACACACACACACACACAATCTGAATAAAATGCCACCTATTTTTCTTATGCCACTGTAGAAGGGCTAATTTTTCTTTCTTTCTTCCCCCGCACCTTATTTTATTTTATTTTTTTAAATGGAGTCTTGCTCTGTCACCCAGGCTGGAGTGCAGTGGCGCAATATTGGCTCACTACAACTTCTGCCTCCTGGTTGAAGCGATTCTCCTGCCTCAGGCTCCCAGGTAGCTGGGATTACAGGCGTGTGCCACCACACCTGGCTAACTTCTGTATTTTTAGTAGAGATGGGGTTTCACTATGTTGGCCAGGCTGGTCTTGAACTCCTGACCTCAAGTGATCCACCCGCCTCAGCCTCCCAAAGTGCTAGGATTACAGGTGTGAGCCACCACGCCTGGCCAGAAGGGCTAATATTAATATCAGACTCTTTCACTCACTCTCCTCTTCATGACTTGTAGGAATGGAGAAAGTGTGGCATCTGTGATCACAGCCCTACTGTCTGCACCCTTCTGCCTCACTCTCCTTTCTTGATCTCTCTGCAGCTTTATACTAAAACCATTTCAGTTGTTTGCATGGACAGAGAATCTTCCAGCTGTGTCATTCTTCCTTCTCTCCCAGCCTTCCAGCCTTGGGGAACTCATTCGTTCATGCAAGGGGCATCTTCTATTAGTGTCTACTGAGCGAGGCACCCTGATAAAGACTCAGAGATGAACAAAGCTCAGACCGTCCCCTCAAAAGTCCATGCAGTCTTATGAGGAATGAAAGGATGTGCACCCAAGGGACTGCAGTGACATTTGAGAAAACATTATTAAAATGCTTGAGCTCAGACTGCAGGAGCTTGCATGAGTGAGTCTACCCCATGATGGGGGAGAAGAGGCAGGATCAGGGGAGACTTCACACAGAAAGCAACTTTTATAACAGCTTTATTGAAGTGTGATTGATATACAAAAACTACATGTATTTAATGTGGACAATTTAAATTGGATGAGTTCGAATATATGTAAACACCTGTGATACCATCACCAAAACTGAGGTAATAGGCATAACCAACACCCCCCAAAGTTTCCTTGTGTCCCTTTTGTTTAGTTTTGTGTTTGTGGCAAGGACGTGTAACATGATATCTGCCCTCTTAACAAATTTTGAGTTGACAATACTGTGTTGACTAAAGGCACTATACTGCATAGTGTAGTATAGATCTCTAGAACCTACTCATCTTGTAGAACTGAAACTTTATACCCACTGAACAATTCATTTTGCCCACCCAGTCCCCCACCCCAGCTCCTGAAAACTACTATTGTATTCTCTATTTCTGTGAGTTCAACTCTTTTGTCTTTGTTTTGTTTTGCTTTTTTGTTCAGATGGGGTCTCACTCTGTTGCCCAGGATGGAGTGCAGTGGGGCATTCATGGCTCACTGCAGCCTTGACCTCCCAGGCTTAAGCGATCCTTTCACCTCAGCCTCCCAGGTAGCTGGGACTACAGGCACATGCCACCATGCCAGGCTAATTTTTTAAAATTATTTTTTGTAAAGACAGAGTGTCACTATGTTGCCCAATCTGGTGTTGAACTCCTGGGCTCAAGCTATCCTCCCATTTTGGCTTCTCAAAGTGCTAGGGTTACAGGTATGAGCCACTGCGCCTGGTCCAAGAGTTTGACTGGTTTAGATTCCTCATATGAGTGTAATCATGCAGTGTTTGTACTTCTGTTCATAGCTTATTTCACTTAACAAAATGTTTCACAGGTTCATCCATGCTGTTGCAAATGTCAAGATTTCTTTCTTTTTTAAGGCTGGGTAATATTCTATTGCATAGATACAGCACATCTTCTCTACTCACTCATTTGTGGATGAAAACAGGTTGACTGCATTTCTTTACTGTTGTCAATAATGCTGCAATGAACATGGAAGTGCAGATATCTCTTTGAGATCCTGATTTCAATTCTTTTGGAAATATACCCAGAAGTGAAATCACTGTGTCATATGGTAAAGCTGAACTTTGATGAATGCTGTATTTCACCAAGTAGAGAAAAAAGAAAAGCATGGGGTGCCTGAAGCATAGGATGGTGTCCTAAAGAGACCCTCGGCCTTTGCAGCTTCACATTAGTAAGCCCTGCTGACACTGTGCAATGTCTGGACATCATTGGGATACTACATTTTGAGAGGGAATAGGGGCATGCTGAAACCTTTCAAATGACTCATGTCTCTTAAGTCCTGGAAGTGCTAACCCATTGCTATTGAAAGCACAGAAACTCCATCTGTCCCCAGATATAATAGACACCATGACAACACTCAGGGGGAGTGAAAGCATAAGTGGAAACCGGGGCCAGAAGATCCTGGCTCAGTGAATGGTGAGTCCTTGGATGCTTGGTGTGATTAATGGGTGGGTTGGGATAAGGGTGGGGAGGAGAAGAGGCTGGAGGGGTGAGGAAGAGGCAGCCATGGGGACAGGCCCTAGGAGAGACATGTTGGGCCCATGCCGCAGAGTCCTTGAATGTCATGATAAGATGTCCAGGCCCCTCATCTCAGATGCAGTGGGGAAGCTCTTTGCTTGTCTTCACTGGCACTCCACAAGGCAACCTTCTCCAGTCACTATCAGCCCCAGGGAAGTTCTGCTGACATTACTGGCAAAACCACTCTCCTCTGTCTCTGTCTCTGTCTCTTTCTCTCTCTCTTTCTCTTTTCCCTTTCTCTCTCTCTCTTTCACACACACACACACACACACACACACACACGCACACACAAACACACAATTATTTGATTATTTGTCAGTGAATCTGTAATGGCTCTCTCCATAGACCCTATGTCTAGGTTAAGAAACTGTATCTGACTTAGTTAATTATTTTTCTCACTGTGCATGTAACATATGTAATTTTTAAAAATAAGGAAAAAGAAAACAGCTCTAAAATTACTATGTAAAGTATGATTTTGCTACTTCTTGGTGTACTTGGTGTACAGCTCATGGTGAGTCACAGTGTTGCATGACTCCATGGGCAGGAACCTAAATATCCATGAAGCCACAAACCACAGCTCACCATTCCCTAGGATCTGCTAACTCTTCCCAGCCCACCGGACAGAAGAAATGCCTGGCAATGTGGTGGCAGGTAACAAGCAGACACACGATGCTGAAGACCCAGTCATCAAAGAGCCTTTACTTCCTTCTGCAAAGGCAAGACTCATGGCAGACGTGTCCATGCACACCAAGTTTGAGAGCTGCCATGAGACTCCCTTCTGTTGTGAAAAATACTCATCAGGCTTTTCAGAACTCTCTGTGCACCCCCAGCATAGCAGTCAGGAGAGAGATAGGAAATGTCCTCCGCACTTTGGAGCCCAGCTCTTGCCAAGAAGCGTTACAAAGTCTTCTAGCTGGCTCTGCTCTCCCAGCACAATTATTCAGGCCCTGGAGAAGAATAGAAATGATGCTTCTGCTGCCACTCCCTTCCCACCAGAGGGTGGTCAGCTCTGAAAGCTCCCCAGGCTGAGTAGGATGACCAGAGGAGAATCTGCCTAGGTCAACTCTGCCCAGGCTCCTGATGCCCATGCTCCAGCCAACACCTTCCAAGTGGACTGGCTCTGCCACCCAGCTGCTTGTGTTTCTTCCTATATGTTAAGTCTGAGCATCTAACTCATCTCTAGGAAGGGAAAATTAGAGCTTTTACTATATTCTCTATTCAGACTGTCTAAAACAGATGGGTCTGGTGTGCTGCTGAGGAGGTGGTCCACCTGATGTGACCTGGAGGTGGGGTGGAGGGAAGTAGCATCACACTGAGATTCATGAAGACACCAAAAAGCAGAGTCGGTGGGGTAGGGAGTGAGCAGAGCTAAGAACTGAGTCCCCAGGGAAAAGCTTAGTCCAATTCACCCAAGAAGAGGATCTTAATGAGTTGCTAATGTCAAGGGATTGGAGACAGATATCAAGACAGAGCACTAAACTAGGGGTGTTTTCAACAAAAATATGATCCGCAGCAGAGGGATATGGGTTTCACCGGGTTCCCTGGCCAACAACCTCCATGCAGCTTATAGGGTGGCAACCTACAGTGTCCCCTTATATTGTCACAGCTTTGGGGTGAGAATCCAGGCCTTCCTTTACAACATGTTTAGCTTCCCTGAGAAAGCAAGAAATAAAAATCAGACAAAAAAGAGGCCGGTTTCTCCAGGTGATAATCAAACCATTAGTTTTCAGTCTAGAAACACCTCAGATGAAGATGCAATATGGGCAACGCTCAGGGATGGGTTGCTCCAATCACAGATGTAGCTCCAGATGGAGATTTTGTGGATCATGGGCCCCCAGCAAGGGGAGGCTGTCAGCATGGCCAGGTTCAGGCCTGATATGAACAAGAGTCCACTGGCCCAGACTTTGATCCATAGAGTTTTTCAGTTATCAGGTCCTAGCATTCCAGAGGGAAGGAGGCAGGTGTCCCCAGCACCTAAACTCTTGAAAGCCAGAAACTCTTCAAGCACCATCCAGTAATACCATAAACATGTGTACAGAGTGAAGGATGAGGTGGGAGAGCTTTTCAGTGGTAATCATGACACACAAAACAGACTAATTATGATAATCTCATCCAAAATCCAAACTCCTAAACCAGCAAAATGATTTGGGAAGACATGCAGAATCTCAGAGCCCACTGCCTGGTTTAACATTTGGTTTCAACACTGTATGCCCATGAGACTTTGGGTTTATAACCCATACTTCTCTGCCAAACTCAGCTCAAGTCCTGTCTCTTCAGAAAACCACCCCTTATTGCTCCTAGCTGCTTTTCTGATCCCCTGCTCTTTTAAAGTCCTAATGCCCTTGAGGCGTATCTTACAATTCAGTACTTGGTGAATTCTGTCTCAGGCTGTTGTAATTGTTCTAGAGGAGAAAGCCCTGTTACAAAAGGTTTGCCAACTGTAAAAGAGTAACTTTCTCTCTTCCTCAGCAATGAGAACAGTTCAAAATATACTGTAGATTGTCAAGAAGGCCTGTGGGTTGGCTGAACCACGTAGATGTAGACCTCTTTTACACTATAGCCAGAGCAATTGTAATTCCATCGTACTAAACCACTCTCAAGGCTGAAGTTACATGTAATAAAAGGACCTGTTCTGGCTCCAAAACAGAGCTAAGCACCTCGTCCTTCTATGACCTGATGTTGTGAATGGCCTCACCGTCTGTCCTCTAACACAAATCAGAAATCCAGATTTGATCATTATCTTTGATTCTTCCTTCCTTCTTCCTCAGCCCCTAAAACCAGTTGGCCCCCAAGCCTTATCAATTCTTACCTGTTCACATCTCTCAGATGGTGTTATGCCTCTCCATCACTCCTGTGACTGAAGTCACACCCTCATCATTCCAACCAGCTTTTGTGCACAACCTCATCATGCCTGTTCGTCTACTTCCACACTGAATGATTCATCCGCCAAATCTCCAATCCATCATGCCTCTTAAAACGGTTTAAAGTCGTGTAGTTGCTTCCCACTGCTTCCAAGATTTGTTTATCTACTTATCACCGTGTTCAAGGTCTTTCATCACGAGCTCCTAGAGACACTTCTTATCTCAGTACCCTTTGGCTGAGTCACATTAACCAATTTGTAATTCCCTGAGGTCCATGCATTTTATGCAACAGTTCTTGCTCTGCAATAATCTACCATCTCTTCGTCCACTTCTTAAGGCTCTGTCTGTCCTTCAAGTCACCACTCAAGCATTTTCTCTTTGTGAAGGCATTCCCAGAGTAGGATAGGAATCTGCATTCAAGTAATTCTCTACTAACATTAAAGCACTTATTACCTCGTGTTGTCATTATGAATCTTATTGACCACCTTGGCCATTATTAAACTACACACTTGCCCCTTTTAGATCAGAAATGGTATCTCATTCATCTGTGAATCCTCAGAGCTTAACCCAGTGCCTGGCTCAATAAATGATTATCAAGTGCATGGATGAATAGAGAAAGAAAAGAATGAATACAAGAATGGATGAAAAAGTGACTGAGCAAAGGAATGAGTAAGTGAAAAATGAGTGACAGCGCAGCACAACCCTTTAACCAGCTCTGCAGTTGGTTATCCATTGCATGTAAATGCCGCAACCGTGGGCTTCTTCTCATTGCCTGAGTTACCCCTGGGCAGCTTCATCTACTTCTTTGCATTAATGGCCTCTTGTAGGTTCTCCCCTCTAATAATCTCTATTTCCAGAAAATGGGCCCATGAGTTTCAGACTCGAACATGCACTTTAGTTGTACATCCCCATGTGGATGTTCCACAGACACTTCAAATTCAGAATGTTCCAAATTCATGATCTTTCTTCTATAACTCTGTTATTCGTGTTTCCTTTCTCAATGAAAAGCATCATTTCTGTAAGTGCAATCCTTATTTCTCCAAATTTCAAACATCCACATTCTATCAAGCCCTAGTATGTCTACCTTATAAATATCTCATACCACACCGGGCTCCCTCCAAACCCGCTGGCATTACTCTAGCCCAGGAAAGAACCCTGGCCCTCCTGGATGATTCCCACTGTCTCCTGGTCTCACTGCTTGCATTTTGTCCTGCTCAAATCTACTTTCCACCCACCAGCCAGGCTGCCATTTCACAATGAGCTCACCCCAGTGATTAAAACCCTCCAGTTGTTTTCCAGTGTCCTCTGGCTAAAGGCCAAACTCTTTTAAAAAGTTTACTGTGCCCTTCCTGATCCCTCACCACTCAGCCTTGAACCTGGTAACTCACTGCCTTCTGTCTACCATAATCTCCAATTGTGTTAAAGCACTTTCAGCTCTTCAAAGACAGGCTGTCCTCTGGGGCTCCAGGCTGACTCACATATGGCTCTTTCATTGTGAAACACCCTCCCTCATTCTGGCTACACAGCCTGCATGACTCCTGGCTCAGCTGATCTGTCACCTCCTATAAGAAGCCTCCCCTGCCCACTGGGTTGGGGCCCCTCCCATGTCCTTCTGTGAGAGCCTGCACTTCCTGTTTCATAGGAATCATAGGACTTACCACGTGATTATAGCTTTCGGTAATATGTCTTCTCTACACTCTGAGAACCATAACTAAACCATTAGATGACGGATCAGGATAGTGTGTGTGTTTGGAACTGTTGATCATTGAGCAATATCCATGTGAGCCTTTTCCTTTGATGCAGGTGACTGATAAATTTTCAGTCTCACAGTAAGTGCTCTGTGAGACACAGAGTCAAGGTGATTCTCTCGTACCTTGAGACCCATCTGTGCTTCTTTCTCCTGTCTCTGAGCCCCTCCTGTATGAAAATGATAGGGAGGCACTTGGAGCTCCAGGAGATTAGATACTTGATCAATCCCATGTGTGATTGGATTTCCAGCATCTAGTAAGGAAAGCTCTAAAAGAATATGTATAGTATATTGAATGAATATTGAACATTTGAACATTTGACTAATGAACAGACACTCACCAAGGACCTGTAACATTTTAGAAATGGTGTCAGGATCCTAGAGGAATACAAAGATATTCCCCACCCATGAGAAGGGCAGGATCTGATTGAGAAGACACAGAAACACATAAAAAGAATATTACTACAGTGCAGAACATTGTCCCAGAGAATCTGTGAGAAAGACTTGGTTGGTGCTTGAAAATTCAAAAAGAAAAAAAAAAGTGGCCAGGCTCAGTGGCTTATGCTTGTAATTCTAGCATTTTGGGAGGCTGAGGTGCATAGATAGCTTGAGCCCAGGAGCTCAAGACCAGCCTGGGCAAAATGACAAAAACCTGTCTCTACCAAAAGTGGTGCACACCTGTAGTCCTAGCTGCCCAGGAAGCAGAGGTTGCAGTGAGCCGAGATCATGCCACTTGCACACTAGCCTGTGCAACAGAGCCCTGTCTCAAAAGAATGAAAGAAAGAAAGAAAGAAAGAAAGAAAGAAAGAAAGAAAGAAAGAAAGAAAGAAAGAAAGAAAAGAAAAGAAAAGAAAAGGGAAGAAAAGAAAAGAAAAGGATAAATGCTCCAAGACATGACAGTTAGCAGAGTGAAAAGAAATCAGTTTGCACTGAAATATATTCTAGGATTAGGAAGCCACGCTTTGGAAACAGCAAGACAAGGCAGGAATAAGTGTCACGCATTTGGGGGCTCTACAGAGAAGGAAAAAAGAAAAAATAGACATTTTGAATAATGTCTATGTGCACATTACAATTTCATGTGAATTACTCACATTGTTTAATTTAATGCACTAGATTAAAAAGAAATGTTACATATTCTAAAAATTGCCCTGTTTTGACAAATAAGGAAAATGAAGCTCTGAGAAGTTCAGTAAATTTCACAGGAGCCTGCAAAAGTTTCAGGACTAGGATTTCAACCCCAACTCCTTTGACTCCAAGATTATTCCTTTCTTCTAGCCTGGCAGGTGAAAGCCTAGACTGGCAAATATTTTGTATGGGATGACGGTGGGAGTTAATGTTGAATCACAGCTGGAGAGCCCATATATTTCCAGTTCTCTGTTATGGCCATTTTCCCCTATCTGATTCCTATTTCCACTTTAATGGGTTGAGAACAATATCTGAGTCCTCTGAATAGTCACAATTTTTTTTTTTTTTTTTGAGATGGAGTCTCGTTCTGTCTCCCAGGCTGTAGTGCAGTGGCGTGACCTCAGCTCACTGCAACCTCCGCCTCCTGGGATCAAGCAATTCTCCTGCCTCAGCCTCCCGAGTAGCTGGGATCATAGGTGTGTGCCACCACACCAAGCTAATTTTTTATTTCTATTTTTAGTAGAGAGGGGGTTCCACCATGTTGCCCAGGCTGGTCTTGAACTTCTAACCTCAGGTGATCCACCAGTCTCGGCCTCCCAAAGTGCTGGTATTACAGGCATGAGCCACCGTGCCCAGCCTTGGATAGTCACAGGTAGACCATTTTTCATACCATGGACCAAGGAGCAAATCTTTTGGATTGTTCTCTGTTGAATTTCCAGGGATTTGTCTATATGAATTGATTCCCGGGTAGCGCATATGAATTATTAAGCAGTCGTATAATATTTGACTTTCTCTCTTGTTTTACAGGCAATCTGTGAGAATGACTGGGTTAATGCTTAAAAAGTCAAAAGAAAAGCAAAAAGTCTACACAGTAGTCTTTTTATTTATTGCTGGTGCCCCTCACTGTCTTTGGGAAGCTCACCATATCATGCCCAATGGATAAGGGATTTGCTGAGCCCTCAAAACCATGTGCTCATAGAACCTGTCTTAAGATTTGCTTCAACTATGAAAATGCTTTCACCTTTATCCTAATATAAGATGCTATTTTTCCCCTTAGAATGTGTAACTATGGTTTTCATAGAATAAATCATGCCAATAAATACTTTCACATATTGCTGGTAGGAGTATAAATGGATTCAACCATTTTGGAAGGCAAATTGGAAATATGTATCAAGAACTTTAAAAATGTCACTTTGGTACAATAATAACATTTCTTTGACTCTATCCTGAGAAAATTACCCAAGAGAGATAGAGAGATAAAAACTTCATATCAAAGATACTCATCATGGATTATTTGTAAGAAACATTATAAATGATGAACGAAAGGTTACCTCCACATAGTAATTTTTATTTTGATGTTTCTATAACGACATGAAACTGGTAACTTTTGGTGGTAAGTGACAAAAGGAGGACATAAAATTGTAGGTAGAGTATGAAAACTGTGAAAATTAGTATGCACTGAGGAAGATTTAATTAAACTACATCAAAATGTAGAAATGTTAGGGTAGTATAATAAATAATATATTGTTTTCTACATTTCTTACATGAAAAAATGTTAAGCAATGATCATGTTTGCTTTTATAATCAGAAAAAAATTATTTAAAGAGCTTTTTCTTGTTGATATTACAGACAAAAGAGAACAGTAGAAATTGAGAGATACTAGTTTTATAAATCAGAAGCAAAAGAAAGACTTTGAGACATAGCTCAAGAGATGTTGACATAAGAAAGTTAAGTAGCAAGCAATAATGGAGTCTGTGTGGTCAGATGCTGGAAAAATCTAGAATGACTTCCAGACACCTTTCCAGTTGCCAGGAGAGGGAAGGAATCAAGACTGCACAACATCCCCAAAGAAAACCTGAACAACAATGTGCACTGACTCCTAAAATAAAGAGACTGAGGAATCGAATAAAGTTGCAGAGAACAGAGGGATGTCTGACAAACAGATAATTAGAATCTTCTAAGGAGAGGGAAAATGTGACATTCACGACTAGCTTTAAAAATAGTGATCTTTAAATCCTGAGTAGCGTCACAGTCACATGAGAATAGGTGGAGCCTTGGCAGGCACGTTACACGAGAGAATATAGAGGGAGAGTCTAAAGAGTTGTGATTGAGTCAGTATGTGTTTCAGGAGCCTCTTCCCTAGCACAGCACATCGCCAAGCCCACACTGTCTACCCTGGTGTGAATTCAGAGCCGCAGCGTGTGCGGACGGAACTGCGAGTCAGTCTCCCTAAGTGTCGAGGCCCCAGAGTCTGACGCGGCTGTAGGTGGTGCCACTCACGGATGAGATCAGCCACTTCATGCAGCCAATGCGAAACAGTCACTCTCCCAATATAGCAGGGACTGACTAACGCAGCAATAATGCCGGGAAGATGCTGGCACCTCTGGGAGAACGCGAAGATGCTCCTTGGTCTGGGCTGAAGGCTGCATTAGAGGGGAGGGTGTTATAGGCGAAGGATTTTTTTATAAGATGCACCAAAAATCCCTCTGGCATCATTTCACCAACATATCACTTTAAACATGTTTGTCCATATATAAAGCCACAGCCCATTACAATAAGCGAGATGCAAACTGCCTGTACTCAACCACTGTTCATCATTCACATTAAACAGAGCATAACTACTTTATTCATTCAAACTCTAGTCCTCATGAGAAACACCTGATAGGTGCCTATCCTTTAGTGTCTGAGCTGTAGGCCTCAAAAGAGGCCCAGGAATTTACATTTTAATAAGCATCTGCATTCATTAAGATAGAGGAAATCCAAAGATTTAACTAAGAAATGCTGCTCTGGGGTATCTATTTATCAATCAGTGAACAAAACTTTTTAAACTACTGTCAGTTTCACAAATATGATTCAATATAGTCATGGGAGGAACTAACACCAGTTCTTAATAAAGCTGAGGCTGCTGGTTCTATATTGAACCCAGTTACCGTCAATATTTTCATTAAAGAGTTGGAGGGAGACAACTAGATGTCATGACTCTGAAATCATCAGATGCCGTAGGCAGAATGAGATAACCAAAACATCAAATGGTGGAATCAGGACTTTAAAAGGTGCTGGCGTATTGAGAACAACGGAACAAAGCTAACCAGATGAAAATAAATATGTATAAATATCCAGTTCTGTATTTTGAATCAAATAGTAACATGCCCAAGGATGAAAGCACCTGGTTTCATCGGTAAACAAGGCCCAGAAGTTTGAAATTAAGTCACCTGGACTGATAGGCTTGCATGCCAGCGTTTAGTGCTCATGACAGAAAAAAGAATGGCCCCAATACATCACGCTGTGCACTCAACACCTGGAGTGCTGGGTTCTGTGTTGGGAGCCACATTTTAATAACAAAAATTGCAAATTGAGACACACCCAATAGTGAAAATTTTGATGGTAAAGGCCTTGAAAACCATTTCCTATGAGGAAAAGTGAAGGAATGAGGAATGTTTCGCCTGGAAAATAGAAGAGTTGGGAGAGAAATTAGCTGTTGTCAAATCTATGAAAAGTACTAATGAAAGAATAATTCAATCCACTCTTTGTTGTTCCAAAGAGTAAAACTGAGGTCAATGGGGATAATAATATAAGCCATAATGCAACTGAAAGCGATGTTGGCCTATGCTCACCACCTCACATTTGTGATGGTGCTCCCTGCACACGACCTGTTCCCGTCTCACAGATGAGTCATCTGGCCCTCCTCTAGGCACTCGCCATTCTGGCCCTCCTACTGGAATGGGCTCTCTTATCTGTCTACCTGGCTGACACCTACTCACTATTGAGGGCTTGATTCTCTCCTCCTCTATGAAATCTTGGCACCAACACCTACAACACAAAGACTGCCACTGAGGTGTCATCCTTGTGCACCCCCAGGCCCCACAGACTTCATCACAGCCGCCTCCCCTGGTGGATGAACAATCATGCAAACTTCTGCTTCATTTGCTGAGCTATGTTTAGGCCTTATTGATTTTCTTATACCCAGCACCAAACAGTACCTTAGGAGATACAGAGAGAGATAAAGAAAGAGAGAGACATAGAAAAAGAATTCGTCTAGGAGCCATAGCTAATTTACTTACACCTCCTAGATGTAAACCAAATCAGGAGTAAGAACCAAACTAGAATCTTCACCCTTAGGAAAAGTTGTTAAGATCTGACTAATGACATGCTTTTAAAAGAGATCAGTCTACAGAGATGAGAACTCAGCCTGAGGCACCACCATGAACTCTATGTGAAAACCACATGGCATGTTGGCAGTGAACTCTTGGTAGGAGATCCAAAGAGACAGAATAGAAATGTTGTTCCTTGAAGGAGAAGAAACATAATCTTGATCATTTGTTTTATTGTAATTCTCTAATTTGAGTGCTAGTATTTCTAAGATAAACCAGCATGTTTATACTTAAAGCTTCTTTGTCCTGAACCAGTAGGATGTCATTATATATAAAGACAATATTATGAAAACCGAAATTATCCTAATCAAGTACATAAAATGAAGACATTAACATTTAAAGCTGAATCGTATCATGTTGCATTGAGTATATGTAATAACAGATTATATGATTATATTGTATCATAAAAGTAGCTATGATACTACATAAAAGTAGCTTAAAATGAAGGTGGGGGGTAATAACACTGCAATTCCGATGTGTTATTAACCATCCTGTTTTGTAGTTCCCAAAATCTGCAGATTTCAGATTATTTGGCAATTGCCCTATATTCTGGAAGGCCACCAGAGAGCTGAAGACAAAGGGGCAATGATGTGCCAAAAGCAGAAGCTTAAAGAATAGTCAGATTTCTCCAAAGAAGATACACAAAGGGCTGATGAGCTCGTGTAAAGATGCTCAACATCATTAGTCATCAGTGGAATGCAAATCAAAACCTCAATTAGATACCACTTCACACCCCACTTGGATGGCTATAATCAAAAGACAGATAATAACGAGTGTTGGCAAGGATATGGGGAAATCAGAACCCTCCTGCCCTGCTGTGGGAATGTAATATGGTGCAACTGGACATTTCTTCAAATGATTACACAGAGAGTTACCATTTAATCTAATAATTTCACTCTTAGGTAGATACCCAAAAGAAATGAAAATATGTCCCCCCGCAAAAAAAAAAAAAACCCACTTACAAACAAATGTTGATAGCGGCATTCTTTATAATAGCCAAAAGGTGGAAACAACTCCAACTGACCACCAATTGACGAACAGACAAACAATGTGGTATATACAAAGATGGAATGATATATGATTAGAAAAGGGATGTAATACTAATACATGCTACAATATGAATGAACCTTGAAAGCACTATGCTAAAGGAAAGAAGCTAAACACCAAAGCCCATATATTATATGATTCCATTTTATGCAATGTCCAAAATAGGCAAATCTATAGAGACAGAAAGTGGATTAGTAGTTTCCAGGGACTGGAGGAGGGGATGGAGTCTCTTGGCGAGTGAGATAGCTAAAGGGTATTGGTTTATTTTGGGGGGTGATAAAAAGTTTCTAATACTGATTTTCATAGTCCGTGAGTCTGTAAATATACTAAAAACAAGGAAACTGTATACTTAAAATTGGAAAATTGTATGGTATATGAATTATATTTCAAAATCTGTTAATCAAAAAAGATAATCAGAAAACCGCAGGAGAGAAAAAACTCAAGAAGATATTTTTCAAAGGTTGCAACTTTCTGATCTTTGGGGAAAATAGGATAGATTCTGAAAAGAAGGCCCTAAACAACGTTTCTGAGAGTTTAATTCTAGTGTCTAAGAAACTGGGCAGGTGTTCCTGTTGGAAAATGCCCAGTTCACCAAATCTGAAATTCAAATATTTAGATGAAGTGTAAATTGCCTGGTAAACAATAATAATGACCCTACAGAACACACAAATTATATAACCAAACCATCTTGGAGGAGAATAGCTGTGACAAAAAAATGCATTCCTGCCTATCCAGCCATTGAGGTCTCCTGGATTAAGACATATTTGTAGGCTATTAAAACCATCCAAACAGAGAGAGAGAGAGAGTTGTTTTATCCTGTCCAGGATCACAAGATTCCAGGGTGGAGAGCCCTCTCCATCAACCCAGGTATTATCTAGATGAGAAGACCAAGGCCCAGCATGAGGAACTCCCTTTGCTGTGGCCCCTATCTCGCAGTAGCAGAGTGAAAACTCAGCCCAGAGCTCTGCCTCCTCACCTCCACATCCTCTTGGCCCACGCCAGGACTCCTGAAATGAGTGTGTGCCAAGCTCATCTGCAAAGAGTGGATGGACACTCCTGGTTTCTCCAGCATTTGTGTTCAGATTGTGGCCACCTCTGCTGTGCTGCAGGGCAAGTTGGAATGAGGGTAGGTCAGGGATAACCACTCCATAACTTACTATTTGCCAGAGAATATTTCCATCTAAAGATTTCCCTTAAGCAGGACTCTTGTGCACGGGCCTCTCATTTCTGTGGTTGTTCCTTCATTTCTGTTCAGTAAAAACATTTATCCAGGGCTCCAAATTCCCCATCCATCATGCACTTTTTATCCAAGTGGGAACAGACCAAAGCTCTGAAGTACAGGCTTAGCATGCCCTGCCCTTCACGGGCTGCCGCCTATTTAGCATCATCTAGTTCAGGGTTTCCACAGACAGCCAGGCATCTGTGAGGACTGAGCAAGTTTGCACTGTGTCTGCCAAGTCACACAGGATTCAAGCAAGAGCCTGCTTGCCAACGTTCATCATTCTCCACCTTGGCCCTGGTCAACAACCTGAGCTTCTCCCCAGTTCATGGTTACACATATTAACAAAAACATGTGTTCACAGCAATAGAAATTGAAAAACATTATCACTGTCATAAACAAAGTGGAAAAGTGAGTCTCCTCTGCTCTTTCAGCCACTCCAAAGCTGCTCATCAACC
This sequence comes from Homo sapiens, assembly GCF_000001405.40. Taxonomy (NCBI): domain Eukaryota; kingdom Metazoa; phylum Chordata; class Mammalia; order Primates; family Hominidae; genus Homo; species Homo sapiens. The sequence goes on from NC_000002.12 coordinate 8,099,381, forward strand.
ATCATTTCAGAGTTAAACCGCTTGGCCCCAGTCATACAGCAATCAGGGAACGAACGGGCAGGTTCTCAGTCTTCTAACTCCAAGCTTGTGACTGACATGTGTGTTTCCTACACCAAAATGTGGGTCCACGTTGTGCACCTAAAGCAGACCATGAGTCTATCCCCAGCTGGAGTCTTGCTCATGACTGAGTCTTGTTGATTCCAACCTAAGACCTTCCATCAGCATGGAGATCGGGGGTGCCCAGGATGACAGGAGAGCAGTGAATTTGTGCCTAGGAGGGGGAGGATAAGCAGCCAAAACTCCCTCCATGAAAGCAACAGCCTCCAGAAAAGAACACTTCTCAGGCCGTGTTGCCACCCCAAGTCCATCCTCTTGGGAATATGCCCCCATCCTGCTAGAAATGCCTATGTTGCCGGGATGTGCTAAGGAGATCTACAGGCTCGATCAACAGCCAGATTTGACATAGGATTTCTAAGTCCCTTTCAGTTCTGGGACTAATATGATTGCAACGACCATGACAATCCCAATTTATGGATTGCTCATATGATAATTTTAAATGAAAATGTTAAACTAGACCAGTTAGCAAAAGTAAAACAACACTTTTTCTATGAATTCAATTCAACAACAGTTTGTTAAGTACTTGCTCTATCTCTGATTTTGTGCTTTGCCATGAAGATCCAAAATTGAATGAAGACATAGAACCTGACCTTAAAGAGCTCACACTCACAGTCTAGCAGAAGAAACACAGGCACATATAAGTGTGCACACACACACACACACACGCAATCAACATGATTGGGTGAGGGTGACTGGATGGAGGTGCACAGTACTGTGAGCACAGAATGAGAGCCACGTGTGTTGAAAAAGCCTTCAAAAAGAGGTGACATTTGAGCAGAGAGAAAATAAGAAAACGAATTTGGTCTTTGTACTCTTGCATGGACACTTTAATAACTCTCTGAACCCATGGCTCCTAGCAATGAATTTTTAGAAGTATGGTAAAGACAGCACAGCCATGCTCCATGCCCCAGCCTGCTTTTGGGGAGACACAATGCAATTTCTTTCCAGAAGAGAACAGAATAGGAGGTTTTTAAGTCTCCACATGGCCTTTTGAGGCCCAGTAGATAAAAATGTCTCATCAAATGCATATAATGCCTTCCTACTTACTCAAATAATGTTTTTGGACTTTATAATCCACCTGGAATAATCTTGTTTAAATCAATCATCAGTGGTTTCACTGTTGTGACTAGAGCTAGTATCTTTTATTTATTAAGTTTTCCAGTTGGTAATTGCTGGCAAATTAAAAATAGTATTGATTTTCTATCTTGTGTCTGGACACCTTGCTAAGAACTCTTATTAGTTTTAGTAATTGTTTGGTTCTCTAGTTCTTTGTTTTTCTAGGTCTATGATAATACCAACCACAAATAATAACAGTTTTCCTTTTCCTTATACCTCTCATTTTTCTTACCAATAGCATTGGCCATCACCTCTAGTATTGTGCTAAGCAATGGTGATGATAGTTGGATCCTTTGTATTCTTTCATTTTGTATATGTGTTAGTTTCTAATACTAGTGTTTTCTGCTAGAGTCTGTAGTTTATTGGGAATGACTTTTGGGAACAGCACCAGAAGCCTGTATATAGTACATCAGTTTGACATCTCTCCCTTGCTCTTTCTGCTTCTTCAAACTGGCTATTTTTCAATTTTTTGAAAGTTTCATTCTTTTTCCCATCACTAGTCATTTGCACTTTCTTTTCTTACTGTATCAAGCTCTTTCTTTCTTTTTTGGAACTCCTTTTGCATGATTTATTTTTACAAAAACCATTCTTTATATGCACCAAACTGCATCCGATCTACTCACTTTAACCTCTCTCAGCACCCTGAACGCCTCAGTTCCAATTAAGTAATAACAATTTAAATAACTTAAAATTAAATTAACTAATAATAATGGTTTAATGTTTATCTCTTTCACAAGACCATAATTTCCGTAAAAATGGGAGCATGTTTAACTTATTAGCCCATATACTTTTAGCAGTGTCATGCACATGATAGATAATAAAAGTTTACTGAATAAGCAAATAAGGGAATAGTTTATTACAAATTTTAAAAATCAAAGAATTTATAAACCTTAATAATTTTAAAACTTTTGCCAACTTACTTCTTTTTATATGCCATTCTTATATTCAGTGACTTCTCTCAATTTAATTTTTTAATTGTTCAGTTAAGTTTTGCTATAAACATATGTAAGTGTAACCTGTCCACTTGCCAATGGCAGAGTTGGTGCACTCTACCCCAACTTACATGCACACATACACATGCATCATAGTTGCTCATCTATTTCCCAAAACCTGTATTTTAAGACATTAAGAGCAGTGCTTTCTTGGCTGAAAGAGTAATGGTTAGTTGTTGACAAATGTTTTCACAGCAGCTCCCATAGTAGACAGAATGAGCATGGCTGGCCCTTGGTTTCAAGCCTTAAGTAAACATAAACTTCCCCAGATTAGATTGCTGAATTTTTGAACTTTCTTGTTCTTTTTTGAGGTAGCAATTCCATTCTAAAAAGACTTTGTTTTACATTGTTAAGGCAGACAAATAATTCCTTGAACCTCTCAGTCCCTGGTGGTGTCTACAATCCTTTCTTGTGCCTCTCTGCACCTTGTTGGTCTTTCTCCTGATGAGCTGGACACACAAGACTGTTAGTTGTGTCTGCCCCTCCAGCCCTGCATATGACCTTTATCCTTGATGGTAGCTACCATGGTGGTAGTCCCTGGCTGGAGCTTTCAGCACATTTCATGGGTTCGCTTACTTAAGTCTCCAAGTGACCCATTTTGCTATTGAGAAAACAGAAGAAAATCATATCCGGTAACTTGCCTAAGAGCCTGTACTTCTAGTCACTAACCTAAACTGTCTCCCATAGACAGGGCTCTCTAAAAATCAAATACCTATCCTTTAAAAAATAAAATCAGGTAAATCAAACATCTTCAGGACAGTTTTTAAATAAATTCCATAGAGGAAATACAAACATACTTTAGTACTTTACAAAGCATCTTTCTCTCCTAGACTTTCTCAGGATTTATACATACAGAGAGCCTAGCATGCCTTTTTTTGTCCTCTTCTACCAAAATAAAAATGTTTAGGCACACAATAAATTGTGGAATGCAAGAAGAAATTTTAGATCTTACTTTCTACTCTTTAGCAACCAGAAATCCTACCTCAAGCCCTCAATAAATGAGGAAGCCTGAGACATCCATCAGACAGTAACGTCTGCAGAAAGTTCGTTGCATCAAAGACCCAGATGCAGACTCAGTCCGCTTCTTCCACACTCACCCACAACTTATTCCTCATTGACTAAGCCTAAGATCTATAGGTAAATACAGAAAATTATGGTAGCAAACCTGAGCATTTTCTGGTTAACGGATAAGGCTTTACTTAAGTTGACAAGAAGATTCTAAATTGGTGGATCATTTGTTATATAATTACAATATATGAATCTAAGGAAGATATTATAATTATGACACCAGTTTAATAAAATATTAGTTTTTTCCTGGACTCCATGGCCTAATAATAAGAATGTATGAATATCTAACACATTTACTAAAATTCAAACTTATTTTCTTTTACATACCCACAAGTAGTTTAAGTTGATGCAAACCCCACTGAAACAATTTATTAAATGTGATGCTTCACCTGATACATGGATCATGAATGAGTTCCTGATTTTTCCTGCTAAGAACATTAGCCAACATCCAGTTGTTAATTCCAGCATCAGTATATTAAGCCGATAGTCCATAGTCTACACAGCATGAACAATGTCTGTTTAATCTTTAGCAAGAGTTCAGCCATTATTTATGACTCACATGCGCAAGGGCACGTTGCATAGATTTAAGTAGAGGTCATCTCAGAGACTAAATCAATAGCAAAGTTAGTCGGCTGAAATTCATTAGGGATGAACAGTATTTGCCTGATTATGCAACATTTCCAAAGTTTTTCTATTTCTGTATCAGATTTCAGCTTTACTGGCTACAACTCTTTGTGCACTGCTTTTTTTAAATTAATGAGGCTAATAGGATTTTGATGTTTCAAGCTTTGTACACAAACCTAGCAGGCAAAAATCTTCCGTAAATGTATTCTAAGCTCTTGGCAAACTTTCCTCAGGAGCAAATATTAACTTGAGATAGTGTTTATTAGCATTTATAAAATAATCACTGTAATAGTGGTATGTAATTGGTAGAGATAAGTGCTTTTCTAAGCCAGGAATTAATCACGTTTGCATTCTTTAATAGGACCTGGTCAGAAATAATTTATTTCTTGCACAGTTTACATTTTAAATAACAATGTGATTTTCCCTGATTTCATGAAGATGCACTTCACCCTGCCTTTGCTGTGAGCACTGGAGCATGGAGAAGTGAATTCTGTATTATATAACACAGATAAAGGCTACAAGAGACTCCATAATTTGACTTTTTACCCCGTATCTCCGAGACTGGCCTAAAACTTGCAAATAGAGATTCTTCCAAATTAAACAGTCATTATGCTTCCATATTTATGAAGCATTTTTTGCTATTTTCCTACATCCTAAGAAGTACATCCTGATGCAAAACACCTGCTCCCCATAAGGCCATCCAGCCAACTGACTCCAGAAGAGAAGAAATGCTGTCAAGTTATTCAGAAGCACATTTGCAAGCAATGTAGGCTTCAGGAAGAACAAAAAGGCAAACAAACTTTCCCAATGGGCAATTTCCAGCAAGCAAAGGGAGTGACTCTTTATAGGCAAGAAAGGCCACTGCAGAAGAGTGGGGTGAGACTGAAAACACAAACAGGCAACGGCCAAAGCGTATACGAAAATAGAATTCCGACTACAACCTGCAGTGGCCAGACCAATAAACCAGCCCCTTCTCTACAGTAAATAGCCCAGGAAGCCAACCTGTTGGAAGTCAGACTTGCAGGAAGCCAGATAGCTATTTCTAGGAAGAATCCAGGGATCTAAACAATAACTTCTGTAACAACTGGCCCCAAATAGCCAAGACTTGATTAAAGAACTGACAGCTTTCCTAATTTTTTTGCCTTCTTCCAACTTAAGACCAACCAGAGAAAGCCAATTACGTGCCCCAGACCAGTCCCATAGGAGACCCTGCCTCTAGTGGGCCACCTCTGGCTTCTTCCCGCCAACAGCCTCCAATCAGGGCCACCTGAAGCCTCCCTATTCCACCAGGAAGCTTTTCTGCTCCTCTGCCTGACTTGGATTCTCTGCCAAAATGAAAGGGATGGTGGTTGACTCCCTTGCAAAGAGCAAGCTCAGGATAAATAGCCTTTGCTTCTTCTCATTTGTCTTGTCTTCATTTATATCCAGAAGTGAAATGCTCTGCCTGGCTCTTTTGTGTCTGGAGAAGCAGAGATGGGTCCAGCGGACCTCAGATATTTTCCCTCTACCTCTCTTCTCCTCCTCTTTTGCCCTCGGTTGCCCTGCTAAGATCCATCCCACCCCATTGCTCAGAATCCGCTTCTCTGCTGCAATTGTCCCAAACAGAAAAGGTCCGATCAGTTTGGCTAATCACTAGCTGGAGAGGTGTGTTCCTCTGTGAGCAAACTTTGAGGCAGACATAGACCCCTGTTCCAATGACATAACCGTGATGTTGAGATTCATTTTTCTTAGAGCACATGGCTGCTTTTCTGAGAGATGGTTTATAGAGGTCAGAAAAAGCATAGACAAAAAGCATAAAGTAAAACTTCCATGCCCACAGAAACAAGACATAACAAACAAAATAAAACTGCCCATAAACTTTAAAAAAAAAGTGTTTAACTGCCACGGTGTGAAATCCAGAATCACATGAATTAATACATAAATTGTGTTCTATTTGTTTTGGGAAGGTGTGGAATTGTCCATTTTTCAAGATAGAAATATTGTGCAAATGCAAATGTTGAACTTCTTGATAAATCTCTGCTGATAAAGAAATGTGATCTGTGTGTAATCATGCTACCTCTACTAGGAGAGCATTTGGTTGGCTCACCTGCCTGTGGGAACTTCTTAATTCACACTGACGTGTCACAGTTTCGCAAAACTTTGCTCTCAGAGTGCTCACCCTTGTTGATACTTTGATATCTCAGACATGGTCCACTGTAGTGTCTTTCTTAGGATCTGCAATTATTTAAAGCAATGTCCAAATAAGAATCGCTCCTTGGCAATAGTTTTCACTCCTTGGCAATATGTCACTGGCTACATCTGCCCAAAATCTTCATTTCTCCTTCCATCCTTTCCTCCTATTCTCTTCTTTTTCCTTCCTCCTTTTCCCTCTCTTTCTCTCCCCCATGAGGATTGCTTTTTTTCATCTGATTTAAAATTTCTAAAATAAACAGAACAGGAATCAGCACTTCCCCAGAACCAAAACTATCATATTTCAGCACACCTTGATACATATCATCTGTCATGCACCCTGGCACCTACATTCCAATGCTGTTCAACCTTCGGGGGGCAGAAAAACCAGATGCCACCTGGAGATTGCCAATCCAAAAGCCTTGGCTGGTCTTCTTTCTTCTACCCTTTGAACTGCATAGAGCCACTGGATAATATTTCTTGATCCCTCATCTGGAAGATTTGTGTTTTGAAGAGATGTAAGATTTGTGGGTTGACAAGATGATCTTTTAGCTTCAAGCTCCAACTCAGGGCTTAAAAGGAAACACAAGCTGGTAGGAAAATACATTGAGGGACTATATAACTTATTGTCTTAAGCCAGGACATTTTTGAGAGTGACAGGCGGTGCTATGATAATTTCAGTGGGATCATAAAAATGAACCTGGACATCCTGGGCAGACCAGAATATACTGTCACCTTGTCTGTGGGGTACGACAAAACGGCATCAGGTGCTTAAAAGTAAGGTCTGCACACATCACCCCAAGCAAGTTCCTCCGTCACAGAGAGACTATCCCCACTGTGAACACATTTTTATGCATGGAAAGGAAAGTTATTTATATATTTCATGGTGTGAATGGTCCATATTTTAAAAGCAATGCCTTATATTTACAATGACATGTAAGTTGAAAAACCTGTCTATATTAGCTTTCCTTTACATTGACTTCATAATACTCAAACTGCTACTTCTTTGAGGAAATGTAATGATATTACCAAAATCACATTACTAATTATTTCACCTCTCATGTTCTTCCTTTGCAAAGGCATAGGACGTACTACATCCAGAAAGGATAGTCGAAACAAATAAGATCTCACAGAGAAGCCACCCAGCACAGCATCTGGATGTGTGAGGAACTCAAAGACTGTTTGTTTCCCCCTCTTCATTTTTTACAAATACCTTATATGTAATATCCAAACTACCAGGTATAATTCCTATCAGAAGGAAAGAGCCTTAAAAATCATTAACGTGTCATGTTTATGCTTTCCTTTCTAACAATTATACTTAGTATTAACTATTTTGTTGAGAATAAGTTAAAATTAGCATACACTACTTCTGACTGCTAGTAGTATATGAATACATTGAAATTAGCATATACTACTTAGTGTTAAGTGCTGAGGTGCTTGAATTTCCCACATAGGATGACATTTCCATGAACAAAATGGAGGCTAGCAAAGTCCCTACTGCCATGAGGGATTTCATTGTCAAAGCTAGAAATATACTGTGAAGAAGTCAGAAAAGACCATGTCCCAGTGTCAGAGGCTTTTAAACCAGAGCCACTCCATCTTGTTTAGGCGCTAGGTAAAATAAGGCTGAGACCTACTGGACTGCATTCCCAGGAGGTTAGGCATTCTAAGTGACAGGATGAGATAGGAGATGGACCCAAGATACAGGTCATAGAGACCTGGCTGATAAAACAGGTTGCAGTAAAGAAGCAGGCCAAACCCACCAAAACCAAGGAGAGTGACCTCTGGTTGTCCTCACTGCTCATTATATGCCAATTATAATCCATTAGCATGCTAACAGACACTCCCACCAGTGCCATGACAGTTTACAGATGCCATAGCAACGTCAGGAAGTTACCATATATGGTCTAAAAAAGGGAGGAACCCTCAGCTCCAGGAATTGCCCACCCCTTTCTCAGAAAAAAATCAAGAATACTCCATCACTTATTTAGCATATGATCAATAAATAACTATAAGTATTCTTAGGCCAGCAGCTCAAGCCACTGCTCTACCTGTGGAGTAGCTATTCTTTCATTCCTTTACTTTCTTAGTAAACTTGCTTTACTCTATGGACTAGCCTTGAATTCTTTCTTGCGCGAGATCCAAGAACCCTCTCTTAAGATCTGGATTGGGACTCCTTTTCCGGTAACAACCGTATGACCAGGACCTTGTCCTTGTCTCTAGTACTCCTGAAAGAGTAGAGGGGAGAGAAAATAAAGAAAGGAGGAAGAGGAATCAGGGGGAAGACCGGCTGCATGAGGAGGAAGGAAATGTGAGACTTCTCAGTAACTGCCCCATCTGACCCAGGCACACATGCATGCACACACCCAGAAGGGACATAACTGTGTTACTTGGGAGCTGGAATCCTGGCTGAGCTTCAGCATTGTGTCCCTGTGGCCTCAGGACATCCCTCCCTACTCCCTCCAATGCATGAAGGACCCAATGCACGAAGATGGAGAGTGTCACCTGCCACCCTCCTGGTTCCTCTACACCTAACCACAAGGGCACTGTGAATTACACAGGATTTGGTTTCATACTGTTGTTTTTCTCCACATAAACACAGCCAACTCTGCTGGTAAAAGCTATCTCTGCCTGGGAGGTGCAGGGCACCTGTGTGTGGAGCAGCTCTTCTTCCTCCTGCCTGAGATCCAGCGTCCTTTCCCTAGGTGTCAGCAGAGTAGAGCTCTTCTCTGAAGATGAATATTTATTGTTTCAAAATAGGCCTTCAACAATATGTGGGCCTCAATACTTTTTCCTGTGAGATGTCCCTTCTCAGGACACCTTCAGGACCAACATCCTATGTTTCTATATAAACAAACCTTTCTGCTATGGTATGCACTCACATTCATTTTTAGGTAAATGCAGAAATCTATGGAGGGCTTGCTCCAAAGACTGGTGGAGAATGAGTTGAAATTAGCATATCAATTATTGTTACGTAAATAGGACTCCTAAATAACTTTAAAAGTTTGCTTTGACCAGGCGCTTTACATATTTTTCTGCAATATTAACTTTGTGGTATAGAAAACTTCTACTAAGCAAACATCAACCTCAATCCAACTTTTCTGTAATGTATTTTTTGAAGCCTCCATCAGAGACAGATTTACCAAAAAGCTAAAGTTTTAGGACTTCTGTCCTCCACTGGTTTTTTCCGAGGCCCTTGGGAGGGTATCTCACAATATATTGCTATTGTTGACAGTTCATATTTCTGTGATTTTGTCTGCAGTCTGTTAAGCCAGCTTGCTCCATCTCTCCACTCCCAGACCCTCCATGTCATATATCCTCTGCCCTCAGGTTCTCTTGGCATGGTTTGTGCATGCTTGAGTTTTGGATAAAAAGAAGAATAATTGGGGATACACTTAGTTTGGGCTTATTGGGGTATATTTCTGTGAGTAAGTGCAGGTAAGTTACTGTTTTCTGTCCCAGTGTAGTGAAGCCTTCCAGGAGAATTCCTGCTGCCCAACTCCCATGGTAGGGTGACATGAAAGTCCAGGCCCAGAGATCCTATGGCAATGTAAATGCATCTTATGACATCTGGTACCAAAAGTATGTGGATCACGGAACAGAAATAACCTTTGACGTGTATATAGAGTCAGAAGCTAGACTGTGGGAAATTCTTCTAATTATCAGTCATGTAAAATTGCACAGAGAGATCAGTTTCCACCAATGCTTATGGAAAAACAGAAGCTCTCTCCTATAAGAATATAATCAACAATGCAGCAAATGCAATGATGCATACACCATGCATTTGTTTATGTAAATGCAACAAAAGGAACTTTATCTGAATAGCCATGTGTGCGAGGCAGCTCTGGAATAAACAGCAAGGAGATCCGTGTATACAGTTGCATTTTTTATGCATCTCAACTATCAATAACTAAAATAAATGTTAATCAACTATGCTAAAAGAAGATCAAATTATTCTTCTCCTTTCTCTATGAAAATATTACAAACTATTGTTCGGCCCTTCTTCCTTGAGCCTCAGACTCAGCTTCCTTTCCCTGGCTGTCAGCAGCATGGAGCTCTTTTCTGAAGATAACTATTTGTTATTTCAAAATAGAACTTCAAAAATACTGTTGTCCAATGAAGAGGTGTTTCTTAAGCTACGCAGCCAAAAACATAGGAATGAAAGTATTATAAAGTTATGTCAAGCAGTTATCAAAAGTAATATGCTATTTTTCTAGATTTTTTTGGTATTTGTGCTACTTTATAACTTTTTAAAATTTGGTTTCTTTTCTCATTCTAAATAAATATTCACTTTCATTTTGTGTCATAATTTTTATTTTTTTCTTAAAGAGAGCCCCCCAAATTGTATATGCGTCAGTGCACAAAACCTAGCCCCTCCCCTGGTCTCCATTATTCCACTCAAGATTCTATACCATCCAAATTTAAAAATAATAAATCACAAAATAAAGCTAAATGCAAAATTGTTCAAGAAGTTACTAACTTCTGGCCCAGATTTTGCAGAAACTCATTTTCTAGATGGTGCTGCTATCCCCTTTAATGTTGGAATTCAGTGAGAGAATTCAAAGAAATGAAATCCTAGTGAAGACCCTTTAGTCGTCACTCTGTAGTGGAGGCATGCAGGGCCTGAGAGCAGATGGCTGCCTTCCATCAGACTCATTCAAGAGAGGAGAGTCTGGGGGCTCAGGAGGGTGAGGGTGGGCACCGGGTCTCAGCATGCTCCTGGCAATGCCAGTACCCACACTCTGAGCATGGCCGTCACCCTCAGCAGAAACAAAGATGCCTCCTGCTCAACTCCAGTCATCCCTGGGGAAGGCTGTGTTTTGCCTCTAAGTATTGCTTGATTTCCTCCTGGTATCCCACAGCATGGCCAGGTCGCCCTCCCAGGGGCATTGTCTTCAGCTGGGCCAGGCGGAGGAGCAGAAGGGCTGAGAGGGCTGAGCCCACACCACACTACTGCCTCCTGCCCTGGTGCTGCTATCCTAAAGACACTGTATTCATTAGTCAGGGTTCCACAGAGAAACAGAACCAATAGAAGCAGAACCAGATAGATGTATCATAAGGAATTTGCTCATGTGATGCTGAAGGTTGGGAGTTCCCAAGATCTGCAGTTGGCAAGCTGGAGAAGCATGAAACGTGATGGTTCTAGTCTGAGTCTGAGTCTGAAAGCTTAAGAAAGAGGAAAGCTGAATGCTTTCACAAAATTACATATTTGTGTCCCCCCAGAATTCACATGCTGAAACCCTAACTCCCAATAGGATGGTATCAGGAGGTGAGGGCTTTGGGACATCATTAGGTTTAGGTGAGTTGATGAAGATAGAGCCCACATGATGGAATTGGTGTCCTTACAAGAAGAGAAAGAGACTGGAGCTCTCTCTGCCACATGAGGATGCAGTGAGCAGGAGGCTGTCTACAAGCCAAGAAGCAGAGGCCCTCGCCAGACACTGCATCTGCCAGCACCTTGCGCTTGGACTTTCCAGCCTCCAGAACTGTGAGAAATAAGTGTCTGTTGTTTGAACCTCCCAGTCTATCATATTTTTTGTTATAGCAGCTCTAACTGACAAAGACACCAGTGGTGTAAGTTTTACTGTGGAAAGCAGCAGGCTGGGGACCCAAAAAGAACCAACATTTCAATTCAAGTCCAAAGACAAGAAAAGACTGGTGTCCCAGCTCAAGCAGTCAGGCAGGAGGAGTTCTTGTTTACTCAGCCTTTTTGTTCTATTCGGGTCTTCAATTGATTGAATGAGGCCCACTCACTTTAGGAAAGTCAAACTTCTTTACTCAATCTAGCAACTTAAATGTTAATGTCATCCAAAACACCCTCACAGACACAGCCAGAATAATGATTGACCAAATGTCTGGGCAGCCCATGTCTCAGTCAAGATGATACATGAAATTAACCAGTACAGACAGTGAAGCAGCATAAAATTAAACACCCCCTTGTATGATTCCCGGAATAAGCTCACCCTCCTCCACCACCATTTCAACCTTTGGATCCATTTCTAAGACATAGCACTGAGCAGTTTAATTGCACAATCAGAAAACATCTGCTGAACACTTACAAGGTGCCCAAATTACAAATGATCTTCATGTCATTTTAGGGAGTTTGTATAGTACATTCCCTTTTAAAAAGAATAGAACCTATCTTAGTCTGCTTGGACTGCCATATCAAAGTATCATAGGCTGTGTTTAAATAAGAGACATTTATTTATCACAGTTCTGGAAGCTGGAAAACAGATCAGAATGCCCGCATGGACTGGTTCTGGTGAGGGCTCTCTTCCTGGTTTGCAGGCAGCTGCCTTCTTGCTATGTCCTCACATGGCAGAGAGAGACAGGAGGAAAGTTCTCAGGTGTCTCTTCTTAGAAGAACACAAATCCCATTATGCGGGCACAGCCCTCATGATTTCATCTACACCTGATTATCTCCCAAAGGCTCTACTTCCAAATTCCATCACATTGAGGGTGAAGACTTCAACATAGCAACTTTGGGGGATGCAATTTGGTCTGTAGAAGATCCCATGAAGATTTAAGTTGCGCAGATTGGATTTTGTAAAAGCCACTCTGGTGTCTGTGGGGAAGAATGTTAAGAAGACCAGAGGCAAAGGAACTTTGGATATGGGGCTGAGGAGTAGGAGGGCATTGCACAGTCAGAAATATTTAAGGAAAAATATCCAAAGCACTTAGTAGCCAATTAAAAATTTGATGTGTTACAAGGATATAATATTTTATTGCATTAACCTTTATTGCATTTCACAGATATCACATTTTTTATGAATTGAAGTTTTGTGGCAACCCCACATTGAGAAAGTCCGTTGAAGCCATGTTTTCCAACAGCATATGCTCATTTCATGTTTCTGCATCACATTTTGGCAACTTTCACAATATTTTAAAATTTTTGATTATTGTTATCTCCGTTATGTTGATCTGTGATCAGTGATCTTCAATGTTACTATTGTTAATTGTTTGGGGGGACCAAAAGTGAGGCCCATGTAAGACAGAGAACTTAATTGATAAATGTTGTGTGTGTTCTGACCTGCTCCACAGAATGGCTGTGTCCCCATCTCTCTCCCTCTTCTCATACCTCCCTATTTCCTGAGACACAATAGTATTGAATTTAGACCAATCAATAACCCAAAAATGGCCTTTAAGTGTCCAAGCAAAAGAAAGAGTTGTACATATCTTACTTAAAAACTAGAAATGATTAAGCTTAGTGAGGAAGGTATGTTCAAACTGAGATAGGCTAAAAGCTAGGCTCTTGCACTAAACACTTTGCCAAGTTGTGTATACAAAGGAAAAGTTTTTGAAGGAAATTAAAATGCTACTCCAGTGAACACACAAATAATAAGATAGCAAAACAAACTTCTTGCTGATGTGAAGAAAGTTTTAGTGGTCTGGACGGAAGATCAAAGGAGCCACAACATTCCCTTATGCCATAGCCTAATCCAGAGCAAGGCCCTAACTCTCTTCAATTTCATAAAGTCTGAGAAAGGTGAGGAAGCTGCCAAAGAATAGCTTGGAGCTAACAGAGTTTAGTTCATGAGGTTTAAGGAAAGAAGCCATCTCCAGAACATAAAAGTTCAAGGTAAAGCAGCAATTGCTGATGGAGAATCTGCAGCAAGTTATCCAGAAGATCTAGCTAAGATCACTGGAAAAGGTGGCTACACCTAACAACAGATGTTTAACATAGACAAAATGCCTTCTATTAGAAGAAGATGCCATTTAGAACTTCTATACCTAGACAAGAGAAGTCAATGCCTGGCTTCAAAGCTTCACAAGATAAGCTGACTCTCCTGTTAAAAGGTAATGCATTCAAGTTGACCAATGAGCCATAAGAAAAGAGCTAATGCAACTGGCGACTTTCAGTTTGAAGCCAATGATCGTTTATCAATTCAAAAATGCTGGGGATTTTAAGAATTATAATAAATCAATTCTGCCTGTGCTCTAGAAATGGAACTCTGAAACCTTGATGATAACACCTCTGTTTTCAGCATGGTTTACTGAATATTTTCTGCCCACTGTTGAGATGTACTGCTCCAAAAAAAGAAAAAAAGAGAAAAGATTCCTTTCCAAATATTACTGGACATTGACAATGTGCTTGGCTGCCCAAGAGCTCTGATGAAAATGTACAAAGAGACTAATGTTGTTTTCCTGCCTGCTAACACAATATCCATTCTGCAGCCCATGGGGTCAAGGAGTAATTTCAACTTTCAAGTCTTATTATTTAAGGATTACATTTTGTAAGGTTGCCATAGTGATTCCCATGATGAATATGGGCTAAGTAAATTGAAAACCTTCGGGAAAAGATTCACCACTCTAGATACCATTAAGAACATTTGTGATTCATGGGAGGAAGTCAAAATATCAAGATTAGTAGGAGTTTGCAAGAAGTTTATTCCTATCCTCATGGATGACTTTGAGGAGTTCAAGACTTCAGTGAAGGTAACTGCAGATGTGGTAGGAACAGCAAGATAATTAAAATTAGAAGTGGAGCTTGAGATGTGACTCAATTGCTGCAATCTCTTGATAAAACCTGAATAAATTAGGAGTTGTTTCTTATGGATGAGTAAAGAAAGAGGTTCCTTGGGATGGAAACTACTCCTGATGAAGATGCTGTCAACATCATTGAAATGACAACAAAGGATTTAGAATATTACATAAATGTAGTTAATAAGCTACATTTGAGGGTTTGAGAGGATTGACTCCAGTTTTGAAAGAAGTTCTACTGTGGATGAAATGCTATCGAACAGCATTACCTGCTACAGATAACTTTTGTATGAAAGGGGGAAAAAAAAAAAACAAAAAAACTACTGATGCGTTAAACTTTACTGTTGCCTTATTTTAAGGAATTGCCATTTTAAGAAATTACCCCAATCTTCAGCAGCTACCATATTGGTCAGGTAGCAGCCATTAATATTGAGGCAAGATGCTCCACCAGCAAAAAATTACAGCTCACTGAAGGCTCAGATTTAGTTAGCAAGTTTCAGCAATAAAGTATTTAATTAAGATATGTCCATTTTTGACCATGGCTCAGGCTGTGGCTCATGCCTGTAATCCCAGCACTTTGGGAGACCAAGGCAGGAGGATCACTTGAGGTCAGAAGTTCAAGAGAAGCCTGGCCAACATGGAGAAACCCCATCTCTACTAAAAATACAAAAATTAGCCGGGTATGGTGGTGCATGCCTGTAATCCCAGCTACTCAGGAGTCTGAGGCAGGAGAATTCCTTGAACCCAGGAGGTGGAGGCTGCAGTGAGCCAAGATCATGCTGACAGAGGGAGACTCCATCTCAAAAAAAAAAAAAAAGATATGTCCACTTTTTTAGACATGATGCTACTGCGTGTTTAATAGACTACAACATCGTTGCAATATTCATTTTGCTGCAGTGGTCTAGAACCAAACATGCAGCATCTCCGAGGTATGGCTGTATGAACGGACGTGTATGGTGGGGGAAGGGGAGGGTTAATTTGTGTAGAGATAAAGACACACAATTAATTTCACGGAATTAAACTGGATTCAAATTAGGAGGTGGCTTCACTGTTTTTTGTCTCTTTTCTGGTATGATGGAAGTGGCCAATGAGGCCAAATGCAGACTCTGATTCTGGACTGGGCCAGAACCTGAGGACTCTGAACTTCTCACTCTGCATTTGTGAGAAGTTTCTAAATAATGCCAAGATGCTGGGCCTCAGACTTGCTAGTTTGAGCAGCAAAGGCACCGTAGGTGGAAAAGGAGCCCTGGTCAAAATATCTTCAAGTATCCCTGGTGCTCCCCATGTGGTTGTAACCCTCTCCAGGATGCTGTGTGTGCTGGAAAACAAAAATGCTCTCTCTGGTCCTGGGCCTCAGTTTCTTCATTTGCACAGGTAAGGATTGGAAGGGGCTTCATGGTTACTTCTAGCTTTTTTGATTGTGTGACCTCAATTCTAATGGTCTTTGTTCCAGGTAACAGGGGAAGGAAAGTCAACCGTAGTCAGTCCATAGCATCAGGACCCAGGAGCATGCTATATGCCACCCGGCTTGTAAAATGCCTTCTTTTTAAAGGGACACTTGGTATTAAAGCTAGCTTTAAAAACAGGCCAGTAAGACATCAGTTTATTACAATTAAGTAGGTTTCAAAATCAGACTTTTCTTTGAAATTCTTCCTTCCTTGTACTTCCTCAGTGCACAGGGAAGAGAAGCCGGTCCTGGCAAGTAGGTCACTAGGGCTGTGTGTAATGAGTGCCTCTTTCAAGATTTCAAGTGTGGGCTGACTTGGGGCTTTGATGTTCCCGTTGGGGAGGTTAACCTTTGTATTGCACGTGGTAGGTGAGTTTTTATAACTGGAAGGACCCTTAGGAATTATAAAACCCTTTGATTCATAAAAGCTATTTTGACTCCTCACTTCTTTAAAATAATTTGCCTACGGGGTCCAAATTATGGGGTCCTCATCACCCAGTAAATTAGTTGTCATTCTAATCAATTCCCTTTATGCTCACCCAGAATCCATTGAGGAGGAGGTGTAAAAGTAGGCCAAGTTCACTGTGTGTAATTTATTTGGTGTCAAGAAAATAAATCGTCACATAGCAGAATTTATACAAAGTACATGATTCATACCCACAAACTTGTGCTTTTAATTGGAAATGTGCTGTTGGCAATGCAAATTATGGGTGACTGGATTTCTAGGGCTACTATCAAACCCAGGCTGAAAAGCGGGAGTAACACCCCATGGTTCAGAGCATACACTGAGATGCCTTCCTGAGCCATGGGACTCCAGATTTTAGGTGATGCTCAAACCCCCAAGTCCAAGAGAGGTAAACACAGCTGCTGTTCATGTGAGTTTACATGATTTCCACCCCCTTCCAGGCAACCCCATTCTATCCCGTGTTTTTATTGATGTGGCCTCTCCCTCAGGGTGATGTTACAAATTGCTCTCATGAGCAATTTAGCTATAACGTGCAGGTAAGCATTCTCAGAGTTAGTAAACTGGACAAGTTGAGCCTTCCAGAAGGCTCTGGAAGCCCCCACAAATGGAGTCTTGAATTCAGAATTGCAGATGGAGCTGGCAAGTCCACAGGAAACATCCCCCAAAGGGGGAAAGAGCAGGAGGGAGAGATTTCATACAAAAACAATGACCCCTTCCAGACAGGCTCCTACCACTCTGCTTAACCAGATTCCAACATTACTGTTGCCAGACAAAAAGTAATGGCAACAATAGATACCACATGAGCATCTACCCTATGCTGGCATAGAGGAGGTTGTACACACGTGGCCTCATCCATCTCCAGCCTCACAACACTCCTATGAGGTGGTTAGCACTCGACTCCTTGAATACCTGAAATGCTCAAGATTCAAAAGCATGAAATGGTTCGGTCGAGGGTTAGAAAGTGGTGGAAAGGGAACTGAAACCAGGTCTGCCCGGCTCCAAACCCTATGCTCCTCCCACTGGGCTGGGCTGTCCACACCTCAGTCCTGTCCTCTGCATTGCTCCTTCCTTCACGGTAGCTCTGCTCTTCCTTCCAAGGGAGGAAGCAGACAGCTTCCTGGACCAAGCAGCACAGAGTGACCTCCCTAGGGTGCACCTCCACTGCTTGGAGACGTTTCCATGCCTTGGCTCAGCTCTGAGGATGGCTGCCCGGTTACCTAATGGAGCAGGGAGTTAGACCCCTTAGGCCAGGGCAGATTTCTCTTCATTTCTGGCCCAACTCACCTTGTCTTAAAAGGATGAGAAATAGTAACCAACTTTGGGAGGCCAAGGCGGGTGGATAACCTGAGGTCAGAAGTTCGAGACCAGCCTGACCAATATGGTGAAACCCCATCTCTACTAAAAATACAAAAATTAGCTGGCATGGTGGCAGGCACCTGTAATCCCAGCTACTCAGGAGGCTGAGGCAGGAGAATCGCTTGAACCCAGGAGGCGGAGTTTGCAGTGAGCCGAGATGGCGCTATTGCACTCCAGCCTGGGTGACAAGAGTGAGACTTCCTCTCAAAAAAAAAAGAAATAGTAACCAAAAAAGGGAATTGATGAAGGTATTTTTAAGAGAAAGCAATAGGCTTCACGGTCCGGTATAACAGTTGTCTTGGAATATTTTATGGTAATCACATGATGCATCTTCCCCCAATACTTCCCCAAGCACATACATCTCAAAACAATCTCTATTTGGAAAAAGAGTAGTTATAAGCCATCCTTTGCACCCTAATATACCAGATGGTAGAAAGAATAAGAGAAACTAAACGAAAAAAACAAAACAAAACAAAAACCTTAACGTGTCTTAAGAAAACAGCCTGAGAAGCAGTGTGTCTGATGTTATAGTGGCGGCTTCAAGGATCATAAGAAAATAAATCAATTTGCAGCAGCTGTGGGCTACCAGGTAAGTCCAAAGCACAGAGCTAGAGTCATGTTAAGGAAAGGAAAAAATATTTGGTTGTAAATCCACAACTTTAGATCCCGAAACTCCCAAGGTTTCCTGTCATCCTTGCTACCCGCCTACAGCCCATCTCTGCAGCCCATCTTTCCTGACTCCAGTTCTTCTTTTCATTATCAAATTATTAAAAGGTAATGTGTGCACAGAGTGAAGCTGCATCCAGCTCACTTTGTCCACCTTCCCCAAGCTTCCCATCATTCTCCTTCCAATTCTGAACAGAAAGCAGGCAAGGAGCAGAGTTGAGATGTGGAACCAGCATGCCTTTCCCTCAGGCGGCCTTTGTTCCAAATACATCGTATAAGATTTGAGCAAAGCAAATATGTTTTCATGCCATGCTTGCAATTTACCTGATTTTTCATAGTAGAGAAGGTATATTAAGGGGCCTCTCTGAGGCTGTTGCTGCGCAGGTTTCTTGCTCTGTCATTTCAGGACAGCTGTTCTCATCGTTTCATGGAGACTGGATGTGTCTAGGCCCCAAACCCAAGCTTCCTCTAAGAATACTGCCAGTGTTTGCAGACAGCCTCCTCCAAGGCTGGGAAACAAAAGACAAGGAAGTGATATGAAACCACCTCTGTTACAATGATGTCCGTGCCTCTGAAATGCGTCCACGCAGAGGATCGCGCAGAGGCAGAAGGAGGCTTGGGGGGTGTGAAGGAAGAATGCAGGATGAGGACACTACATGGAGCCTGGAAAACTGACTCTGCTCAGGGCAGTCGCAGGGGGTGGCTTCAGACACAGGTTCTCCCTGGTGAGCTCAGTGTGCGCTTAAAACAGCAAAGCAGAAGGCCCGGAGCCATGGAGAAGAGATATTGGACAAGACAAAGAAAACAAACTAACAGGCAAAAACTTCAATCCTGCTCTGTCGAATCTGAGGCTATATACATGGAGGCTGGAAAAGGGAGCAGAGGAGCTCACAGTGAGAAGGGAACCAATGTTTATTCCAGCTTTGGTGCCTCCCTAACTTCGTGTGTTATGCGCCAGACATGGTAGATAGACAGATAGATATACAGTCAGACAGATGGACAGATAGTTAGATAAAAAGAAAGATAGATAGATGCAAGATTTATAGATAAATCTTATTTAACTTCTATTTAACAAACTTGGAAGGTGAGTATTAGCCCCAATTTACAGATAAAAAAACAGAAATGCAGGAGGTTGAACAGAAGAGCCCAGGAAATAGAGTGATTCCATGGTGTGCTGGGTTGAAGGGCTGCCTGAGCCATTTAGACGCGGGCTGGGTCATGTGGGTGTGTCCTTATCTACCCAGTGCTGTGGGAGGAGCATCTTTCCCTCCCCTGCGAATCCCTGCCAAGCTTCCAAGACCCCTCTCCAAAGCAGCTCCAGGCTTCCTCCAGTCCCCACTACCAACTAGAAAGAAATGCCCACACCCGCTACACGCTGAAGCAAACTTCTGAATTGTCTGGGCCTTCTGAACCTTCTGGAACTCTGGCTTGCCCACAAGGCTATCTCTCCCTGACCTACACGCAGCTGCAGGGCAGCACTTGCTCTGCGCTGAACACACATGGAGCTCTCTGGAAGCATGGACGGAATCCTCTTCCCAACATACCATTCTTCCACGTGACATGGAACAACAAGAAAATGATATAAAGCAAATCCGGGCCCACATCGCAAGATCCCAAAAGGCAGGAGGAACAGGTTGTCATTTCTTCCGAGAGTTCCCCTGTTTCAGTTTTCCCCACGCCTCTCCCAGCAGTGGAGGGCTTGTTTCCTTGTTCCTGAATCCCTGCTTTCTGAATCTATGTGAGTTCACCTGGGCACTGGAAGGAATGAAAGAAAACAGAGTCCCTGCCTGATTCAGGGAAATCTGGAAATTTCTTTTATTGATAACAAGCATAAGAACGACATCATTTGGCTGTGTTTGTACTGCTTGAAAACATTTTGCTCAGATTAGCTGTAAAAATTTCAACACCAACTGCATCGTCTATCAGAGATAGGGAAGATAAGGCGGCTCTCAAATCAGCCAGCCTTTGAGAGTTGGAAAGAACTTTGATTAAACAAAGGGAATGTCACAATGTTTCCTGAGCCACAGACTGAAATCCCATTGTCCGGTGAAAAAACGCATTCAGCACAGCCCTGCTCTTTGCCTTCAGACGTGCCTTTCCCTGTGAAGCACATTCTGACCGTGAACCTAACGAGAAATCCACAACTGTGACTAATTGTTTTCAGTCCTCATTGATTGTCAAGACTCCTGACAAAATTCTCAGAAATAGAAACTAAAATTGCTGCATATGCAAGACTTTCTCAGTGTGTCTGAGAATGCTCCCAATACAAGCCCCCTTTCTCATCTGGCTAGAGAGCTCCTCGGGGAGCAGGCACACTGCACAGAGCCCCAGAATAACCACAACGACAATTTCCTCCAGGATTAAACATTTCCTTGGTCAAGGCCAGAGGTAAATCTATGCCCCTGTGAGTGCACATAGAGGAAAACTGGAACCAACCAGGTAAAACTGGTTTTGTGAATGAATATGATTCACTGGTCCAGCTGTAAAATGAATCTCACAATGTGATTACACCATTCCAAAACAGCTGAGACCATTAAAGTTCAAACTGGCAGACTTCTACTTCTTACTGAGGGAAGAGGAGAGAGCCAAGTTTTAAACAATTACAGTTTGTCACTATAAAAGGCATGCAGGTTGCAGTGAGAGAGTGTGTGTGTTTTCAGGTAGAAGAGCCTCCCTTTGTTGCCTTCAAAAGTTCTCTATGCTTTTTAAAAGCTCATCACAGGAAGGCAGGATTGGACACCACATGGAAATCAGAATCCTCCTTCACTGATCAACGGAAAATATCACCCTATTCCGAAGTTCAATGTAAGAACACTTTCTAAGAGACGCTCAGATTCGACGTTAGGACTCCCGAACATTGTGTAAACTTTTGAATATTCAACAAACCCTTGGTTTCAGTTATGAAAGCAGTCAGGATTCCAGATTGTCAGTTGTTGGTGGTCAGTAGTGAAAAAGAAAAAAGATCTACATATACATATATAAGTGTGTGTATAGATAGATACATACTTAACTACCTATCTATCTATACACACAGTCACTAGTTAGTGACTTAACTAGATAGATATATAGTTAAGTATGTATGTATCTACACACACACAGTCATACTTAAACTCAGAGATAATCTATTTTAATAATAGTACTTTCCTTTTTCTATGAACGTGTTCATAAAGAGGAGGAATGCCAAAGAGGCTGAATCCCAACACTGATCCTTGCATGCCAGAGAGAAGGGCAAGGTACATTTATAGGAGATTTCCATTCCTGCTGCCTGGAATTCAACTAGAACATTTCATCATTATCTGAGAATTTTCATGTATGGGCCAGACACTGGGTTTGCGAAAAAATACGTGCTGAAAATGCATACTTGGAATTCTATGAGGATATCTGTGAATCACAAGTTTCACTAAAACACTTAGTCCTACAAATCATGTCTTCAGGGCATTCATTCCCCCTGCCCTGGTCGTGGATGGAAGGGTCTACCCAGGCATTGAGCAATGGGATGCTTCTGGCTGACACTGCTCAGGGGGACCTTCAGCTGCCTGAAGGGAGCCTCCTCACCTCAGAGCCCACCCAGGTCTATCCGTGAGAGGCACTGGGCAAGGGGCTGTGGGTGGAGAGGGGGTGCCTGGAAGGTAGATGGGGAGAGGAGAGTGGGTGGGAATCCACTGCTCCTCGCCATCCCTGGCGTAGCTATATTATTTATTTATTTTGTATAACAGGCTTTCCAATGGCAGGCCTTTTTTAGAAAAAAGAATTTCACGGTGTAACCAGGGTGAATTTTGGAATCTGCTGGGCTGGGTGGTTTTGTAAGCATTCGAGCTTAAATCCGTTACTGATTCATTTTAGTGTTGCCTCTAGGTATTCTGCCTTCTGCTTTTCTTAAAGCATCTTAAAAAAAAAAAAAAAAAGGCCCTTCTAACTATGATAGTCACCAAGAATGAGATTTTCAAAAGCACCTTAATGTCCTTTGATGTGCAAAGGCGGGTTAGGTGTTGAGAGCTGTCTTGCAGGACAATTCCTGCTGTGGCCATAACCTATTTTAGAACCCACTGACCTATGTCCAAAGAAGAGTAGAGGATGCATTTATTGCTGGATCTTCTTTCCTATCTGCACTTGCCAAAAATTTCAAGAATGTATCATTCTGTAATCACCAAGTTTCATCATTTTCTCTCCAGACTTTTGTACCTTCTTAGTGGTCATTTTGACAAACCTTACACAGATAAAATTATGCCACAGCTTATGAAATATATTATCTCATTCAATCTTCCATCTTATAAAAGGAAGTATCAACTATGTGGATCATTTCTCCTCCAAAATTATCACCTTAAGTATGAAAAAATTAAAAAAAGAGAAAATAAAAATTGGAACAGAATCAGACTTATTTTCTGTTATAAACTGTTGTTACTAACAGGCTGCCCAGGCACTGCTCCAACCCGGTGAGAGGCTCTCTGATGAAGTAGCGTTTCTAAGTGGCATGGACAGGCAAGACCACGTGCACAGATACCCCTCCGTGATTTCAGTCACCACCTTGCTTTTGTTGGACATACATCCAATCTGATGCTTGTTTTGTTTAATATCAGTTTTTAACATCAGACTTTGTAAAAGGTACAACAAGAAATAATGCAAATTCAGAATTTCTCCTTCCATAGATTGTCATCTATCCTCCCTCACTGATCCAGGAACAGAGTTACAAGCTACCATTATTTCCCTTTAAGAAGCTAAGTAGCTGAGCCACCAGACATTCACAGCCCTGTTTTCAGAAGTTCTCCCTCCCTGTGACGCAGCTGGAATGGGAGGCAGAGGGGATTCACGAGGTCCTTTCCTGAGACTTGGAAGCTTCCCGCCGTCAGGGTGTGGCTCATTTCTGGTCATCAGCTGCTGTTTCTGAGCAGATCCTATTAGGCTCCCAATGAAAAATGGGGTTCCTTATAGCTCACTCTCTACCAAGAAACAGCGAATCAGAGCATAATACGCAAATTGCTAATATGTCATTTTTACCATAACGTGTAGGTTTCTATTATAAGTGAGGGAAGAAAAGCAGGAAAGGGTGGAGAAGGACATGAAGCATGAGACTCATCGCCCGTCTGTCCGAGGGTGTCATTTGCTCTTCCACATGCACAGGTGCAGACAAGCCCAGTCCCAGAGGGTATGCAGTGCCTAGGATTTTGTATAATATCACTGCTACCCTTGGTAATGATCGTCGTGTTTATGATACTCACTGAATACTTACTAAATACCAGGCACTGAGCTATTTATTTCTTTTAATACAACATTTATAAGCCCTGAGATGGCTTTGAGACAGATATTGTCATTTCTATTTTAAAGATTTAAAAACATGAATCTTAGAAGACCAACATCATTTGTCCAAGCTTCCATACCAAGCAGGCAGAACCCGGATTCGAACTCTGACCCATCTGACTCCAAACCAGTGACCCAGTTGCTTATTGTGGGACCTAGTTTACACTGTTATCTAAACAGTGAAAGTGCTGAGGAAGACACAGTAATCTAGTGCCAATGCCAAGCATGCCTTCAGACTCAGAGTTCTAATAAAATTGTGTACAAGGCTGCACTCCCTTTAAGGAGAAGGGAAAACCCTACTGTTCATAGCTTTTTCTGGTGACATTTACTTGTTTTACCTTTTGATAAAATCATTTGTCTTTTTTCTGGATCGTGTTTGCAAATAAATCCTTCAATGAAAAAATCCTTTCATCATTTCACATTCCCAGATCCTGAAGGCACCTGCATTCCAGCTCTTCAGGGAGGCAGGGGAGGACCCTGGGGAGGACCCTGGGGAGGACCCTGCACATTCCTGCCAGCTGTATGGGCCCCTCCCCAAATGTTCAGCCGAAGAATTCACCTCTGAACAATTTACTAGGTCTCCCAAACAGCCTATTGTCTTTGTATTTGGAAAAACTAAATCCCCTCTAAAAACAACCTTCAGAGTAGTGTATTTTTATCTTAAAATTTGTCATGCTGATTTGCTCATTACTATAAAGTACCTGCAACACACTGCCTCTGGAAATCATGTCATCCATTTCCCTTCTTTTTTTTTTTTTTTTTTTTTTTTTTGAGACGGAGTCTCGCTCTGTCGCCCAGGCCGGACTGCAGACTGCAGTGGCGCAATCTCGGCTCACTGCAAGCTCCGCTTCCCGGGTTCACGCCCTTCTCCTGCCTCAGCCTCCCGAGTAGCTGGGACTACAGGCGCCCGCCACCGCGCCCGGCTAATCTTTTGTATTTTTAGTAGAGACGGGGTTTCACCTTGTTAGCCAGGATGGTCTCGATCTCCTGATCTCATGATCCACCCGCCTCGGCCTCCCAAAGTGCTGGGATTACAGGCGTGAGCCACCGCGCCCGGCCCCATTTCCCTTCTTTATAAAACATCCCACTAATTTCACAATCCCGTAATAGTATTTTTCAAATGACAAACCAAGATCTGTTAGTGAGTCAGGAAATCAATTTAGTAGGTTGCAATCAGCTTTTCTAAATTAAATAGAATATGATATAGAATCATATAAAAAATAACAGCATGTCATGTATGGTATTAGTTCTCAATCGGTGGTTAGTTTTCCCCCAAAGGAACATTGGCAATGTCTAGAGACACTGTTGTCCTAACTGGAGCAGAAGGGTTCCTGGTACCTGGTGGGTGGGGGTCAGAGATGCTGGTAAACATCCTACGGTTCACAGGACAGCACCTGCCACAGAGAATAATTCAGTCAAAGTTGTCAATAATGCTGAGATGAAGAAACTCTCACCTATAGTAAGGGTAAGACTCATAAAGCTTTTGTTCTGTGACGTGTGTGTGTGTGTGTGTGAAGGTAATTTCATTTGTCTGAGACTTATCAGTTACTCACTAGTAAGTTAGCCATAAGAATGCCTCACCTTGGGTGGTTTTAAGAATGATTCTATGAAATAAGTCATGTGACTAAACAACACACACACACACACACACACAAACACAAATTCCATCCACATAATATATGTTAATCCTTACCCACCCCCCACCCCCGCCCTGCTTTTCTTCTGAATGGTAAAATACCTAAAAAGGTGGCTGACACACAGCAGGTGTTCAAGAAATAAATATCTTGTCTGAAATTCCTAAATTGCTAAGATATCATTTTTACCATAATGTATAGGTTTCTATTATAAGTGAAGGATGAAAAGCAGGAAAGGATGGAGAAGGACATGAAGGATGAGACCTGTCGCCTGTCTGTCCGAGGGTGGCATTGGCTCTGTTACATGCACAGGTGTAGGCAAGCCCAGGGCCAGTGTGCTTCTGCGCATTTTGTCTTGTGTCATCTTCACCATAAACCAATGGAGAAGGCAGGGCAGGAATTCTTGTCCTCCTTTTACAGATGAGGAAACTGAGACAAATCAGGCGGAAAGAAGTAAGAGAAACCACCATGGAGTGAGACTCCAATAACTCATTTCTAAGCTGGGTTTTGGTGTAACTAGCACAGAGATCTTGTCTCAGTCTCTTCAATCAGATGAGCACTTATCCATGAGATCAGGGGAGAAGACTAAATTGTTTTCAAGTTCCCTTTGATTTTTAAAATCATTACAATCAAAGAAGGTATGAAACGTTCCCCAAGCAATGTGGCTGGTGAATGGCAGAGCCAGACCCAGGGCTCTGGACACCTGGCTACACCATGGGCCACCTGGGCATTCCCCACTCAACTAATAGGATCTTGCAAAAATATTACGGTGGTGCAGAGGTAATTGCAGTTTTTTGCACCAACCTAATACTTAGGTAAAACTCACTTAAATGTTCACTTTTAAAAAAGATGAATTTGTGTAACATGGTACTTTGACAAAAGGGGCAGAGCAACATCAACAAAACCCACTGAGTGTTTCTTCATTGCAAGAGGGAGGCTTTGGAACAAAGACTATGTGTTTGACCCAGCATGTGTTTATGAGAACTGAATTATAATTTCATCAGCAAATTCTTATCTGTGTCGTTTTACAAAGGCACATTCTAAATTTTTGAGGGACCAGCTGACTTGATCATTGTGATACTGATAAGATGAAAAAAAGTGAATTTTGAAATGTTGTCATTCCGGTTGCTTTGGTGACACAAACCCTGTAGATCCCAGAGCACAAGGTCACCTTTATCTTCTCAAAGGGCATGTTATGAAATTGCACAATGCCTGACACTTTCATGGGAGTAACTTACCCAAGCCCGTTCTTGGGAAACTACCCCATCATGAGATAGCTGACCTAGAGAGCTCAACCCATCTGAATAATTGGCAGGAAGCACATACGATCTATTTGACTTCATCAGAAAACAAGCTTCTCACTTGGCCTTCAGGGGCCTTCCCAGCCTCACAGCTCCCATGCGGGGTCACCCTGCACGCCCTTCCTCTCACTCTCCGTGCTCTTCTCTGCTCCTATGCTCAGGAGGAGCACATTCCCTCTGCCTGGAATGCCCTACCCGCTGTTCTGATTTGTGGGTGCCTTACTCCCCTCTTACCAGTGTCTCCTCCCACTAGCATTCCTCCACTTCCACGCAAAATTAGCATCGCTGGCTTCTATGAGCTCACAGTAATCTTTATCCTTGCTCTTATAAATGCCACACGACACTGGACTTTTAACCCACATGTCTGTCTCCCACACTGAACTGTGACCTCCAAGGGAGCAGGGACTGTGGGTTTCTTTGAACACTGGGACTCCGCCACCTGTACTTCCAGTTACTTGCTGGATGCCCAAGTTCTCTGCTCCACTGTGAGCTCCATAAAACCCAGGATCAGCTCTCTCATGTGTTCCTGCCTAGCACATAGTTGGTGACTAATAAATATTTATGGAATCTAGTAATCAACTATGAGTTTCTAGAGAGCAAAAGAATTTCCCCATTTATGTGTGTATCCCCCAACACTTAGCACAATGCCTAGCACAAGATTAGGTACCACAAAATGTCTGAATTTGAATAAAGGCAACTTGAGTCCTGCTATAATCCTGGTTTTAGCCTGGCTAGACTTTGTCTACCTCGGCCAGATCTGGCCTGTCAAGGGCTCCTCACTAAACAATTAACTGAGGCTTGTCAGAGGCCTCAGAGCTCAACAAACAGTTCAGCTTGGTCTGACTTATGCTCCAGTCTGCTAAGAATTTCTTGTGCACAAACATCACATGGCCCAGAGTGAACCCAAAGGACTGATGGGGAGAGGAGGGAGCGATGGCCAGGCCTTCTAGAAGTCAGTCACTGCTATTGACAGCATTTTGAGGCACTTGATTGGGATAATACAGTTTTCCCAAGATAGCGTTTCCACTGTTGTGCCAAATTAAATAGCTAACTCCTGCACAGGAGTGAAAATCAGTTGGGATGGCTCAAGTTTCCTCTGTCCTTCCATGTGTCAAACCTCCCAGACAGAACTGGGATCTTCAAAAGCTGAATCTCTGTAAGTTGTGGCTTTCTCCGGTGCTTTGCTATTTTATAATTTAAGTGGTGGAGATGCCTTTGTATTAAAATTTTAACGGGGAGAATGGAACCAAGTTGGAAAACACTCTGCAGGATATTATCCAGGAGAACTTCCCCAATCTAGCAAGGCAGGCCAACATTCAGATTCAGGAAATACAGAGAATGCCACAAAGATACTCCTCAAGAAGAACAACTCCAAGACACATAATTGTCAGATTCACCAAAGTTGAAATGAAGGAAAAAATGTTAAGGGCAGCCAGAGAGAAAGGTCGGGTTACCCAAAAAGGGAAGCCCATCAACTAACAGTGGATCTCCCGGCAGAAACTCTACAAGCCAGAAGAGAGTGGGGACAAATATTCAACATTCTTAAAGAAAAGAATTTTCAACCCAGAATTTCATATCCAGCCAAACTAAGCTTCATAAGTGGAGGAGAAATAAAATACTTTACAGACAAGCAAATGCTGAGAGATTTTGTCACCACCAGGCCTGCCCTAAAAGAGATCCTGAAGGAAGCTCTAAACATGGAAAGCACAACCGGTACCAGCTGCTGCAAAATCATGCCAAAATGTAAAGACCATTGAGATTAGGAAGAAACTGCATCAACTAACGAGCAAAATAATCAGCTAACATCATAATGACAGTATCAAATTCACACATAACAATATTAACTTTAAATGTAAATGGGCTAAATGCTCCAATTAAAAGACACAGACTGGCAAATTGGATAAAGAGTCAAGACCCATCAGTGTGCTGTATTCAGGAAACCCATCTCACATGCAAAGACACACATAGGCTCAAAATAAAAGGATGGAGGAAGATCTACCAAGCAAATGGAAAACAAAAAAAGGCAGGGGTTGCAATCCTAGTCTCTGATAAAACAGACTTTAAACCAACAAAGATCAAAAGAGACAAAGAAGGCCATTACATAATGGTAAAGGGATCAATTCAACAAGAAGAGCTCACTATCCTAAATATATATGCACCCAATACGGGAGCACCCAGATTCATAAAGCAAGTGCTGAGTGACCTACAAAGAGACTTAGACTCCCACACAATAATAATGGGAGACTTTAACACCCCACTGTCAATATTAGACAGATGAACAAGACAGAAAGTTAACAAGGATACCCAGGAATTGAACTCAGCTCTGCACCAAGCGGACCTAATAGACATCTACAGAACTATCCACCCCAAATCAACAGAATATACCTTTTTTTCAGCACCACACCACACCTATTCCAAAATTGACCACATAGTTGGAAGTAAAGCTCTCCTCAGCAAATGTAAAAGAACAGAAATTATAACAAACTGTCTCTCAGACCACAGTGCAATCAAATCAGGATTAAGAAACTCACTCAAAACCGCTCAACTACATGGAAACTGAACAACCTGCTCCTGAATGACTACTGGATACATAACGAAATGAAGGCAGAAATAAAGATGTTCTTTGAAACCAATGAGAACAAAGACACAACATACCAGAATCTCTGGGACACATTCAAAGCAGTGTGTAGAGGGAAATTTATAGCACTAAATGCCCACACGAGAAAGCAGGAAAGATCCAAAATTGACTCCCTAACATCACAATTAAAAGAACTAGACAAGTAAGAGCAAACACATTCAAAAGCTAGCAGAAGGCAAGAAATAACTAAGATCAGAGCAGAACTGAAGGAAATAGGGACACAAAAACCCTTCAAAAAATTAATGAATCCAGGAGCTGGTTTTTTGAAAGGATCAACAAAATTGATAGACCGCTAGCAAGACTAATAAAGAAGAAAAGAGAGAAGAATGAAACAGACGCAATAAAAAATGATAAAGGGGATATCACCACCGATCCCACAGAAATACAAACTACCATCAGAGAATACTACAAACACCTCTACGCAAATAAACTAAAAAATCTAGAAGAAATGGATAAATTCCTCGACACATACACCCTCCCAAGACTAAACCAGGAAGAAGTTGAATCTCTGAGTAGACCAATAACAGGAGCTGAAATTGTGGCAATAATCAACAGCTTACCAACCAAAAAGAGTCCAGGACCAGATGTATTCACAGCCGAATTCTACCAGAGGTACAAAGAGGAACTGGTACCATTCCTTCTGAAACTACTCCAATCAATAGAAAAAGAGGGAATCCTCCCTAACTCATTTTATGAGGCCAGCATCATCCTGATACCAAAGCCGGGCAGAGACACAACCAAAAACGAGAATTTTAGACCAATATCCTTGATGAACATTGATGCAAAAATCCTCAATAAAATACTGGCAAACCAAATCCAGCAGCACATCAAAAAGCTTATCCACCATGATTAAGTGGGCTTCATCCCTGGGATGCAAGACTGGTTCAATATATGCAAATCAATAAATGTTATCCAGCATATAAACAGAACCAAAGACAAAAACCACATGATTATCTCAATAGATGCAGAAAAGGCCTTTGACAAAATTCAACAACCCTTCATGCTAAAAACTCAATAAATTAGGTATTGATGGGATGTATCTCAAAATAATAAGAGCTATCTATGACAAACCCACAGCCAATATCATACTGAATGGGCAAAAACTGGAAGCATTCCCTTTGAAAACCAGCACAAGACAGGGATGCCCTCTCTCACCACTCCTATTCAACATAGTGTTGGAAGTTCTGGCCAGGGCAATCAGGCAGGAGAAGGAAATAAAGGGTATTCAATTAGGAAAACAGGAGGTCAAATTGTCCCTGTTTGCAGACGACATGATTGTATATCTAGAAAACCCCATCGTCTCAGCCCAAAATCTCCTTAAGCTGATAAGCAACTTCAGCAAAGTCTCAGGATACAAAACCAATGTACAAAAATCACAAGCATTCTTATACACCAATAACAGACAAACAGAGAGCCAAATCATGAGTGAACTCCCATTCACAATTGCTTCAAAGAGAATAAAATACCTAGGAATCCAACTTACAAGGGATGTGAAGGACCTCTTCAAGGAGAACTACAAACCACTGCTCAATGAAATAAAAGAGGATACAAAGAAATGGAAGAACATTCCATGCTCATGGGTAGGAAGAATCAATATCGTGAAAATGGCCATACTGCCCAAGGTAATTTATAGATTCAAAGCCATCCCCATCAAGCTACCAATGACTTTCTTCACAGAATTGAAAAAAACTACTTTAAAGTTCATATGGAACCAAAAAAGAGCCCGCATCGCCAAGTCAATCCTAAGCCAAAAGAACAAAGCTGGAGGCATCACGCTACCTGACTTCAAACTATACTACAAAGCTACAATCACCAAAACAGCATGGTACTGGTACCAAAACAGAGATACAGATCAATGGAACAGAACAGAGCCCTCAGAAATAATGCCTCATATCTACAACTATCTGATCTGTGACAAACCTGAGAAAAACAAGCAATGGGGAAAGGTTTCCCTATTTAATAAATGGTGCTGGGAAAACTGGCTAGCCATATGTAGAAAGCTGAAACTGGATCCCTTCCTTACACCTTATACAAAAATTAATTCAAGATGGATTAAAGACTTAAATGTTAGACCTAAAACCATAAAAACCCTAGAAGAAAACCTAGGCATTACCATTCAGGACATAGGCATGGGCAAGGACTTCATGTCTAAAACACCAAAAGCAATGGCAACAAAAGCCAAAATTGACAAATGGGATCTAATTAAACTAAAGAGCTTCTGCACAGCAAAAGAAACTACCATCAGAGTGAACAGGCAACCTACACAATGGGAGAAAATTTTCGCAACCTACTCATCTGAAAAAGGGCTAATATCCAGAATCTACAATGAACTCAAACAAATTTACAAGAAAAAAACAAACAACCCCATCAAAAAGTGGGCAAAGGATATGAGCAGACACTTCTCAAAAGACATTTATGCAGCCAACAGACACATGAAAAAATGCTCATCATCACTGGCCATCAGAGAAATGCAAATCAAAACCACAATGAGATACCATCTCACACCAGTTAGAATGGCAATCATTAAAAAGTCAGGAAACAACAGGTGCTGGAGAGGATGTGGAGAAATAAGAACACTTTTACACTGTTGGTGGGGCTGTAAACTAGTTCAGCCATTGTGGAAGTCAGTGTGGCGATTCCTCAGGGATCTAGAACTAGAAATACCATTTGACGCAGCCATCCCATTACTGGGTATATACCCAAAGGACTATAAATCATGCTGCTATAAAGACACATGCACACGTATGTTTATTGTGGCACTATTCACAATAGCAAAGACTTGGAACCAACCCAAATGTCCAACAATGATAGACTAGATTAAGAAAATGTGGCACATAAACACCATGGAATACTATGCAGCCATAAAAAAGGTGAGTTCATGTCCTTCGTAGGGACATGGATGAAACTGGAAATCATCATTCCCAGTAAACTATCGCAAGGACAAAAAACCAAACACCGCATGTTCTCACTCATAGATGGGAATTGAACAATGAGAACACATGGACACAGGAAGGGGAACATCACACTCTGGGGACTGTTGTGCGGTGGGGGGAGGGGGGAGGGATAGCATTAGGAGATATACCTAATGCTAAATGACGAGTTAATGGGTGCAGCACATTGACATGGCACATGTATACATATGTAACTAACCTGCACATTGTGTACATGTACCCTAAAACTTAAAGTATAATAATAATAATAAAAAAATAAGAGAAAAAAAAATTTTTACATCAGCATCTCTCAAAGTACAGTTCTTGGAACACTTGTCCTCAAGGTGATCCATGGAGAAAGAGCCTCGGCCAAATGAACTTGGGGATGTCAAGGCTCTTCAGTGCAGTTCTCTGGTTAACTTTTCTCACCCCAACATTTCCCATACTCTGGCTGCAGCATCCTTCTAGCCTGAATATGCATATGTCTGGAAGGTACTTTGAAAAACAAGAAAACAGTGCTCCAGAACAGAGGTCTGCACACCTTTTCTGTAAAGAGCCAGATCGTAAATATTCAGGCTCTGCAGGCCACATAGGGTCTCTGTCTTGTATTCGTTTGTTTGCATTGGTTTGTGCAAAAACAGGCTGAGGTGCAGATTTGGCCACAGGCTGTAGTCATTTGTCGATCCAGCTCTAGAATATTTTCCCCTTGACAACCAGTTGCCAGGCTGCAATTGAGTCACAGTGTCTCCTAACATCGCCGTGGAGCTACCCTTGACAATCGCTCACTCCTGTCCTTTTGGAAGCCTAGCAGCACTTCCTCTGCAATCCCAGGCAAATGCTAAATAATAGTAAGCATTATTCCAGATGCCAAACCGCACCTGGTTTTGGTCACTTGGTGTGCATCGTCAGCACTATTGTGCATGTGCTGTCACGCGAGCTCTCTAAGGGAGCCGCTGGGGAAGGCTGTCCTCAGACCCAGCCATGCAGCTGCAGACGTTTGTGTGCTCCTGTGGGATGGCTAGCAGGCTGGCCGGTCTGAACCGTGGCTGCATCAAACCGATTTTGCAACAACCCTGATGTACAGGGCAGGGAGCCACACGCCAGGGCCACCTGCTCTAAGCAACATCCCTGGCTGTGACCAGCTGCTCCCCCAAGTCCTGGCTGTGGGTTTTTTCCCATAGAGTCATGTCCAGTTAAGGGATATAGAATGAAAAACACCTGGATTCACATACTATTTGTGTGGTCTTGAGCATGTTAATAAACCTCTTTAAACCTTAGTCCCTTGACCCCAAATGTGGTACCACCACCTCCTTTGCTGTGTTGCTGGATGCGGCCGCGAGGCAGGGTGGAAAACGCCCTGGAGGCCCAGGAAGCGCCTCTCACCTCTCCCTTTCCCATGGACAGCCCACTCTTCTCGGGAACAGCTCCCCCTCGCCCAGGATGTGGGGCAGAGTGGGACACGCCCAGCCTGCCTGCTCTTCTGAGACAGCCGCATTGAAAGAGTACAACAAAAAATAATATAAAACAACAAAGAGGAATGTGTGGGGCTGGGGAGGTGTAAGGAGTGATTGAGTTTAGCCCAGGAGCTGGGGAAGATTTCACAGGAGACATCTGAGCTAGAATCCGGGGGTACTCAGATTTGAGCAGTGGGGAATGGAGGAAACAGATTTGGGGCAGACAGAGCAATGGGAGCAGGACATAGCACCCGCCCGCCAGGTTTCCCCCCATGGACACACAGCTGATCCCACTGGAACATCCAAGCCCAGCCTCTCTCATACCCAGGATCCTTTTCCTCAGCCAGACAGTGAAGCCACAGAACAAAGCTCATTTTGCCAAAATGGACCGCCAATGTGTCCACGGCTTGTCTCCCCGTTTAGAACACAGCCCCCGGGGGCGCTCTTCCCCACGGTGCGCAGAATGCTGCCTCTACTCTTGCCTGCATGCTCAGACTTCAAACGGGGCTGTGAAAATAAATCTAATGACAGGTAAAACTGGTTTATCACAGGAAACTCTAGAATTTCACGTCTTAAATAGATCACCCTTCTGCTGAATTCTGCATTTCTGAAATGTAGTAAGAACACTTTCTTCTCTAGCACTCTGCTACACTTATTAAAAATTTTATTTAAACCTCAAGGTACCCTATTTTCCTCATTTACAGTTGAAAAAAAAATCAAGTTTCAGTTAATTCAGTGGCATGTCCAAGGACACACTGCTAGTTGGAGGACGAATGAACGATACCCTAGCAATACCTCAGTGGAGCTTCAAGTTACTATATTGAACACACATCGCTGAGAATCTGAACTCCAAAGCAGCAAGGCAAACCCAAATTC
This sequence comes from Homo sapiens, assembly GCF_000001405.40. Taxonomy (NCBI): domain Eukaryota; kingdom Metazoa; phylum Chordata; class Mammalia; order Primates; family Hominidae; genus Homo; species Homo sapiens. The sequence goes on from NC_000002.12 coordinate 8,134,011, forward strand.
AGACTTTTGTTTTTCTTCTTCCTATAATCTCCTTCATGGTTTGCTGTATTTCTCTGCTGCCTCCCTCCTGCCTCCCGCCAGCTTCAGACACACACACACACACGCACACACACACACACACAGAGGATTCAAAATATTAAAGACACAGCCAATTAAGACGTGGTTTTTTTTTATATGAGGAAGCAAAAGGAAAAGCAAGACGTCCCCCAGCATCTGTTTTCTGCCCCTTATCCAGAGGAATATGCCCATTTGTACTGTGACGCCAAGTGCAGTTCGTTTCCTGCTTTGAAACCTACCAGGGAGAAAACGGCCTTCATGACCTTCAACGAGTGTCATTCCTGGTAATTTCCCTGGAATTTTTGTGTCCTTACAAATTTTTCCTATTACAAAATCTTGTACAGAACTGTGCCATCCTGAGAGTGGATGGGTCCCCACCACCCCACCCACTGGTGTCCTGAATCGCCCTGGCGCCGTCAGCGGCTCTTGGTTTTGTGGACAATCTTCCCCCAGCTTCCTTGCAAGCTCTCTGCAGTACCCACCCAAGGGACTATGCATGAACTGAGGGACAGCGACTTGGGCTCTCTCTCAGACAAGGCTCTCTCTCTGAAAAGGGGGCAGGGCCCCCTCCTTGGTGCCCCCTAGATGGTTATAAATGCCCTTGGCATTTGTTTACCCACACTAGACAGTAACCAACATTCAGATAAATGAAGTTGGCGCCTCCAGGATTTATGACCTCCTCCTGTGCTTTGCATTGTTTAATCAGGAAGTCAACATATTACAGAGTGAAATCCTTTACAAGCATGTGCAAACACAGAGCCACCATTAGCGCTGAGGCAGGCCTTGGGGTGGAATGGACCTCCAGCCTCTCACCATCTCGGAAAGGAATACGCAGCCGGCGTCACTCACTGGCTGGCGAACAGCACCAGGGTTCTTTTTTCCTTTGTATTTACTTTTTTCCTTTTTTAAGATTCTCATTTTGAAGAGGAAAGGTGATGAACAGGAACATATGATGGGGCCCTGTCTCTAGACACTCCCCTCCCAGAGAGCCAGGAATTAGGGAAGGTAAATTAGGGTCAGGAAAGGTGGTGGAGTTTAGTGTGTTTGGACAAGGCTGGGAGCATGTGGGGAATCAGCGTGAGGCATCCCACCTGGAGGAGGAGGCCAGGCTGCAGCCCCCGTGCCATAAGCCCGGCTCCACGAAGTCTAGCCAACATCTGGAATGGATATCAAGAGACACAGGCGGCCCTCACTGGCGCGCCGGTCTACCTTTGTACTTTTCGTTGCAAATTGAAAAGCAAAACAGACATCAAGGATATATTTATAAAACTGTCTTCAAGTTGCATTTTCTACTCCCATCTGCTGCATATGATAAGTTTCAAGTGTTTTCTAATAAAAAAAAAAAAAAAAAGGAGGGTGTGGTGGGGTGGAAGGAAGCCTGGGTGTGCGCGTGTGTGCCTGAACGCATGCTCCTTATTTGGTGTGGAGACTGAGCTTTCTCTGGCTTTGTTGAAAAGGAGAAGTTAAAACATGCAGTCTCTGAAGGCATTACTGTTTTAAAATGTTCTGATCATTTGCATGTCATGCTTATTCAAAAAATTTGCATTGGATCACATTAAAGAAAAGGAGGGTATATTTCTGAAATTCGTAAACTCCTTGCTTTAGTGGAGAAGGTTAGTGGGGGAAAGAAGCACATCTTTTTGTTGTTAAGTTTTTGGAGAAAAGAGAAACGTGGAGGCGTGAGATGGTGGAGTGAGATATTTAGGAAAAAATAATACAGCAAAAGATAGAGGTACATCAGGCAGATCCAAGAAAATTGAGGTTTTCTACATTTAGGTAAAGATGTGAATCCAGATGTGACTTGTTGATCTTCATGAACAAAGCTGGATCCACCACCATCAGCCACATTTAGTGCAGAGTTGGGCAGTTCAGAGACTAGCCATGGCCAAAACTAGACCTTTATTTTTCAGTTAATACAAAATGGGAGGAAAGAACTAGGAGAGAGGGACTCTAAAATTTTTCTTTTACCACTAGGCCATGCTAAAACACGATTAGCAAAGTAATAAATCACGAGCCAACAACCCAGATAATTCAGGATTTATTAAAACAAGTGAAGCCAGGCACGGTGGCTTTGGCTTATAATCTCAGCACATTGTGAGACCAAGGCAGGAGGATTGCTTGAGGCCAGGAGTCCAAGACCAGCCTGGACAAAATAGCAAGACCCCATCTCTACAACTTTTTTTTTAAAATTAGCCAAGCATGGTGCTGCAGCCCATAGTCCCAGCTACTTGGGAGACTGAGGCAGGAAGATCACTTGAGCCAGGAGTTCAAGACGGTCATGAGCTATGATTGTACTACTGCACTGCAGCCTGGGCAACAGAGTGAGATCCTGTCTCAAAAAGAAACAAAAAAAATGAGCCTAAACATCTGGATGTGGATAAGTAAATGTAAGGTGTTCTCCATGTTTCCATTAGCTGAATATCCTTCCAATTTGTCACTTTGAAGATGACAGTCCATCTGGAATATTAGAGGAAAGGCTGGATGCCCCGTTGATCTACTGATTGCTCCTCAACCCGTATTTCTACTGGTGATTTTCTCTATGTCCATATGCAGGTGAGCTTCTACTGATCTGGAAATGCCATGTCCTTCACTGACACACTGGACAAGAAGACCATCAGTCATATGCACTTGACTTCTCAGAAAACATGAGGGCTGCCTCCTGATTGCAGCCAGCAGAAAGTGGTAGAAAGAAGAAGACTTTGAAATGAGACAGACATGAGGTCAAATCTGGGCTCCCCCAGTTACTGCCATGTAACCTTGGACCAGTTACTTAAGCTGTTTAATTCTCATCTGGCAAATGAACCTAATAAGAAGTATCTCCTAGGGTGGGTAGAATTCATGGTTTAACGTTTGTAAAATGTTGAAAGAGCACTTTTAGTAGGACTTAGTTTCGAATACATAATTTTACTGTTCTGTGTTGCTAGTTCAATAAGCACTGTGCACGCCCCTCTCAGCCCCAGCTTACCCATGGCAGACGTCCTAATCCATCCCTGCACACCTTCCCACTGAGTGAGGTCTCAGCCTAAGGACCCTTTTCATCGAAGCCCTCCATACACCCACTACCAAGTGATCCGACTCATCACACCAAGCTAAATCTATTTGTTATCTTGACCCTGCCTGATTCAGACCCTCCTGTTAGCAGACAGGAGGCAGTTAGTGGCATCTGTTGAATGCCTCCTACGTATCTCGTGCCCATGACAAGTGCTTTCCATTTGACTGGGCTACTTTTCTCTTCTATTGGTAAGAGGCGAAAGGCACCTGAATTCCTGAGCTCTTCAACTGAATGCTGTTTCTCGTTGACATTTCTTCAGGTTTATTTCCTTATGTAAGAGCCTTGACTTGGGCATGAAACCTGCTAGCAGGCCTGAAGAAGGCACAGAGACGTGCTAAGAATCTGCATGATCAATGTGAGTCCTCACAGCTAAAGGGACCAAGCCATACACTTCCATGCAAAAAGTATTTAAATTTGGGTACTGAATTATTTTCTAAAGTAATACATGCCTTAGCTAAAAATATATGGCTATATTTCTTTGAGATACAGTGTAGAACTCTACTTCCACATAGAAAAGAAAAATCTACAATCATAAAATATGACTTCACCTTTCCTTTTCTCTGTAAGGTGAAAGCTGGCAGCATTCAGAAGTCTGTGGCTTGACAGGGTGAATGGAAGTCTCAGGTCATTCTGCAGCCCAGTCCCCTGACATCTACCCTCCACAAGCACAGAAGCCGCACAGGCTGGAGAGACTCCTGGCAGACCAGCGTTCATGAGACCCCTCTCTGTCTCTCCACAGAGACTAAACAGAGAAGCCAGCAGACCACTCCAGCAGGAGACCACATTGCACAGTCAGCTCCTTGGGCTTTGTTTATCTAAAGAGAAGGAAGCTGATCAGTAAAGAGGAAGAGCACACACCGAAGCTCCTAGTGCTGGTGATGAATCCAGACCCCACGCAGAAACCGCTGAGTGTGCAATGTGCCTCTGTTTCCTGCTGCATAAGAAGGGATGATGATAGTACTGACTTCATGGATTTGTTGGGAGAATTTAAGGAGATGAAACCTGCGAGGCACCTAGGACAGCACCTGACACTTAGGTTTACTCCAGTAATATGGGCGCACCTTACAACTATGGCCTTCGCCATTCCAGGGGCCTGCATCAGGAGCCACACTCCAGCACCCACCCCCACAGGTGAGGGGACTCCGCCCAAATGCTCACCACTCACTTCAGAAGCAAACTCAGGAAGAAATCCAAACCCCACCCACAACCGTGGTGATTTTTAAAGGTTCCATACCTTGTTTGAAAAGCTAATATTGTTTTATGAGAATAAAAATGATTAATGTTGGAGAATGGATAAAAATAATAACTCCTATGATGGTGAAATTTGAAAACACCTATGTCTATGTACTTAAGAAAAGCATTTATAGTACAATTAAAATATATTCAATATATGTATTTGTATATATCGTTAAATAGAATTTATAAGAAGCCATTGGTTTGGACTAAGATCCTGCACTAGGCCCAACAGAATAAACCAAAATGGAGATACTGCTAGTCAAGTTCCATGCCACCAAGCTGAAACTAAGCAGTTGATCTGACCTCCTGAGAAATCAGGAGAGAGAGAAAGATAATAGCCAAATCCGCAAACAGGCCAGTTTCAGCTGGCGGGGTGAGGAAGTCCCCCTGTTTCAACCCTGCAAAGAACATCTCTGCTTTTGATTGGCTATGCCTGACTTCTTCAGCCCTTTCCTGTCTATAAAACCAACCTCCCCAGCTCAGCTCATCAGAACACTCACTCTACTTTATAGAATGAGATGGTATCCAATTCTAGAATCACAAATAAGAGCCAATCCAGATCTTTAAACTAAATCTGTCACGATTTTGTCTTTTGACAGCAACACACACACACACACACACACACACAATATCTTCACATTCACACACACATACACGCACACACACAATGTCTTCACATTCACACACACACACACGCACACACACAAAGTCTTCACATTCTCAACCTTGGGTCCTCTCGTGCTTTCTATTGTCTTTTGCATTGGGGGAAGGTTTTCAATAACGTCAAATTTTATAACTTAAAATAAAAAAGTTTCTCCAAGGTTAGGCAAACACATTGCTATTTGGTTATGAACTTTGGTTGTTTCTCCCTGAAAAAATTTCCAGTCTTGCTCAATTTCCAAAAAAAAGAGTTTGGACTCTTACCTAAGCCATGTTTGTCCAAAGAGGTCAGTATCAAGCCTACATGACTTTTTGATCCAGAAAATAGTAGTCATGTTTTGGTCATTCTGAGATAGTCATGGAAAATTACAACACAGATGTTCATACGGGATCTTCCTTCTATTGCCCAGTGCCCCGTGAAGCCCTTGAACAAAACCAGAAGAAAGTGAAAAATAAACAGCCTTATACGGTAAATGAAAAAATAAGGTAACTTTGTGGTAGTGTCGCTAGGCTGAGGGCAGAGAGGGGAGGAGAGCAGTGAGCAGGGGCCTGAAGCCCACAGGCCTGGCCAGAGCACAGCAGAGGAGAATGTAGCCAAGTGTGTACAAGCAGATTCCAGCCAGGCTGCAGTGAGTGTGCGAGCTGGCTCAGCCATTGACTAGCTGTGGGCTGGGAGAAAATTTCTTCACTCCTTTCTGCCTCAGTCCCTTCATCTGTAAAGTAGGAATAAAAATAGTAACACTCGTATAGTGTTGCTGTTAAATACTTCATCTATATCAAGAGCTTAGAACAGTGCCTGGCACAAAATGTGTTTCATACATTTTGCAAATAAAATAAAATAAAAGGGCTCAAAGGAATTGTTTCCAACACTTTTGATGTTAAGATGCAAAAGCTAATATAGTATAATGGTGGTTGCTAGGGTCTGGGGAGAGGAGGAAATGGAGAGTGGCTACTTAGTGGGTACACGGTTTCCTTTTGGGGTGATGAAAATCTCTTGGAACTAGAGACAGCTGGTGGTTGCATAACATTGTGAATGCATTAGATGCCACTGAATTATATGTTTTAAAATGGTTAATGCACATTTTAAAATGGTTAATGACTAATTTTAAGTTATGTGAATTTTGCCTTAATTTTTTGAAAGACAGAGAAAGAAGAAAGAGAAAGAGATGGAGGGAGGGAGAGAGGGAAGAAAGCTATCACTAGTGGTGGGCTTAAATGGCCCTAGAAAATCACGGCTTTTGAGAGGAATCCCAACCCTCAAGGTTGACCTCAACTGGCTCTCGGGTCAAGGCCATGGCCATCTTTTTTGTTCTTATCACATTCATTGATTCTAATTGAGCCTATAGGTATATATTGAGGACTCTCTATGCATCCATTCCTAGCCTACAAGGACTTAGAATGTGAAAATAAATTAAAGTGATTATTAGCCAGTTTGGGAGTGAGGAGGAGCTATGTAGAAAAGTATCATATCTATCAAAAGATATCTATCATACAGTGTAGGGAAGGTCATGATTGAGCTGCCACAGGCTACAATGGAGGTTACACCCAACTCTAAGACAAGGAATCAGGAAAGACAGGTCCTAATAAGTCTTGAGATTTGGTAGAAAGACATGAGACTGAAAAGGTATTTCCTAAAGGGATTTCCAATAGACATGATCACCAAAATTATGTAAATTGAAAAAGATGCCTTTTAGAATATTTAAATTATTTTATCATTGCTGAATTATATTCCACTTTTAAATGGGCTTAAGCCATTCATGGAAAAAGAAAACTAGAGCATGAAAAAGATCAGAAAGAGGGAGGAAGGGGAAAGAAGAGAAGGAAAAAGAATAATTTAATGACTTTGCTCTAATACCATGCACGGAAGGGTCACCAAGCAAAGAAATACGGGAATGACTCTGTTATAAACATAAATGAGATAAACAGTGATAGAAAACTCAACTTTAAGAATTTAACCAAGTAGTATCTCCAAGTTAGTTAATGGCAAAGACATTAAGATTTCATGTGTGTGTCAATGAATTTGACTTTGACTCACATAATGATGTCCCTCCAAAATGTGTTTTCTTCTCCTTCCATTTTACAACTGTGTAAGTTCTAGAAAGTATTTTTCCCAAAGCAACAAAGCCAGCAGGGTAACAGAGAGTCTAGAAATGAAGCCACAACAAGATAATTAGGGGCTCAGTGTGCTAAGGATGAAGAAGAGAATTCCCCGGGAAAGGCATCGTGGCTGTCAACTAATGTCAACCAGAAATACCTGATCCATGCTTCTCTTCAACAGTGAGAACAGATAATAGCATCATCTGCCTCTTGAAGAGCTAAGCTTTATGTTCACCCAAGAGGGATCAAAAAGAGGTCAGGAGACCATTAACCTTAGAAGTGAGCTGTAGGCTGTGAAAAGTTGAACTCCAGTTCTTGCAGTTGTTTTTAACTCTAAACTCTATAAATCTATGATAGTCATTTTAACAGGAAATTGTACAGACTCAAAGTTCACCAGAAATAAAAGTCTAGAGCCAAACCCTGCTTTCAGATGACAGGGCCACTTGCTTCTGTAGGTGAGTCAGGGCAGCCACAGATATCGGCATGGAATCTTCGCTGGGGAGAGGCTGTCTAGGATCAAAGGAAGCGCTTGCTGATACCTTATTAAAACCCTGTGAAGGCTTGGAAACTTTTAAAATATGTTGGGTGGGTTGAGGATCTGTCTTCCCTGCACCTCCAGGTTTCAACTGATCTGTAGTTCAAACTGAAATCTCCCTCCTGTTGTTCTTATAGCTCTTGATAAAAATTCCAACTTCAGTCGAAACACCAGGCAGACTGTACCATGGAAAAAGTTCTCACTTCAGAAGAACAATTGTCTGCTGCAGAAATAAAGTAATGCCATTCCTATGAAATCTATAAACTCAAAACAGGGACACAGAACTAGTGGTTGCCAATAACTTTAACTTCATTTATCTATATTTGGCAAAAATTGTGCTGCAGCTGGAGATGAAATGCTGAGCTAAATAACTGCAGAGACGTGCGCTCCAAAACAGCAATTACTAAGCTGTGCTGCCTTGTGTAAGATTTCACTTTTATTTATTATATTTAAAGCAACTCTCTAACTCTGTACAGTACAGACAGCATTGTCTATTCGAGTGATAGCTGCTCATAACGACATCTCCACCTCGCTATTTGTCCAGGAAGGTGCTTTCAGGGAGGCAAAAGATCTCTCCCATGGCCACGTTAACACAGTTTAGATGGCAGCCTCGCCACCAAATGCACCTCTCTTTTGTCCATAATTGAAAGAAACTATTCTCATGTTCAACTCAAACTTGGCTTATCACATACTGTGCACAACTCTGATGATGGCTTTTTTTTTATCAGTGGAGATATTGATAATTATAATTGGAAGGCTGAGGAAGAGGACTATAAATATCCCATCAGCTGCCACAGAGCTGGGGGGGAGGAGAGGTGGCAACCTATGCCTCTGAAAGAGGCTGATGGAGAAAGATGGATCCTCACAGCCATTGTCTACCCAGCCCACATCTGTTTCTTATAGTGGGTGATGATTTTCATAGAATCATAGAAATTAGAGATGGAAAAGGCTCATTAGGTCATCCAGCACAGCTCTCTGCCAGTGCAGGATGATTCTCTACATGGAAGATGATCTCTTTGTTCTTCTACAAAGCTGTGTTAAGCAATAACTCATGTAACCACCTTCACGTGCATTCATGATATTCAGCTCATCACATGTGACTCAATAAACACCAACTCAGAAAGTAGGATTTAGCCTTTTAGAGTTTTTAGAGGTACATAGTCCAAAACAGTGAGTAAAGGAGAAGGCTCTCTGAACCAAGTTAGGAACACCAGCCAACTGGGATGTGAAGTATTAATCTCATTTCTTCCTTCCATAGGTTGTCATCATCCTATCCCCAGTGATGGAGCCATACTTGGGTCTGAAATATTTTGACACAGATGAAGCAAGTCTTTGCAATTTCCAAAGGAAAGGCTTCTGTGACACACTCTCTTGTTTGAAGGAGTGACAATAACCTGAGAATTGCTGGTAGTATTATTTGTTGTTATTACTGTCATCAAAAGATATTTAATTAGAATCTCTTTTATATGTGACTGATAAAGCCAGTGAAATGGTCACACTGATTCTACAGTAAGCCATTTTTGAGCACCTATTATACACAAAGCACTGTGCAGGAAGGTTGCATAGTAAGTTGAGTGTGACCCAGACTCCAACTCTGAGAAGCTTATAATAGGGTGAAGGAGACAGAGACAGAAAGGCAGGCTCTTAATCCAGGGAACTACAGGAGGTAAGCACAAGGGAGACAGAAGCAGAGGCGGGAGACGTGACTTAGCCTTACCTTCCGAAACTCCACACTGGCATGAGGAATAGTGATATGCACTTGTGGAGGAATGGTCTATAGAATGAGGATAAAGAGGTTAAAGTTTTGCGATATCTTTCAATTAGTGATTCTGTAACCAAAACCCAGAGAAGCAGGTTATGATGGAGTCATCAGCAACACATCCCTTTTTAGCTTAACTTAGGAGTTCTCTTAAATCAGGGTGCTAAGTGGGAACCAAAAAAACCCCAGCTTTGTCTGTCCGAGCTTGCACTGACTGGGCCACGTCGGGTGGGTTGCTTATTCATTTGCCCAACGTATTTTATTCCAGTAATCATTCATGGCAGTCACTCAATGTCTCTGAGCACTAGTTTCTGCAAAACTTTATGTATGACATAAAGTATAACATACTTTATGCCCATAGAAGTATCTACTCTGTTGTGAGGGTAAATTAGACAACATAGCCAACCTGAAAAGTCTAATTCTAATGAATTTGTAATGAAATATTATCCTAAGTGATTATTTCCTAAACCTGTAAATGTAATCAGTTTCTTAATTATCTGTGCATGTTCACACATAGTTAAAGACATTAAGTTGATGTGTTTCTAAATTTCTTTTTTACATCGTTATGCATTTTTTATTCATTCCACAGATGTTTAGTATGCATTTATTGTGTGCTAGAGCCTGGACAAAGGATTATGAATGGTTACAAAGAGTCCCTTGGCTGAGTACTATTTTAAAAGGGTTTAATTTTAGAGGTGTTGCTTATAGTTATCTTTTTGATATTTTGGGGTTAATTCTGTGTCTAATTCTGTTAATTTCTGGAAAACTAGTCATAACAAACTGTGTGGTCCTACAAAGATCACCCTAGCCAGGCATGGGTAGGAGTGTCCTTTTGCACCTGTGTAGAAATTTGCTGCCATGTAGCCATGAGTGGGCTGGGCTCTTTTGGGGTGGCTGGCCCTGGCAACAAACATGCAGTTCAAAGTATCAAAACGCTATGTGTTTTCTGCTTCTAAGGGATTCCGTGAAAGGTGCCACTACAATCACCTGTCAACTTTGCAAGGAATTTCCCATCCAAAATCAATTTGTTCTCAATGTTTTTTTCTACCTGGGAGATCATGCATAGCCCACAGATAGACTCTCTTGGCCAGAGAGACACTATTACAAACTGGTGTTTCCTTGCTCTTCTTATCTCATTGCAGAAAATGCAGTCTGCCCTGAAGAACTCTGGACTGTGCCCTAACAACATTCATTCTCTTCTTCATTTCCAGTCTCACTGGCTTGCAAATAGTGCTTCCTGCCTCTTTCTTGCTGTTTCCTCATCCTTGATTTTCAGGGTGGAAACCTCAATTCATTTCCTTGAAATGGCAAATTATTGCAAAGGCATCAATTGGTTCTTGTCTAAGTGGACAAGCAAAACTGCACTCTGGCTGAGATGATGGAGACACTCACCTACCATGATGAGGGGAAGAAGCTGGAAGCTGGGTCATCTTGCCAGCCACTTTCTATGGTTATTTCACTCTTTCTTTTACTCATCCCTTTTCTTCTTGCATTTATGATATTTTGCCAATCAGTTTTGAGTTCATAAAGACACAAACCATGTCTGACTCATCTTCTAACATCCTTTAAGCTCCAGCAGCTAGCACAGTTCTGGAAAATGTCCACTAGACACTCAAGAGGTGATTTTGCACTGATTCAGCTGCCCTCCAACCACTGATTATTTTAGGTCAGGCGCTAGTGAGCAGTGCGGCCCATCACCAAGGGACAGACAAAAGTCAATTCATCTATAACAAAACTAGACCAACAAACTCGATCTTACTAGCACCACTCTCAAAAAAACAAAGAAGACCAACCATAAACAAATGAATAGACCATATCTGAAAATATATGCGATCCTGGAGGACTTGCATTTACACTCTATTTCCTAAACTATAAAGATTTGGGTGGTCCCTATCTGGTGAGCTATGCAACTTGGTAATTTTAGGCAAATTGCTTAAGATCTCAATGCCTTGGTGTATTAGTCCATTTTTTACACTGCTATAAAGAACTACCTGAGACTGGGTAATTTATGAAGAAAGGAGGTTTAGTTGACTCATGGTTCTGCAGGCTGTACAGGAAATATGGCTGTGGAGGCCTTAGGAAACTTACAATCATGGCAGAAGGTGAAGGGGAAGCAGGCACCATCTTTACATGGTCAGAGCAGGACAGAAAGGGGAAGTGCTACACACTTTCAAACAACCAGATCTCATGAGAACTCACTATCACGAGAACAGCAAGGGGGAATTCCGTCCCCATGATCCATTCATCTCCCACCAGGCCCTTCCTCCAATACCAGGAATTACAACAGGACATGAGATTGGAGTGGGAACACAGAACCAAATCATATCACTTGGTAACTTCATCTCAGTGAGATGGGTGGATAGCCAATATCATGGCATCCTTTGAAATCTGAAATTCTTTTATTATATTTCTTCCAATGATCACTCAACATTGACTGGTTGGATAGGATGAGCTGAAAAGCAAAAGTTTACAGTTTAATTCATTTCTAGAAAGAAATATTAAAAATTTATTTTAAGCAAGGTGCCACGCTGGGTGATAGAGGTGATAGATGACAATGCTTTTGTCACTGAGGGGTCCTTCTCTGGATGGTGTCATAAAATTGTATTAGAATTCAGGAAAAAACAGCTAGAGAAAAAGCAGTTTATCAGCACTTATGGCACTGCCATCTCATCATCAAAATGAACTGTGCACAATCATGTCATGGGTTTGTTAGGCATGAGCTTTGCTGAGGCTAGACAGGCCTCACATCTGTCACCTAATGCCAATTCACCTCCACACTCCCAGTACACAAAGGCCTTCTCCCTGGAGCCAAACTTCACTCTGCTTCCTCCATGTGAGGTGAGACCTTACTCAGACTGTGCCCTCCATCTGGGAGGTGTTTCTCCTGGGACTTGCTATTTACCCCTTGGCCCCCAGCTTATCATCCACAGAAATTCCACTGCCCTCCCTGGTTTCCATCAGTGCTGGCTACTCCCTCCTCTCGTCCTTTTCAGCAACACTGTGGGATCACAGCTTTCCAGGTGGAGATTTCCCTCCCTGGGCCCTGACTTTCCCCAGGATGAGAACTGCTCTCTAACTAACCTGCCGCTGTGCCAGCCCTTAGCATAGATGGGCATGTGCACCTGCCAGGAAAACAGCTGCTCTTTATCAAAGCCAAGTGGCACAGGTCCATCAGATGCTTTGCCTTCTGTAACCCCAGTATTGAACAAGAAACAACTTCCCTGTACAAAAGCCAGTCTCACATTTGGGAAGCTGACATCCCCTTAAATTCACCCCTTCTTATAATGCTAGAAAGACATAGCTAAACGCTCGAACCTTGGGCAGCATGTCAGGAATCTGACAGAAATGTGCAGAAAGCCAGGGCAATCACAGCCTCTTCTCTATCTAGGACTCCGCCTTTTCTTATCTCCTTCTCCTCAGCATATTACAATGGCCATGTGCCCTCCCATGGGACTGTCTTCTTCCTGAGGACAAGAACAGTGCCCCACCCAATGCCTTAGATCATGCAAAGAGTGTACACAGACTGCAAGTACTAAGTTTAATATGATTACTAACATGTTGAACACTGCTCTATGGACTTCACATGTACCAACTCATTTAATTCTTAAAATGATCCAGTAAGGACGTGTAGTAGTCAGGCTTCCCCAGAAACAGAACCAATGGGAGATATACCTAGATAGATAAATAGGTACATACATACATACATACATAGGCACACACACTTGTATGTGTGTGTGTGTGTGTGTGTGTGTGTGTGTGTATATATATAATATGTATGTGTATATGTGTATATGTGTATATATGTGTGTGTATATATCCACACATATATACACACATACATATAATATATACACATACATTTACACACATACATATATGTTCATGTGTATATATGTGTGGATATACACACATACATATACACATATACATACATACACACATACATATGATAATATGATATATATATACACACATACACGTGTGTGTGTGTGTGTGTGTGTGTGTGTGTGTGTGTGTCTATATATGTATCTCCTGTTGGTTCTGTTTCTGAGGGAGCCTGACCACTACACTTTCCTATTGGGTATTATATCACACAGCCTTTGTAATATGCCAAGGAGAAAGAGATAGAGAAAAGGCAGAGTCATAGAGAAGAGGTTGAGATTCTCCTGGCTTTCTGCATGTTTCTGTCAGATTCCTGACATGCTGCCCAAGGTTCCTGCCTTTAGCTAGGTCTTTCTAGCTAGGTGCATTCATATACATATGCACACACACACACACACACATACATATACACACATACATGTATGTATATTATGTGTGTACATAGATATGCATACATATACATGCATATATATGTGTGTGTGTATATAAAAATATACATATATGTATATATATTTCCTATTGGTTCTGTTTTTGGGGAAGTCTGACCACAACACTCCCTTATTGTGTTATTTTGAGGGTTAAATGAGTTGCTACATGTGAAGGCCCTAGAGCAGTGTCCATCGCGTTAGTAATTATATTAAACTCAGGACGTGCAGTCTGCATACATATACATATATATGTATAATATCAGAGAGAGATAGAGATTGGTCTTAAAAAATTGACTTATGTGATTTTAGGGGCTGCAAGTCCATAACCTGCAGGGCAGGCATGCAGGCTGAAGACTCAGGGAGAAGTTGATGTTGCAGCTTGAGTCCAAAAGCAGTCTGGAGGCAGAATCCCCTCTTCCTCGGGGCACGTCAGTCTTTTTCTCTTAAGGTTTTCAGCTTACTGGATGAGTCCCACCCACACTATGGAGGGTCATCTGCTTTACCAAAAGTCCACTGATTTAAATGTTAATCTCATCTTAAACTACCTTCACGGAAACATCCAGACTTGTATTTAACCAAATATCTGGGTATCATAGCCTAGCCAAGTGGACACATAAAATTAATGATCACAGGAAGGTACCATCTTTACCCTGACTTACAGAAGCAGAAAGGAAAACACAGATTGTTTAAGTCACTAGCCCTGAGTCACACAGCAATACGTAGTGCAATTGGAATTTGGCCTGGGCAGTCATTCCAGGAACTTGTGTTCATAAACCCTGAGCTATGCCACCTTCCTGTGAATTTCAGCATGGTATTCCTTATTTTGGCATGAGGCTGTATAAAGGGAACTGCTGAAAACGAACCATCTCTTTCTGATATTATCAAGTGGGTGATGTTATAACACTGAACCAGAAATGTATTTCCAGGAAACAGAACCCAAAAGGATGACTATATACTTAGTTTGGCCACATAATACCAGCCTGAACATCAACTCAAACCAATTCACCAAGCCCTTTGTGGCTGAGAGGAAGGCATGGCTGTCAAGAGTTCTAGCTCGTCTGTTTTGGTTTTTGGCTTGGGCGTGTGTGTAGATGTGGGTGTGTAGACGTGTATGTGTATGCGTGTGTGCGTATGTGCATGCATCTTAAGGAATCTGCTTCTGGTTCTTTGGGGACACTGATGATGATGGATTTCTCTATTTCACCATATATAATTCCTTCCTGCTGCACAGGACAGAATCCTAAGGGCTCCTAAGCCTGTTCCCAAGCTTCCAAAAGAGCACCAACTCACCGTATGGTTAACAAACCTAGGTTTGAATCCTACCTCTGTCACTTATTAAGTCAATATTCTTGGACAAGTTCTTTACTCTCTCCAAGTTTGGTTCCATCCCTACAATGGGGCTGATCAGAGCACTGACCTGGGATGGTCACCGTGGGGACTCAGGAATGATGCACGTGTGGAATGCAGCCCAGCACCTGGCATGGGGCATACACAGCAGATGACAAACACCATTCCAAAAGACAATTACTGCTTCATCATTAACGTCTCCTCACCAAAACCTTTTCTAGGAAACATGCCTAACCAAGGCAAGCTCCTCCTTCTGAGTTTATATATACCTGGCCGGGCATGGTGACACACACCTGTAATCCCAGCACTTTGAGAGGCAGAGGCAGGCAGATCACTTGAGGTCAGGAGTTCGGGACCAGCCTGGCCAACATGGCAAAACCCCATCTCTACTAAAAACACAAAAATTAACCAGGTATGCTGGCACATGCCTGTAATCTCAGCTACTTGGGTGGCTGAGGTGAAGAATCACTCACACCTGGGAGGTGGAGGTTGCAGTGAGCCGAGATTTTGCCACTGCACTTCAGCCTGGGTGGCAGCAGAAAGAGACTCTGTCAAAAAAAAAATAGTCTATATATACCTGTGGGCTGCAGAAGAGTCAGGAATCCCAAAGGCTGGCTCCAGTGGGAACCTGTCTAGCTGGACCTTCCTTGCTCACCCCATGCCCGGTGTTCAGCAGCCCACTTTGCCCCAGGACACCACCCCTGAGTGAAGCCCTCCACATGCTGTCTCCGTACAGTGCTCAGTCACCTGTGGAGATCCATTCTTTCCATATGAAAGTGTGGCCCAGCTGGAGTCTCCACCGTGGTGTCTGTGGGACTGTGTCAAATCTGGTTACCACTGCCCTCGTTCTGCTAGAGACAACTATACCTTAATCACCCCGTGTTTGTTCCAGGAGGAAAATCCTGGAACTGATCTTCTATGGGGTACTAACTTTTCTCAGTCTTCTGTAGGAGATTAAGTGATTCTGTCTTCTGAGCTCTGACATCATTTCAAATGTATGAACATTGGCCTGAAGCTTAATAAATTTCAGCCATCGTATATTCTTAGCTTTTGCTTGGGCTGGCGTTCCTCTGCTTAACAAAAAACAGTCATGAGCCAGATGAAAGCAATTTTCCCACATGGCACCTTCATCTTATTTTCCAGTCTCTGAGTAAAAGACCGCACCTCTCACCTTGCAGCTATCACAGAACATGGGAACATTGCCGTCTGCATGCCTCTCACAGGAAATCATGCACATTCCCCAAATTCCCCACAGGACCCAGGGCCTCCCTGCTCCTGCCCCACACTGTGCAGAGCACATCCGTGCGGAGGTGTGGAAGACTAGCCAGGCCAGAGACCAGCAAAGGTGGCTGTGTGGCTAGGGGCTGGCCTCCCTCAACACTGGACGAATTGACGTTGAGCACGTACTAAGTCTAAGGAAATCCAGCTGCATGCTGGATTTATAGCTGTGTACAAGACAAGTATCAGCCCTCCTGGTCTTACTTTTTGGGGAATGCACAATTAATCACTTACATCGCAATTGTGACACTTGCTACAAAGGAGAAGGGCAGGCTGTGAGCAAACGCAAAACAGGGGGACTGGATGTAGTCAGGAGGTCGTTAAACGCTGCCCTAGAAAGTGAAATTTTTAGTTGAAATCTAAAGAGTGATTAAGATTGAGTTTGGTGGAAAAGAATCCAGAGAACTTTATAGGCTGAGTTGAAAAAGATGTGGGGCAGGCCAGAGGCAGTGGAAGCCCACTGTAGTCCAGAAACTGAAAAAAGTGCCCAGTGGCCGAGATACGCAAAGCAGGGAGGAGAGAGGCTCAGGCTGGGGCGCCGGGCAAAAGCCAGCACTGGCAAGGCCCTGCAGAACACATGCATAAGTTTCAATTTTATCCTGTAAGACAAGGGAAGCCACTGAAGTTTAGGCAAAGGGGTGAAAAGAGCAGGTATCTCTTCTAAAAGGCTATTTTGCCCTATGGAAAAGAGAGTTGTGGGAGGCAGAAGCAGATGAGATTCAAACAAAACCTTATCCACCCACGTTCATAGCAGTCCTACTCACAACAGCCAGAAGGTGGGAAAAACCCAAATGTTCATCAATCCATGAATGGACAAACAAAATGTGGCATATCCATGCAATGGAATATTACTCAGACATAAAAAGAAATACAGCACTAATACATGCTGCATGAACCTTGAGACTATTATGTTCAATGAAAGAAGCCAGATATGAAAGCCCACATATCATATCACTCCATTTACATGCCACACCCGGAACAGGCAAATCCACAGACAGAAAGCCGATTTGTGATTGCCAGAGGCCGAGGAGACAGAAGAATGGTGAGTGGTGACTTAATGAGTATGGGCTTGAAATATAGGATGATGAAAATTCGGAAACTAGAGAACGGTGATGGTTATACAACACTGTGAGTGCGCTTAAGGCATCACTGAACTCTACACTTCAACACAGTTAAAACAGTAACCTTGGCCGGGCGCAGTGGCTCATGCCTGTAATCCCAGCACTTTGGGAGGCCGAGGCAGGCAGATCATGAGGTCAGGAGATTGAGACCATCCTGGCTAACACGGTGAAACCCTGTCTCTACTGAAAATACAAAAAAAATTAGCCAGGCATGGTGGTGGGTGCCTGTAGTCCCAGCTACTTGGGAGGCTGAGGCAGGAGAATGGCCTGAACCCAGGAGGTGGAGGATGCAGTAAGCCAAGATCACGCCACTGCACTCCAGGCTGGGCAACAGAGCGAGAATCCAACTTAAAACAAAACAAAACAAAACAAAACAAAACGGTAATCTTTACGTTATGTATATTTTACTGCAATAAGAAAAAAGAGCGAATAAGAAAAGAGCAATGAGAAGGTTATTGTAGTGATATAGGCAAAAGTTGAATGCAGCTAAGCTGAGGATGTTAGCAGGGGTAGTCTTAACCACTGGGAGATGGACCAGGTATCAACTTGGAAGGCTGGGTTTTTGTCAAGTTGCGGCTACAACATACAATAGCAGGAAGCCCAGGAAGCTGGACAGCCAGCCTCAGAAGGTCAGCAACAGGAGGAGAGCAGGTTTCCTGTCAGGACAGGAAACTCAGGCAAGTGCAGAATGCAGAGGGGCTGAGTGGAATCCTGGCCAAAGCAAGGGGCCAAGCTGTGCAATCTCAGATGATGCTTGCTATGTCAGAATGCATCCTCATATCACCAGATCTCCTGAGAAGCTCAAAATAAAGATTTTTATATGAAATTTCCCAACCATTAAAGGTAGCAACTCATTCAAAAACTTTGAAACATGTGTAGACCATATAAAACATATCTTACTGGGACTGCCAGTTTGCAAGCTGTAACTTAACACACTCTTAAACATGGCATCAAACCAGGCTGCTGACCTCCAAGAAGTTTACCATTTAATTTGGCAGATAAGCAATTTATCTAAAATAAGAAGATACATGGCAAACAAGGCCATAGGGATCAGTGTCAGATGAGTGGGTCGAGCCTGTGCTTTGTATGCTACATGCCAAGGGAGGAGAGACTAGAGAGTTGACAAAGGATCAAGGACAGCAGAAGCTTCCCAGAGAGAGAGAGAGATGGTGTAAGTCAAAGGAGCAAGCACACCCATGCAAACACAGACACAGAAACCTGGGTTGCATACAAGGAGGGGCGTATACAAGGAGAGAACCAAGGCAGAAACTCTCATGCAAGGCATGAGACAGAGACCCAGGGTCTGGGATGGGCATACAAGGATTGACCCCAAGGAACAAGGCAAGAAATGAGTGACTGAAACCAGGTCAGAGTAGCCGGGGCAGCCCAAGGATGAACCCCTCTCTTCTGCTTGCCCCGTCTTCACCCCACGGGTGCGGGAGGGGATCCTGCCCTAGGGTTCCGAGAATCATCAAACACAAGACACATGACCCAGGAAAGATGAGGCATACAGTTGTTTACTGGCCATGTTTACTCACTGCCTGGGGAGGAGGACACTGCAGGCCATACAGGGCCGGCATTTGGGAGCCCAGTGAGCAACCAGAGGAAGCGGGAGGCAGGCTTTATAGTACCAAGAGTGTGGGGTCCCCCTGGTCCTCAGGGGAGGGTGAGATCGGCTTGTTTGAATGATGTGGTGAGCTAGCAGGAAGTGAAACCTGTTAGGCTGAGGATGGGGTGAGTGCAGCCAGTCCATCCGATACTGCCTCTAGCTGGGTTGGGAGGCCCTCCCATCCATTGGGAGAGTTTCTGGCAAAAGCAGGGGAAGTCAGAGCTAGGACTTTGGGGTCCTCTGAGGTTCAAATATGTCAGGGCAGCACTAAGACATTTAGGCCTTACAGTACACCCTCTCAGAACCATCTTCTCAAGCACAGTGAGACAATGTCACTCCCTGATTAAGACGTCCACTCCCTTTGCAGGTGGAAATCAAGCTCCTTAGAAAAGCACTGTGCAGTTACGCCGCTTGTCCACTCCTGCTCCAACATGCCCCAGGCTCTGTGTCCACACTGCAACCTCTCTGATCCTCCCCGGTCTAGGTCAGGCCTGGCGTGTCCCAGAGGCACAGCAGTGAGAAAGCCAGGGACACCTATTCTCTGGCCTCCCTTGCTCCCTACCATCCCCACATCTGGACATCCCGGTGAGCCGTGTTGGTGTCATTGTTGTAAGAGTTGCCCGTCTGTGAATACTGCACTTCAATGTTTACGGAATCCACTCACAATATATTACTGCATTTCTTCTACTCAGCAATCCTTAAAGTGGATATTATTAACTCCATCTCACAGATGAGAAAATTGGGTTCAGAGAGGTTAATTAATTTGCTTAAGATCCAACTGTGAACAAATATCAGACCAAAATTTGAAATGCAAGTCTTTGGCCTGAAAGTCCAATATTGTTTCCCTAATACCACCACTTCCATTCTAGAAAAATAGCTCTCCACATCTCCATCCTCTTCCCAATAAAATCTCCCTTCAGTCAGAGGGACAAAGTGCTCCAAAATATATTCATGAAAAGCAGTCCTTCCAGCTCTTAACAAATCATCTAGCATTTGGCCATACATTCCATTAGGTCCTTAATTGGAAAATGTCACAGACTGTTCCCCAATTATTTCTTTTGTAAGGTCTCCAAGCTAGAAGCAAATCTTCTTGAGTTCAGGGACTACATTATAAGATATTGCATATATATATATATATATATATATATATATATATATGCACAAATATGTGTAGAAGTGTGTGTGTCCTGGTCCCTTTAATCCCCTAAATATGTGTCCTGTTGATAAACACATTGTAGGCCTGTGATAAATGCTTGTTGCAGTGAAAATAAAATTCATCTGAGTTCACTTAAATTTCACAAATAACACTTCTACAGGCCATTTAACGCTTTGGGGAGAGCCAAACCTCGTAACTCCAAAATGAATGAGTGTCTATAAGCTAGTAGCCATCCTCAGGAAAGGAAAGGTTCGCTTAGGGAAATGACTCACCCCCAACCTGGGTGATGAACTGAGATCAACTGAGTTCCTGTGGAACATGAGTGCACACTGAATGGAAGTCAATTGCAGTTCGTTTTCAAACGTCGTATCAACTGCTCCAACTCCCGTTTTCATAGAAGACAAAGGGGAAGTAAGGTCTGTTAGGAGCCAGGGTTGCTGAACCATTCATCCCTTCCACCCTAACATCTTGTCTCTGGGGACTCACAGGGATGAGCTAGAGTATTTGTCCATGTGGGCCAAGGAGAGATTGGTTATCAAAGCTGGACATGCCCTATCCAGCCCACACCACCATGGCTGGTATCATGAAGGGGGCCACAGTTGGAGTTGGAGGAGGAGAGAGGTATGTGAAAGCAAGCAAGCAATGTAAGACAAAATTAAAGGAAAGGGATTTAGGAAGCCACAAATGAGTTCCCAGATAAGTAGCTGTAGGTGGAGGTAAGTAGACGAGTTGCCAAGAGCCTTGATGAAGTTCACACACACCAGTGCTCTTCTTGTCCTGCACTTGGCGGGTCGTTCATCATGAAGGTCACACCACTGATTGTGTCATGCAAACAGGAACAGATGCACACATTGGGGTTTTCAAGTCTATCCCAAAAATCAACAGACTGCAAGGCACCAAGCGAGTCATATCGGTTCTGTGACTCAGTTCCTCAGCTTTACAGTGGAAACAATGACTATATCACAGGAGTCTTGTAAGACTGAAACAAAATGATACACGTAACAGTGCTCAGAATACTAGTTGAATGAGAATGTGATATGGTTTGGCTATGTCCCCACCCAAATCTCACCTCAAATTGTAATAATCCCCATATGTCAAGGGTGGGGCCAGCTGGAGATAATTGAATCATGGTGACGGTTTCTCCCATTCTGTTCTCATGGTAATGAATAAGTCTCACAAGATCTGATGGTTTTATAAAGGCGAGTTCCCCTGCACAGTTCTCTCTTGCCTATCACCATGTATGATATCTCTTTGCTCTTCCTTAGTCTTCTGCCATGATTGTGAGGCCTCCCCAGACATGCTGAACTGTGAGTCCATTAAACCTCTTTCCTTTATAGATTGCCCAGTCTCAGGTGTGTCTTTATTAGGAGCTTGAGAACAGACTAATACAGTATGTGTGGATGTGGCTGAAAGAGGTGTGTTTATTGAATGAAAATAATAATAATCCACATTTTTGAACACCTGACTAGGTGTTTGGCTTACCTAAAGAGCTTTACACGTATTCTCTACTTCCCCCTTCACAAAATAAATCTATGAGGAAGGAAATTTTATTATCCCCATTTTATAGATGAGAAATTTAGAGAAATTTCCTTGTAGAGAAATTTAGTAACATGCCAAAGATCACACAGCTAAGGAGTGCCACAGAGGCAGCCCAAACACAGGCAGTGGGATAGAAGTCCCCATCATTAACCACAGAACAAGAGAAATAAGGAGGAGGAAGAGGAAAAGTAAGTTTCACTGATTGTATTGTTCGATCCTCACAACTACACTATGAGGTAGGGATTGGTGTAGCCCCGTTTCACAGGTGAAGACATTGAGGGCCCAAGAGGCTGATTAACTTGCACTAGAGGTATGGAGGAGAGAAAACTGATGGGGTGTTGGGAATCACAAATAGTTTATTACGCCTATTTGTGTTAAACAAGAGATTGAATCTTACAGCCAGACTTCCTGGGTTCAATTTCCAACTCCATCACTCACTTCCTGTGTGACCTTAGGCAAGTCACTTCACCTTCCCGTGCCTCAGTTTCCCCATCGGTATAATTGGAATAATAGTACCAACCTCCCTACACATCCTCACATGTACCCCAGAATTTAGAATAATAATAATAATAATAACAACCTCATGATCTGCTGTGAGGATGAAACAGTTAATAGATACTAAGTACCTGCTACTCAGTGTATGATCCCCCCACCATCAGCAGCACCTGGAGGCTTGTTAGAAAGGCAGAATCCCTGCCCGATGCAGTCACTGACTCTGAACCTGACCTCAGGGGATGTGTAATTTGTGTGCATGTGGACTTTTGAGAAGAGCTGTGAACAGTATAGAGCAAGCCCTCCATTCGCAAATATCTGTGTTATCATCACAGCCGAGGCCTGAGTGTGGGCAGGGAGCAGGGAAGACTGGAAAGTGAACCAGGTAAAGTAAGTTGGAGGTAGACTGTGAAGGGCTTGGCTCAGGAAATCAGGCATCCCAAAGGTGACAGAGGGATGCGGGCCTGTGTGCTCCAGGCCTGGCTCCCAAGGAACCGCTGAACAATCAAGTTGCTCCTTCTCACTCTTCCCCACCATGGGGTCAGGACCCAAAACGAATCAAATAAGAAATTCATGGCAAAGTGTGCTAGGAACTGGGAAACACTACACAAAAGTAAGGATTCGTGACTGAGAGAGCAATTGCCTTCCCAGTGTAGGGGAACCTGGGCCCTGGGATTCAGAATGCTATTCCAAGAGGGAGCAGAATGGATCACCCTAGGCATGTGTGTCTGGGGCCAGAGGCTGAGGATGACGAGAAGATTATAAAAGTCTGTGTTTTTAGGACATCCCCAGGTCGTTCCAAAGGGGATGGGTGGCTTAGAGTGTCAGTTCTCAAATGTGAGAGGGCACCAGGTCTTCCCTGAGGGTAATTTGGACACGGGGTCTCAGGCCTTCTTCCAGAGCTCCTGATTCAGTGGCTCTGGGTGGTATTAGTTTGCTAGAACTCATGTAACAAAGTACCACACACAGAGAGCTGTTAAACTACAGGGTTTCATTTTCTCACAGCTCTAGAAGCTGAAAGTCCAAGATTAAGGTGTCAGCAGGGTTGGTTTCTTCTGGGGCTGTGAGAAAGACTCTGTCTCAGGCCTCTCTTCCTCTCTTCTAGCCTCTGGTAGTTTGCTGGTCATCTTTGGTGGTCTTGGTTTGTAGAGACATCACCCCAGTCTCTGCCTTCATGTTCACATGGTGTTGTGTGTGTGTGTGTGTGTGTGTGTGTGTGTGTGTGTGCGTCTGAATGTCCCCTTCTTATAAGAACACCAGTCATATTGGATTTGGGGCACACCAGCTCCAGTATGATCTCATTTACAGGAATTACATCAGCAACAGCCTATCTCCAAAAACAGTCCCATTCCAAAGCGCTCATTGTTAGAACCTCAACATATGAATTTTAGGAGGATGCAATTCAGCTCCTTCTCAATACAGATTTATCTACCATTGTGCCTTTGCTCCTGGACTCCCACAAGTCCTCTGGGAACACAGCCCTGGACTTCTCAGAGCAGTCACCCCTCAGTGCCCACCTCTGTGAAGGCGCCATTCACAGCTCAGTGGTGCTGTGTCCCTCCAAGCCCCTCTCCCTTCCAGGACCCCAGTGATTCCCAGGGCAACTGCCTTCCCGACACATCTATAGAGCTGAAAATCTGCGGTTACCATGGTTAATATTCCTGACTTGATTGGCACCACCAGTAATTGAACTGCAGTCTCTCGAGTGCAACACGCTCTATTCATTAGCTTCTATTGTGTTGGGCCATTGCATCAAACCACATTATCTTCCTGCTACCGAAAGAAAAAAAGAAGAAGAAAGGAAGAAAGAAAAGGCAGTCATGAATACAACAACGCTATGTTGCCATATGAGATGTTGCAGTTTTGCTTCGAGGGTGAAATCGTTCTAGACGGAATGTAATGTTGTACCAGCTCTGGCCCCATCAAGAATGGTGAGATGTAAAGTGAGAAATCTTAATTTTGGTGGCACAGTCACACAGAATCAGAGCTAGAAATCAAAACTAGCCGAGTCCCAGTGTTTGTGTCATGAAGGCAACTGCTCGTTTGTTTACCATACTGTCAACATGCTCAGAGCCATCTCAGAATCCGCGTCTCCCGTACGTCTATTTATACCTTACCCCTCTTCCCAGCATTTGGGAAATCTTTTGTGAGCTTGCGGAAGTTTTTATTTGAGGACTTAATAAAAAGTACATGGGTTGGTAAAATTCTTGGATTTTTATCGCAGGTTTCTATTTTTAATCATCATGAGAAACGTTTTGTTTGTTTTGAAGCTAGAGATGCTTCACTTTTCTTCACTGGAATTCCACTTTTCTTCTTTTATTTATTTATTTCTCACTTACCTCATTCACAGTTCCTGGAGATATGCTAATATCACACTGTGTGGCTATGCACACAATTATGTTTTAAATAATAAAGAAAATGCAATAATAAGAAACGGTGGGCTTTGGGCTTTTGTTTTGATTTTTCTGACATTCCAGCATTTAATTGTAAAACACTCTTCTGGCTTTATAATTGCTGGCTTAGTTGATGGGAAATTGTAAGACTTTAAAATCTGAGTGTGAACAACCTTGACTGTCGCCTGCTCTCTGGGCCCACGTCACTGAAAGCTAAGAAAACAGCTCCACTCAATGGACTAACATCACCGAGAACCTCCTTCTCAACACCGGCTCTTCGCTGTGCATGTGAATACCACCTGGGTGCTGGTAGATTCTCTCTTCTTCAGATCCTGCCTCAACTTATCCCTTCCATTCATGTCTTCCCTATGTTTCTCAATTTACCTTTCTGCCACCTTCCTACAGAACACCTCTTCCCCATCCAGACCTTATCACTTCGTGTCTGGATTTGGAAATCACCTCTTCTCTGACCACTTCTCTCTGCCTGCCTCCTGATTTCAAATCAGGTAACTTCCTAAAACCACTTATATTTAATTTCTGGAGAGAGTCTGCAATATTAAAATGATTTCTTCCTAGAAAAAAAAAGTTGAAAAATTAATAGTCCAATGACCACAACCACCTGCAAAGCCCTGTTTTCCCAGCACAAGGTGAAAATCTGTGCATCTGGTGTCTGTGCGCACCCCCTGCACGCTGGTTCTCCGGAGGCTTCACCACTCCCTGTTGCCCTGCACAAGGTGCTGCCCAATTTCTGAGGGCCGCCCGGCCCTGAAAACATCGGCGCAGCCACACTCATCATGGCACTTGCACTCATCACTGCTGCCAATGCAGCAAACTTAGGCTCACCCATCTGACTCTCCCATCATCTAAGCCCAGTGTCCTCTCCGGTTCCAACTCCCTCCCAGCCTTGCTGGGGGGCTGGTCTCCAGTTTCACAACCTCAATTCCAGCAGCATCTTGCATAGGATGCTTTTGCTCCTCGCCTTCACCCACCTAAACTTTGTCACACTCCAATCCCAGTTCAAGTTCCTGTTTCCTGCTTGAAGCCCTCCCTGCCTTCTACCCCATAGCAGTTTGCCCCCGAGGCAGTCCTGGGCAGCTGCTGGGCTGCCTGGGACAGGCTGAGTCAATCTAACTCCAGGGAAAGCTCTTTACTGGCTGGCTGCACACACTTTCCTGCTTTCCGCTACAGAGCACTAAATATGTCGCTGGTACTGCTCAGAAAGGGCTTTCAAATGCTTTAAAATCTGTATAAAGAAGACACTAGTTACATAGATACGAAGTATTCTGCTCTAAAAGTTTTTTTCCCAACACAAAATGAAGCTTCTCTTCTCTTTAACTTCCTAGGATTCAAGCTCCCTCGGGTGCACTTACAAAGTCCAGAGAAGCTTGCAGGGTGCTCCCAGGGCACTGACTGAGCAGGAGTGGGAAACAGGTTGCTAATTCTCTAGGCCCCTCCCTCTGCCAGCAGAATCGGCTGCATTATGTTAGGGTCAAGTCACAGGAGGACACAGGACTCTCCCAAGCATGGCCTACCCCAACTCTAGGCTCTAGGCCCAGGGGGCTCCACCTCCCTCCCCAAACACCTCATGCCCTAACGCTGGCTTCACTTTGACCTCTACACCCCTTTCTGTCATGGTCTGTCTGCTGGAATGCCCTTCATTTGTGTTATAAGGCCCAGTTCAATGTTCACCTCTCTAGGAAGACTTCTCTCCTCTCCCCAAATGAAGCATGAGCTACCCTCACCTCCTGCATACTCCTGCAGCCCTTTGAACTCGGTTTTCACTTCTGTTTTTTTTGTTTGTCTGCTTGTCTTGCTGTTGCACCTCTCTCTACACTGAAGCTAAGATTCACCATTTTGCTTCCTCCTAAGAATTCCTCTTACACCACAACCTCTCACCCTTTGTCCTTGAGTTTCTCAGACACCCAACTTGAATTCTCAGTGCAAATCTGGGAGTCAATGAAAGAGCAAGTTGGAGCTGTGAAATCACCCTCACCCCACCACCCATCCCTCTGCTGTAAAAAGAAATACATGCAAAATTGCTGAGAACAAGATCTGGAAAACAGTAGGTGCTTAAATGAGGCTAATGGCTTCCCTTCTTTCTCATTGCAGGAAATACGAATCCTAACATGATGAATTCCCAAGTATTTTAAATGATAATAAAATATTTCCAGCTCAAGTAGATATTCAAATGAGAGCGATGTTGCTAAGAGCTGAGCCTTGGAAAAGGCCTGGAAAACGCTGCAGTAAAAACTCTCCGGACTTTCTCTGTGTATTCTCTAACTCAACTGGCAACATGAGCCACTAAATGATGCTAAAGACACAGGTTTCATTGCATTCTTGACTTTTTTGCTCTTCGGCCAAATGTCAGCGCCCCCAATTCACGGCTCCAAGAGGACCTGTCCGTGAGAGCACCAGCCCAGCCCCCACCTGTGTGAATGAAGAGACCCATGTATCCAGAAAACTACAAGTGACATGTGCAGAGTGACAGCGAGAGCCCTGATCACAGTTCCTGTTTCTGTCCAGGGCTGCTTGTACCACAACAGGCCATCAGATGGACGCTGTCCACAGTCTATTACGGCAAGGGGGCAGGAGGCCTGGTGGGAGCCGGTAAATGACTCTGCCCTCTGGGAGGGATACCGGGGTGGTTGGGGAACGCATCTGCTGTGCGCCACACCCTCGTCTCCAGGCCCTGCGTGCTCAGTGGGCTCTCAGTTGCCAGGTCCGACCTGGGTGGAACATCGTTTCCGAGCTCTGTCTCGAAGTGAGTTCCATAGACAGTTTGGTCCTAGGTCCTAAATCTCCCTGCTTTCTGGCATATCATCTTACGGCTCTTATAGGCGCGCGCACACACACACACACACACACACACACACACACACACACAATCTGTCCTCTCCATCCAAACACAAAGGCTTTTTTTTTTTCTTTTTGAGACGGAGTCTGGCTCTGTCCCCCAAGCTGGACTGCAGTGGCGTAATCTTGGTTCACTGCAAGCTCCACCTCCCGGGTTCACGCCATTCTCCTGCCTCAGCCTCCCGAGTAGCTGGGACTACAGGCGCCCGCCACCACGCCCGGCTAATTTTTTTTTTGTATTTTTTAGTACAGACGGGGTTTCACCGTGTTAGCCAGAATGGTCTCAATCTCCTGACCTCGTGATCCGCCCGCCTGGGCCTCCCAAAGTGTTGGGATTACAGGCGTGAGCCACCGTGCCCGGCCACAAAGCCTCTTTAAGTTTACTTTTTTGGGGTTGACAGCAAGTTGTTCAATACAGCCCTTAAAATATTTATTATTTTAAGGAAAGTAGATGCATAGCTGTGATAACTTCAGCAAATAGTTTTAATTAAGCTGATTTAATGAAAATCCAGTACAATTTTGATTTTTTAAAACATTTGTATATGTGTTATCTCCAACATACCTAACAATTCTCTGTGATTCTAACTCCAGCATCTTCTGAGGCTACAAGTGTCACTTTTAAACCAGTGAGTTACTGCAGGGAATTTAGTCAGCCCACCTGGTAACAGCCCATTCGCCATCTTCCAGTTGTGTTTTATCCTTTGTAAATGTCGTAATTTCCAGAACCTTACTCTGAACATTTTCAATATCTACTCAGTATACACTGAGGAATTTAATTAATTTTCATTTTGTTCAAAGTTAAAATTTAATGCAGTGCTCAGTTTAAAAATAAGATATGTATAAATTATAATTTAGCGTGCATTCTAAAGTGAATTATTACCTGGGGTTTATTAAATAAGCTCCTTCTTTGGTATATGAAGGGAGGTATCAGTGGTCACATTTCACTCTGGGGAAGGAAAGGAAGATTGACTGAGGCCCAGCCAGGCACCAGACAGTGAGCCAGGTGTTTCCATGCCCCTCGCCTCCCTGAGCCTTGCAGTCATTCTGCGGGGTGGGCGTCTGTAGGAAGGAACGTGGGACCGTGTGATAATCTGGACATTGCGCTTGCACCGGAATTTCTTCCTGCTGGTTTTTGTAGGTCTGTGTTTCCCAGCCATTCAGTGAGAGGCACGGGAGAGAGCGGACACACTGAGAAAGGCTGAACGGCTGGTCTTTTCTATTTAAGGGAATCTCAGAGCACATGCCATAAATTATCCTCTCCTCAGTTTTCTTGACGCACATGACGAGTCCTGAGTCAACCTTCAGGCTTGGTCCTGTGGCGGCATTGCTTGTGGACTACTGAGCTGCCGCACGTGTCACAGCCAGACACGCACGGGGTCATTCCACCACCCAGGGCTGGCCCCCACCCTCCATGCTCTGCTCCATTGTCTGGGCAATGGAAGGCGATGATGGTGAATGCCTTTTTCTTTTTTTTTTTTCCCCGAGACTGAGTCTCACTCTGTTACCCAGGCTGGAGTGCAATGGCACAATCTCAGCTCACTGCAACCTCTGTCTCCCGGGTTCAAGCGATTCCCCTGCCTCAGCCTCCCGAGTAGCTGGGACTACAGGTGTGTGCCACTGCGCCTGGCCTGAATGCCTTTTTAAAAAAGTAACAGCATACTTAGAGTTTCCAAGTTTCCAAGATACCACATTATACCTGACACGCTCATCTCACCGGACCCAGCCTCTCGGGGAAGAATATTGTAACTTCATTCTTCAGGCCTCTCCTTTCCACAAGGACTCCCTCCCCAACTCCTGATAAGGATGTTATTTTCCACAAAAAAATATTGTATACAATTATTAAATAAACAAAGGATTCTGGACAGTCACATCTCACTAAGCCACAAAACGGCCACCCTGGGGTGTGCCCTTCCTCACAGTGCTTTTCTTTTTTTTTCTTTCTTGTTTTGAGATGGAGTTTTGCTCTTGTTTCCCAGGCTGGAGTGCAATGGTGCGATCTTGGTGCACCACAGCCTCTGCCTCCCGGATTCAAGCGACTCTCCTGCCTCTGCCTCCCAAGTGGCTGGGATTACAGGCACATGCCACCATGCCCGGCTAATTTTGTATTTTTAGTAGAGACAAGGTTTCTCCATGTTGGTCAGGCTGGTCTCAAACTCCCGACCTCAAGTGATCCACCCACCTCGGCCTCCCAAAGTGCTGGGATTATAGGTGTGCGCCACCACACCAGGCCCATGGTGCTTTTCCATGGCCACCGTGCCCTTCCCCAATCTCACAGGGGTGGCTGGGCTCCCACACCAAGGCCTGGCCGCCTTCCTGACCTCCAGCTTTCTTTTTGGCTAATCTTCCCAATCCACAAATCGTTGCATCTTAAGAATAGAGCACGGTTCTCGTCCTCAGTTTGACATACTAAACTACTGGCAAAGATGTATTCTTGGGACAGCTTTTTAAAGTCTGTCTGCAAGCAGCACCAAGATTAAATGCATCTCCCCAGCCTGAATGGGGATGGCATTTTTCACAAAGAGTGGTCCTGCAGGCCAAGGAGATCACAGCTTGAACTGAACACCTGTCAGTCGGTCTAGACAGCAACTGCTCTAATTTTGGAAGTGCAGGCGATCCGTAAAGCCAGCAAGCGGGGATGACTTTAGCTTCATCTATTGTGGACACAATTAAGTAAGTGAGATATATTTATGAATTCAAAACAGCTTCGTCATTCTTTAAAATCGGAGTTGAAAATCCAAACCGGAACTATTCATATGGTTTCTCCTTTTAAGTTACAAGGTTTCCTATCATGTATATGAATGAAATATAGTTTACCAAGTGAGAATAGTTTCTTTGTATTTAATTAGAAAATGACAGCATTTTGGTGGTGGTGAACAGTCAACACAGATCGTCTAACGGAATCCTTTCCTTCACTTTTGGTTCTCTGTATTCCGAGTTTTCTTGTTTGTAATCCTATTGCTGTCTTCATTAGAATATAGAAATGCTTCTATCTTGGCCTGACATTCACTTCTAGCTGCATTATGGGTGTGATTTAAGAAAAAAAAACAAAACAGTTAACTAGGAGACTGTGTTCCTTCCCACACTGTGCCCATGGAGGCAGCACATATGTTAACTCTTTCTAGTTTTGGACGAGAGTGGGTGAATATGATACGTATTGCTGGCCAAATTCTGTGGATTTTTTTTAGCACAGTGCATTGATCTAACAAATATCTTCTTACAGTTGTACAATGCTTTGGTAGGTAGAAAGAGTAACAACCTATCATTTTATACCAAAAGGGAATTTTTACATTTTAAAAAAGCACCGTTGTGAATATAGAATGGAATATTATACAGCCAGTAAAATGAGGTTTATAAAATAAGGTATGTACATTTGCATTTAAAATAATAGAAAATATTCTTACTTCTAAAATTATTTGAACAGTAAAAATACAAAATGTTCTGTAACTATCCCTAGTTGAGATATCATACAGAATTACATAATGTTTATATGAGATTATAAATGTGCATGTATATCTTTCTCGTTGTCTCCATTTATAAACAGTGATTGTTTCTAGTAGGAAGATCAGGGTAACTTTTACTTTAAAAAATGTGTTCTATAGTTTCTGAATTTTGGTGAGGCGTCTTATTTTTAAAAGCAAAATATTCTTCAAAATTTTATTTCCAATAAAATATATTTATTTCAGCAGCCCCATGGGCAATAAAGGAAAAAAGCAATATTGCCTAGTTTTCTAATTCTGAAGATATTTTAGCCTTTCAGTTTTCCCAAATAATAATTCATGTGTAATACAAGGGAGAGATATTTCCCAACAGGTTTAGGAAAGCCTTTTTTTCCCATGACTTGTGACTTTCCAAATTATCTACAAAACGCAGAGCAGAGGGAAGAATGGAAGCTCCCATTGCCATAAAGATGTTCCTGCTTCACACTCTACTATACTTTGGCATATTATAAGCAGCTACGATGAATGAATTGATGTTCTGTCTTGTTGCCACAACAATTAGTCAAAAAGTGAAAGGCTCAGTCAGTTCAGTACGCAAGACCTTGGATGCCACTCAGGAGCCCTGCATGAGGAGAAAGGAAGGTGCAGGGAAACTTCATTGTACCCACCAGACGGCCCGAGAACCATCTCACTGCATTGCACCGAAGCATGTTTGCCTAAGACTTTCACAACCATAATTATTTCCTTTTGAAGGTAGACATTGGTTTCCTAAGGATTTGAACCGATTAACTATTAGCCTGGTGCAAAAGTCATTGCGGCTTTTGCCATTGCTTTTAGTGCAATTACTTTGCACCAACCTAACAGTTGCATGAATATGCACATCTCACCTTAACAAGCCAAGTTCCTCTAACTTGCTTTCTCTGTTTCCCAGATAGCTACCCAAATCAAACAAACCCTGTATCCTTGACCTGTGTATGTTGTTTTGCTTTGCTTTTCATTTTTGAAAAACTGTACTCTTGTGCATGACAGAAAATGCATGATAGAGGTGCATGATGGAAAGTCTTTCAAATATGCCCCCATAGAATCTGACCCAGCACTCCCTTCATCCCTGCCCGTAGTGGCTGAGGTTACAATCCTGCCCTCTCCTCTCTGCGTCTGCTTTAATCCACCATCAGCTGTAAGGAAGGAAATTAGTACGGGGAGAGAGAAGAATGAACACACTGTAATTGTTACAATACACTAACAGTAATATTGTGACAAACAGTTCAGTGCTGTAATTCAGTGCCTCCAAACACTCAAGTATAGTTGAGAATAAGATCTGCATTTCTTCAAGAGCTAACAAAATGATTTAGGGCATCCCAGGCCTCGAGCACTCTAGGTGCTCAATAATTGTGTATTCAGGGAATTATCTCTAATATGTTTTTCAATAAAGCTCGTTATATACCTGTTGTGAAATGTCCTTTTCTTTAATCAATCATATTTATTTCAAATCATGAGTTACAAAGAAATTTCTGGTGCAGTGGTTCACACCTATAACCCCAGCACTTTGGGAGGCTAAGGCAGGAGGGTTGCTTGAGGCCAGGAATTTGAGACCAGCCTGGACATCATAGTGAGATCCCATCTCTACCAAAAAAACAAAAAAAAAATCAAGTGGACCAGAGTATATACATGACACAGCAATCAGGTTAAATCAGAAGAGTCCCTTTAAAAATCAAAGTAAATTTTCCCAAATACATTTTATTAAAGAGAATGGAGTAAACCATGAATAAGGTTGTTAGAAGATTCCAAATTTAAAATGCAAGCAAGTTCCTCAGAAACAAAAGTATACTGCTAACTCACCCACCTTTTACAATATGTATTTTCCAGTACAACATAGCCCAGTGAAGACTGCATTTAGAATGGCAGTTATAATGCTATATGAAAAAAATAGAATAATTGTGGAATTTTTTGCATTTAATGCTGTTTTTAAAGTAAAGAACATTCAATAGCAAGAGCTAAATCAAGCATTGTACCACGTAAGCTATAGAGTAGGCAATCTTCAAACGAGCTCTGAACTATATTGTTAAATATCATTTGAAGTATTTATATGTTAATTTTCCTATAAAGGTATATAAAGGTAGAAAAAGATAAATTAGATGCAGTATTAGAATCAACAACACAACAACAAAAACTACTGAAAACGCTCTTTTGTCTAGATTGAAAAATACTTTCTAAATACACTTAAAATTTAGGTCCTTATTAATTTTATCTAAAACAATACAAATGCTTAAGTGTTCTTTCTTTTTTTTTTTTGAGACGGAGTTTCACTTTTGTTGCCCAGGCTGGAGTGCAATGGCGCCATCTCGTCTCACTGCAACCTCTGCCTCCGGGGTTCAAGCGATTCTCCTGCCTCAGCCTCCTCAGTAGCTGGGATTACAGGCACACACCACCATGCACAGCTAATTTTGTATTTTTAGTAGAGACGGGGTTTTTTCCATGTTGTTTAGGCTGGTCTCAAACTCCCGACCTCAGCTGTTCTGCCTGCCTCAGCCTCCCAAAGTGCTGGGATTACAAGCATGAGCCACGACACGCGGCCAAGTGTTCTTTCTTAATGCATATTCAAGAATACCTTAAGTCAGGAAAACATTGGTTATATTTAGATAGAAAACATAATTGAATGCTAAGTCTTCCCCAACTACTGCCATGTCAGTTCAGCCTGGCACTTATATTTTATTATACAGTTTTCTGGAAAATACCTTAAACCATGTCAGAATAGTAACTCATATATCAGAGCTGGCATAACTCCAGCAGTAGCACTGAGAACACTGCAAATATCGCAAATTTGTTGCCTCATCCTGGGCATGATAAACCCAGTTGAGGTAGTGAGGTTGGTGCAGATCCTAACTAAATGTGGGAAAGAGGACCCTCTCCCTAACCTTTAAATCCTTATGTAAAGTTTGCTATCTTGTACAAAGCATGTTATCCTTATTATAAAAATTATACCTACTCATGTAAAAATTTATTGGAAAATAAAAAAGAGACAGAAAGAAGAAAACCTTGCCTTTAGTACTCAGGTCCTTTCCTTTTAAAACCACATTGGAATCATACTGTATACAATTTCATATTTAGTTGATCTTTTAATTTAACATTATATCTTTAGCATTCCTTATGATATTAAATGTCCTCTGTGGACATAAATCACAATGCATATAACTATTCCCCTACCCTTGGACACTTAAGTGGTTATCAATCTTTTGAGATAATAAATAGCATTACGGTGAATGATAACAGAAATGTTATATTACACCATCAAATTAAAAGCACAGCACGACATGCAACCAGGCACAATTCAATCTGAATCTAATTGATTTTAGACGGCAAGATTATTACAAATCCTGGGTGCATGCATTCAATTTTTCATGATCCAAAAATGTAATAAGTGTGGCTTTGAATGTCTTCCCTGATGTCACTGATCAAGTTGCTGGAAGGTAGAAAGCAAAGAATGGACCATGACACTTCACCAGGGTTTCACCAGATTCATTTAAATACATTAACCAACGTGTCAAAAACCCGCCTTCCTCTTGTAACAACCAGCTCATACTTTCCCTTCCTGTACATGAGCACGTAATAAACATTTTCTCAAAAAGCTGATGGAAAGCTAGGTAATGGTGTGAACATCACTTTCACAATGATCAAAAAAAATGACCTATATTCAGCATGGAGGAAATGTCTTTCAATTCCTAATGATCACCTTTTTATTTACACGTGCTCATTTATAAGCCGTCAGCCAACATAGATCACTTTATGCTTCCGCTTGGAAAAGGGAAAAAAGAAAAGAAAAGAAAAGAAGTACAAGACCAAAATAACAGTGGCCTATCAAAGAGAAGTTTATCTCCCCTGCAGGCTAACAATCCTCTTTGGTTAGCTCAGAATTTCAGGATGCCCTGCCCTTATGTCCCCACCTTGCCTATAAGTGCTTCTGCACAAGAAGCAGGGAAGAGTGGGCTCAGAGTCACCGCCCCCACCCCAGCAAGTGAGGGATTTCACCCAGGACTGACATGCATCTCCTGGCTCTACTCTCTGGGTTATTACCAAAGCAAATCACAGGCCCACAGTGAACTTTGAAGAAGGCAGAACACACTTCTCCCATGACTCTGATTGTTGACAGAACCAGATATTGGCGAAAAGCTCATGCCTACCATACAGCTGTAGAATCAGCAGTGCCTCTTCCTGTCTACAGACACTCAGATTTCTTTTTTTCTACTCAATAAAGGAGCAGTTGGCTCCCCTGTGCTGGTGTGGTCTCAGCTACATGGTTGCTCAAATACTCCCAATGGTGGTTCAAGGCCAGGTATTTTAGTATTGTATTGACCTTGACAGTAATAAATCAACTTTTGGAGACAAGGAATGAGTTCATGAGTTACCCTTTATCTTGGTTGCAGAGCAATGGATGTTTTAGGAAGGGGTTCTGGAGCATAATGGAACTCAGTCCCCAGCTGTGCATCACAATTAGATGGATGGTGTTGGAAAATATCACCTCTGTCAGGTAGAAAAGGACTACAGGTCACCGTGTACGGTGAAATGAAGAACAGCTGTTGATTATCTGAAAGCATGCTTTCCTTCTCTGTAATTCCCCTAAGTAATATTCTCTGAGGACTATATGACTTCCTCAAGGAGTCATAATAATAATATTCCTAATCACAATAAAAACAAAGACTTATATAGTCATATTATTAGATGCCAGGCACTGTTCCAAGTACATTGCACATACATAGACTCTCTGCATCCGTGGGTTCCACATCTGTGATTCAACCAACTGTGGGTTGAAAATATTCAGGAAAAAAAAAATCTGTACTGAATGTGTACAGACTTTCTTTTACTTGCCATTATTCCCTAAACTGTACAGTATAACAACTATTTACATAGCATTTACATTGCATTAGGTATTATAAGCAATCTAGAGATGATTTAAAGTATACGGGAGGATGTGCGTAGGTTATATGCAAATACTATACCATTTTAAATCACAGACTTGAGCATCTGAGGATTTGGGTATCTTCAGAGAATCCCAAAATCAATCCTCCATATATTGATCAACATTTTGAGATAAGTACTATTGTGTGCTCCATTGCAGATAAGGAAACTGAGGCACAGGGAAGTAAATGAACGTGCCCAAAACCACACAGCTAGAAAGTAGGGGAGACAAGATTCAGACCATAGCCATTTGGCTTCAGAGACTCTGATCTCTTTCACTGTACCAGGATGCCTTCAGCAGGTTGTTGATACCTCTCAAGAGAAACACAGAAGGGACACTGTTTCCATCTACAGATGCAGACCTAGCCCAAGGTCACCACTTGTAAGCACCAAAGCAGGATTTGAACCTGGGGTGAATGCAACTCCACAGCCAAGGGTGTTTCCACTCTGCCAAGCTGCTGCTAGCATTACTACCCTAAGACATCAGACCAAGTCCTTTTTTCTGGTTACATTTCTGTCAGTAGACACACTTCATTTCTTCTCCCACAGCCTCTTTCATTTCATTTGATGTCACTCTTCAGCCCTCTTATAAAGAGCTTGCAATCTCCAGACAGTGGCTTCCTTGGATCATGCAAATATTGCTTATTGCCTTTGACCTTGCTTTGAAGACTTCTTTGTCTACAGTGGATGTTTAGCTCTCCTTGGGGAAGCTATTTAATTCAGACCTTCTCCCCTAAAGAAACACGAATCCCTGAAAGCCGACACTCAGATTTCCTGTTACTGAGTTCTATAATCCCCAAGTGATTATTTGCCCTTGAGATTTCGTAGCAGGCTTAACCTTGAGCTCAGCAGATAAAAGCCTGCCTTTTCCCAAGGGAGGTCTGCCCTCAGCAGCACCTTCCACATGGGAAGAGAGGAGGATCAGCCATGCTTCTTCTCCATTGGCAGCTGGAAAGTGGGATGGGTTGGCAAGAACAGGACAGAAGGTAGTTGGTCTCCTTAGGACAAAACACCTCAGAGCAGGCTCATGGCAGTGAAAGATGACGGCAGTGACCAAGCTGATCTGAGACTATGATGAGCCGAGCATTAACTGATTGACTTTTGACCCATGTTTTACCTAATATGTCTTTTTCCTCGTTGAAATTTAGAGCTACTGCCATCTTTAGAAGCTTTTGATGAATATGCAGGATTGCTGGAAGCTAAGCAGCGTAATTGAATTTGCAACTATTTGCTACAGGACTATAATTTAATGGGAGCATAATAATTTACTAAATACCATTACAGTGGCATCACATCCTGTTCATCAAAAAAATGAAAAAGATATATGCAGCAATGTTTCTTTATTATTCATGGTAGCTTTTTATAGAGAGGTTACCTCTAGAGTAGAATGGGTGTTATCATTTTAGCTTCCAGATTCAAATATTCTAAAACTACGTCAAATCCTACTACCTCCAAATTCAATCCATTCAAAATCTAGTACCAGCAAATTGAAGCCGTTTCTAAATGTCTCCTTTCAAATAGCATATCCACCACATAGTTTGCAGCTATGCAAAATACCTTCTATTTTTGTAAAGCAATAAATAATAAGAATTATATGTTGAGGTTCAACTATGTACCAATTATATGGAGCTGGATGCATTAGGGGTATGTGTGTGTGTGTGTGTGTGTGTGTGTGTGTGTGTTCTAATCTGAACAAAGGTTCTACGATGACAGTATTATCATCTCTATATATTTAGAGATGATAAAATAAAAGTTCAGAGAGAATCAAGGTCACCCACTTAGCTAGGTGAGGAAGCCAAGCTCGGGACCTAGCTTTCTCTGACACTGCAACAGCCTGCTTCTGTGAGATTTCTCCAGTGTAGATAAAACAGCAAGTATTTTCCAAGATGATGCATGAACTCACTCCAACTGGTGACTTCCTGCCAGCGTTACTGATTAATGACTAAAATGATGGTGCTCTGAAAACAAAAATGGTAAACCAGCCAAGGCAACAGGCCACCTCCCCCCTCTAAGCACCTGGGGAGGGGTGAACTTCTTCTGTTTTCCTCACTCCAAGCTAGGAATTCTAAGGTTTCTGTAGGGGAACCACTTACTACAAGAAGCAGCCATTTCTGGTCAATATCCCCCTGTGTTAACACTTAAAGAAATACATACTCTCAAAACAGAATCACTGGGAATTTTCATTTTCTCATTTTCCCCCAGAATCGGGAGCACTCTAAAGACCTGCTCCTGTTTTTGTGACAGACTTAGCATGAGTTCCATGGGACTCTGCCTGAACAGCATGTTTGGGAAGAATGCTCTCTTCTCTGCCCATGGTTATCGAGCTTTCTCACAACTTTCCTCGACTCCCTTTCCCGACAGGCCTCAGCCTAGAAAAACTAAAGGCCAGATCTTTGGAGGCAAAGGAAGCATATTTGGAATAGTGCCCATCTCCAGTCACAGCCGGAGTCACACGAGTTGCATGCACGAGGATTCAAGGCCACCTGGAGTAATTCACATCACCTAAAGTTTCTCAGGCCATGCCAACTTGGTATTAGAAATGGGGTCTGGAAGAAGAAACATGAGGTCACATCATCAGGAAAAGTTGCTGCTCCAGTGATTGCTTCGATTCCACAAAGCTAGAATTATATCCCCCTGAAAAATTCTCTTCTTACCAGAAGATCTCAGGGGAGATCTTATATGAGCTTTCATGAGAAAATCCTGTCAACCATGTTTAGCCACCACTGTCTTCCTCTCCAGAACCAAACACCCCTTATGGTAACACTGTGGGAACCTGCTCAAAAATGGCCTAAAAGCCCCATGTCACGGCCTCTGGGGTCAGTGAGTCCCGAAGTCTACCCCAGCTACAGCCCAGCAGTCAGGGCATTACGGGTAATACATGGAAAGACACAGTTTCCAAACTCCTTCACATCCGACTTTGGCGCTAAGCATTTCTCCAGTAACAGAGCCACCGCCATCCCGCCCCGTGCGCCGGCCCCACCCAGAAAGGAACATTTCATGCTCATTAGTCTCCACTGCAAATCCATTCTCCCACGTCGTCTCCAGCAGGCACAGACATCCCCACCTCCAGCAGCTCCTTCGTGCACACAGTCTGTGTCTCTGATCTCTGAAACACACCACAACACGTGCACACGTTGCTCCTCATCTGCCCTCGCCCGTTTTCCATGCCACCATGCGGGTCAGTTCACTTCCGCTCCAGCATTCCCACCGCCCTTAGTACTGGACACTGCTTCTTGAGGCCAGCATTGCTCCATGCATTCTCACAAGGGGTTCTGAGGCAGTTGGCATCCCTGGGGACCCACACCGTGAGTGGGAGAATGCCCCTGGCCCACCTGAAGTTGCTCTTCAGCAGAGCCTCCGGAG
Source organism: Homo sapiens (assembly GCF_000001405.40). Classification (NCBI taxonomy): domain Eukaryota; kingdom Metazoa; phylum Chordata; class Mammalia; order Primates; family Hominidae; genus Homo; species Homo sapiens. The sequence goes on from NC_000002.12 coordinate 8,173,258, forward strand.
CCTGGCTGCTGGGGCTGGGGAGGCCCTGACTACCCACCACGTGGTGCAGGAAAGGCCTAGAGGCTGCAGCATGGGAGAACTTCCCACACAGGCAACACGCCGTCCCCTCTTCTCTCTTGCACAGTTCCTGCTTTACCAAGACCATCCTAGAAGGCAGTGGGATGAGGACAGGAGACCAGCACAAACAGCAAAGGGAAGGACAAGGACCCGGATATGGGTGACGCTGCAGAAACGGAGACGGAGCAGAGGCCAAGCGTATTGTGGGGAAGCATAAACTACCTAGCCTGTGTTCTGCTGTTGATGTGTTGTGTGCTGCCAGGCAAGTTGTTTAATTTTATATCCTCAGTTTCCCCATCAGTGGCATGACAGGGACGACTCTCAGATCCAATATAGCTCTGGCAGTGCAGGACCTTGAGGCCTCAAGTAAGATAACGTGAATCACATGTGGGGTGGATGGGGTGGGATAGTCTCATTTCATGGCAAAGAGATGTTTTGAAGGATGCTGACATTGTGGTGTTAATGAAGGATGCCACTGGCATTGTGTAAAGACACAGAACCAGGAGGGGCAGGGTTCAGGGAGGAATTTAATATGAAACTTGAACCCAGACATAGTCTCAAGCATAAATAGAAATTTAATAGTGAAAAATGTGGCTTTCCAAATCAACGGAAAATAATTCTTCAGTAAATGATGTCAGACAAGTATTTGGGAAATGGGAGAGGAAGTCAAGATCTTTAGCCCCTTTCTTATGCCAGCATTTTTCTAGCAGGATCACAGATTAAAACATAAAAATCATAAAACAAAAGAAACACACTAGAAGAAAATGTGAGTGATATTTTATAACCTTTAGGCACAGAAAGACTTTCTAAAAATGCCTGAATAATAAGATGCACACATAAAGGAAGAATGACATATTTAGCTTCAAATACAGGTTTTATGTATATAAATATGTTTACACAACAGTAAAACAACAAACATTTTAAGACAAATGGCAAAGTAGAAAAAGTGTTTTCAAGGCATATGCTAACAAAGAATTGATGTCTGCGCTATACAAAGACCAAGGCTTTCACATCAGACAGTTCCAGAGGTTCGAGAAAGAGGAAGCCTAGAAAGACAGAAACTTTTAGACACTGTCTGCTCTATTCTAGCCAAACACCACAGAAAAAATGGGGTCCCACCCCTACTCACAACAGCAAAGGCCAAGAGTAGGCTCTAGACTGGCACCCTTTCCAGGCTGTGACCAAGCACCTACAAACCCTGACTGGGGTTGTCTTGAGGAGGAGAGTAGGGACTTTCATCCTGCCAGGTGGTAATGAGCTCTGTGCACCCTACCTCAACTCCCTCAGCATCAGTGGAGACCACATGGGGAGCCAGGACTTCCACCCCCACCCCACCATAACTGGGTGCGTCTCCCCTTTCCCACCGGGGGTTGGATCAACGTTGGCCTAGAGATGAATCAGAAATCTTAGCAATGCCCAGTGGTTAAAAAGCCATCCATGCTTGACATCAGTGGAGGCCACATGAGGAGCAGTCATGAAGCACTCCCATCCCAGGTGGCATCAGGGCGGCTTGCTGGACAGCCAGAAAGTCCACCCACACTCTCGGGAGGGGAAAGCCCCTCCCTCATGCATGTGTCACTGGAGGCTGAGTGGGGATCCTTGACTTCTATTCCTCCCTTGCCAGGAATGAGATGGTGCCACCCTCCACCTCTTTTCCTGGAGGAGTATGTTAGAGGAAGCCAGATAAAATAGAAGATTTAGAGAAGATCCAGAACCTCATGCCATAATATTCCAAATGTCCAGGTTTTCATCAGAAATGACTCATCATACTAAGAAGCAGGAAGATTTCAAACTGAGTGAGAAAAAAAGTCAATAGACTCCAACAGAAAAATTAGAATTATCTGACAAAGATTTTATAGCAGCCGTTATAAAAACAACTTAAAAAGCAGTTATGAGCATGCTTGGAACAAATTAAAAATAGAAAGCCTCAGCAAACACACAGAAGACATAAAAAGGAACCTAATGAAAATGCTTGAACTAAAAAATACAATAACAACCAAATAAAAGTCAGTGGATTTTCTCAACTGCAGAATAGAGGGAAAATAGAAAAAAAAAATCAGTGAACTTGAAGGTAGAAAAATAGAAACTACACAATCTGAACAAGAGAGCAAATAGACCGAAAATTGAAAAATGAACATACCTTCTGGGACCTAAGTGACTATAACATAAGATCTAGCACTCCCAATATCAACATCCCAGGGTGAAGCAGCAGTGTGGAGCTGAAAAAGTACTTGAAGAAATAAAGGCAAAAACACTCAAATTTGGCAAAAGAGACAAACCTGTATATCAAGTTAGCTGAGCAAACCCCAAATGGAATAAATGCAAACAAAAATCCAAAGACACATCACAATCTAACTTCTGAAAACCACAGTCGAAGAAAGATCTTAAAAACAACAAGATACAAAGTACACCTCACCTACAGGAGAAAAACAATATGAATGACAGCAATTTCTATCTGTCTCTCCTTTTTTTTTTTTTTTTAAAGAAAAGGACAGCTAAGAGAGGTGATACAACATTTTTAAGTTCTGGGAAAAAAATGTAAACACAGAATTCTATATACAGCAAAAACATTCCTAAGAAAGGAGTGGGACGTTAGAACATTGTAGATTTAAATTTAAAAAAAAAAAGACGACGAAGAAGAGAACTTGTCAGGAAAACTATCATAAAAGAATGGCCAAAGGAAGTTCTCAAATGGAAAGGAAATGATAGAAGAATGAATCTTGTATCATCAGGAAGAATGCAGGAAGAGTAGAAATATGGGTAAATACATTTGTCTTCTCCTCTTGAGTTTCTTCAATCATGTTTGATAATTGAAACAAAATATATACGTATAAAAAATGTTTGATGCCGTTCTAAATTTATGTGGAAGAAATATTTAAGGCAATTATATTATTATAGGGAATAGTAAAGAGATGTAAAGGAAGATAAGATTTCTTCACTTCACTCAAACTGGTAAAATCCTGGCACTTGATATAGACATATGTAAACAAATATAAATGATTGTTAGAACAAGCAGATAGAATATCAGCAAGGATGTAGATGAACTCAACAAAGTCACCAACTAACAGAATCTAGTTGACACTTCAAAAACACTCTTTCCTGCCCCCCGACAAAAAAAAAAAAGCATACACTTTTTTTTTTTTTTTTTTTTTTTTTTTTTTCAGACGGAGTTTCCCTGTTATCACCCAGGCTGGAGTGCAATGGCGCAATCTCGGCTCACTACAACTTCCGCCTCCCGAGCTCAATCAATTCTCCTGCCTCAGCCTCCCGAGTAGCTGGGATTACAAGCGCCTGCCACCATGCCCAGCTAATTTTTGTATTTTTAGTAGAGACAGGGTTTCACCATGTTGGCCAGGCTGGTCTGGAACTCCTGACCTCAGGTGATCTTCCCGCCTCGGCCTCTCAAAGTGCTGGGATTACAGGCATGAGCCACCACGCCCAGCCCATATACGTTCTTTCTAACAGCACACATATTGTTTTTAAATATCCATAGAACATAAACTAAACCAAGATAGACTATATCCTGGACTGAAGAAAGAAAAGGAAGGAAAGAAAGAAAAAAGAAGGGAGGAAAGAAGGGAAGAAAGGAGGGAGGGAGGGAAAAGAAACTCACCAAACTTTAAAAAGTGAAATCACACATAGTGTGTTAATTACCCACAATAGCATCAAACCAGAAATCAGGAACAAAAAGATGACAGTAACGTCTTGGCAGACTTAGAAACTAAACAACACATTTCTACATAGTTCATAGGTCAAAGAGGAAGTCTTAAAGGAAATAATTAAAATATTTTGAACTTAATGAAAATGTTGCAATGTAACAATTTTGTGACAAACAACTAAAGCAGTGCTGAGAGAGGAATTTATATTACTAGGCGTTTGCTTTAGAAAAGAGAAGTGTCTTTACTTACCAATAATCCAAACTCCTACCTCAACCCAGATAAAGAAGAGCAAAATATGCTCAAAGCAAGCAGAAGTAAAATACTAAAGATAGTAGCTGAATCCAGTGAAATTGAAATTAGAAATACAACAGAGAAAAATCAGTAAAAGAGCTGCTTCTTTGAAAAGATTGATAAAATTGGCAAATCTCTAGCCAGTCTGACAAAGAAAAAAGAGAAGTCATAAATTACCAACATCAGAAATAATAGAGGGTCTGTTACCACAGACGTCAAATATAAGTGAGTACTAAAAACAATCCTTTATTCATAAATTTGACAATTTAGGTTAAATAAACAAATTTCTCAAAAAGCATATATGACCACAACTGACCAAAAGTGAAATGCATAATTTGGATAGCCCTATAGCTAATAAGGAAACCAAGGAGGCAATTTAAAATAGCCCGAAGAAGATGTGTTGGGAATAGTCTGTATATTACTATGATGATGTCAATATTCCATTTGTGATATTGTACTGAGGTTTTGCAACCTTTAAGAGAAACTGTGTAAAGAACACATGGAATCCCTTCACACTACTTCCTGCAACTGCATGTGAAACTACGATTATTTCAAAATTTTTACAAGTTTTAAGAATTGAAACTGAAGTAAAATTTAAAGAACATTTGAAATACACTTAAATGAAAGATTTTTTTCAAAATACAAAACTAACTTGCTTTATATAAAACTCTAGTGCATACTACACTTATATAAAAGTAGACAAAGAAATCTGCATGAGTTTACAATGGCAAATCACTAAACAAAATATAACATATGGTTCAAGTTAAAAAAAAGAAACAGCAAGCCACAAAATGATACCGATATCAACTAACTTAATGGCATATAAAAACAAAAATTCATCACTATTAAACACACACACACACACCCCAAATTGTAGCAAACAACAACATGACATTCACAATATCTAGCATCCAATAAAAACTTACCAGGCCTGCAAAAAAGCTTAAGTTTTTCCATAACCAAAAGCAAAAATAATAGAAACAGACACAGACATGACAGATAAGAAAGAACTAGCTAAAATGTTAAAAAGCGAATATAACTTTATGCCATATGTTCAAGAAGGTAGAAGAAAATATGACCATTATGAGGAGGGAAATAAAATATATATTTTTAAAATCCAAATGAAACTTGGAGAAATGTTTTAAAAACTTCAGCCTGAGCAACATGGCAAAACCCCATCTTTAAAAAAACACAAACATTAGCCGGGTGTGGTGGCACACGCCAGTAGTCACAGCTACTCGGGAGGCTCGGCAAGAAAATCACTTGAGCCCTGAAGGTCCGAGAGCCATGATGGTAGCACAGCACTCCAGCCTGGGCAACAGAGAGTGAGACTGTCAAAAAAAAAAAAAGAAAGGAAGAAAGAAAGAAAACCTAAATAAAATATAAGCACACCTGATTAAAAGCAGATTAAACACGAATAAGGAGAGATAGGTGAATTTAAGGAAATAGCAGTAGAAACTATCCAAAATTAAAAAGAAAAAAAGAGGGAATAAAAAGTGAAAAACTGGTTGTAAGTGACTTACGGGACAGTGACAAGGCTTTTTTGTTACCAAATTTGATGAAAACTAGAAATCTGAAGTTCTTAAAAGCTAAACTAGCTCAAGCAAAAAGCACAAAAAAAAAGGCATGCAAAGTCACATATTTCTGAAAACTACAAACTAGTAAGAAAAGGAAATCTTTAATCCCAGCACTTTGGGAGACCGAGGCAGTTGGGTCACCTGAGATCAGGAGTTGAAGACCAGCGTGCCCAACATGGTGAAACCCCATTTCTACTAAAAATGCAAAAATTAGCTGGGCGTGGTGGTGAACGCCTGTAATCCCAGTTACCCTGGAGGCTGAGGCGGCAGAATAGCAGAAGTGGCAGTGAGCCAGTGAGCCAAAGGGTCATGCCATTTGCACTCCAGCCTGGGAGACCGGAGTGAAACTCTGTCTAAAAAAAAAGAAAAGAAAATCTTAAAAACAGCAAGATAAGAAAGATACAATAAGTAAAAAAGAGCAAGGATACCAAATATAGTAGGCGTCTCACCAGAGACTACACAAGCCAGAATACAATGAAGAAACACATTTAAAATACTGAACATGTATTCACCTAAAATTCCTTAACCAGCAAAAACATATTTCAAAAGTGAACATTAAATGGATATATTTTTGAGACAAAATCTGAGCTAATTCCCTACCATCAGACCTGCTCTACAAGAAAAAGAAAAAAAAAAATCTGTTTCTTCAAAAAGAAAGAAAATAATACCAAAATGAAAATGTGGATGTAAAAAAATGGAATGAAGAATGTTAAGAATGAAAAACATGGATAGTCATAAAAATACATTTAACCACTTTTAATATCTAGGAAACATAATTGTTTAAAGCAATAATAATAATGTATTGTGAGGTTTATGGTATACATATAAATAAAAGGTATAAATATGATGTCACAAGAAGGGGATTATTGAATGCATACTGTGGCAAGGTTCTCACCCTAAACTGAAGTGGAAAATTATTATTTGAGTATGGGCTTTGATAAATTAAAATTGCATAATGTTAATCCTAGAAAAACCACTAAAACAAAGAACATACAAAACAAAACAAAAGAACAATAAAAAGGTGCAACTATTAATCTAACAGTAGAGATAAATGGAATAATTTTTTAAAAAGCTCAATTAATAAAATGCAAAGGATAGTAAAGAATAGATGAAAAAATAGTCAACAAATAGCAAGAGAGTAATTTAAAACACAATCATATTCATTAGTTCAGTAAATGTAGATTAAAAAAAAACACTCCCCAATTAAAGGCAGAGATTGTTAGATTGGATTAAAACAACCACAAAAAAAGATTCAACCATATTCTATTCTACAGTAAATCTAAACTAAACACAAAACCAAAGATAAAAGGGTGAAAAAAAAGTATATACTACAAACACTAATCAGAAGAAACTGGAGTGGCTGTGTTATTATTAAAGTAATATTTCAAAACAAGAGATATATCATAATGATAATTCCAGGGATAGACAGGAATATATCACAATGATAAAGAACCTACAAAAATCCTAAATGTGTAGCCATATAATAAAAATGCACAGCTGATCTCTCAGCAGAAACTCTACAAGCCAGAAGAGAGTGGCGACCAATATTCAACATTCTTAAAGAAAAGAATTTTCAACCCAGAATTTCATATCCAGCCAAACTAAGCTTCATAAGTGAAGGAGAAATAAAATACTTTACAGACAAACAAATGCTGAGAGATTTTGTCATCACCAGGCCTGCCCTAAAAGAGCTCCTGAAGGAAGCACTAAACATGGAAAGGAACAACTGGTACCAGCCACTGCAAAAACATGCCAAATTGCAAAGACCATCAAGGCTAGGAAGAAACTGCATCAACTAACGAGCAAAATAACCAGCTAGCATCATAATGACAGGATCAAATTCACACATAACAATATTAACTTTAAATGTAAATGGGCTAAATGCTCCAATTAAAAGACACAGACTGGCAAATTGGATAAAGAGCCAAGACCCATCAGTGTGCTGTATTCAGGAAAGCCATCTCACGTGCAGAGACACACATAGGCTCAAAATAAAGGGATGGAGGAAGATCTATCAAGGAAATGGAAAACAAAAAAAAGGCAGGGGTTGCAATCCTAGTCTCTGATAAAACAGACTTTAAACCAACAAAGATCAAAAGAGACAAAGAAGGCCATTACATAATGGTAAAGGGATCAATTCAACAAGAAAAGCTAACTATCCTAAATATATATATGCACCCAATACAGGAGCACCCAGATTCATAAAGCAAGTCCTTAGTGACCTACAAAGAGACTTAGACTCCCACACAATGATAATGGGTGATTTTAACACCCCACTGTCAACATTAGACAGATGAACGAGACAGAAAGTTAACAAGGATACCTAGGAATTGAACTCAGCTCTGCACCAAGCAGACCTAATAGACATCTACAGAACTCTCCACCCCAAATCAACAGAATATACATTCTTTTCAGCACCACACCACACCTACTCCAAAACTGACCACATAGTTGGAAGTAAAGCACTCCTCAGCAAATGTAAAAGAATAGAAATTATAACAAACTGTCTCTCAGACCACAGTGCAATCAAACTAGAACTCAGGATTAAGAAACTCACTCAAAACCGCTCAACTACATGGAAACTGAACAACCTGTTCCTGAATGACTACTGGGTAAATAATGAAATCAAGGCAGAAATAAAGATGTTCTTTGAAACCAATGAGAACAAAGACACAACATACCAGAATCTCTGGGACACATTCAAAGCAGTGTGTAGAGGGAAGTTTATAGCACTAAATGCCCACAAGAGAAAGCAGGAAAGATCTAAAATTGACACTCTAACATCACAATTAAAATAACTAGAAAAGCAAGAGCAAACACATTCAAAAGCTAGCAGAAGGCAAGAAATAACTAAGATCAGAGCAGAACTGAAGGAAATAGGGACACAAAAAACCCTTCAAAGAATTAATGAATCCAGGAGCTGGTTTTTTGAAAAGATCAACAAAATTGATAGACCACTAGCAAGACTAATAAAGAAGAAAAGAGAGAAGAATCAAATAGACACAATAAAAAATGATAAAGGGGATATCACCACCGATCCCACAGAAATACAAACTACCATCAGAGAATACTATAAACAACTCTACGCAAATAAACTAGAAAATCTAGAAAAAATGGATAAATTCCTCGACACTACACCCTCCCAAGACTAAACCAGGAAGAAGTTGAATCTCTGAATAGACCAATAACAGGTTCTGAAATTGAGGCAATAATCAATAGCTTACCAACCAAAAAAAGTCCAGGCCTAGATGGATTCAAAGCCGAATTCTACCAGAGGTACAAAGAGGAACTGGTACCATTCCTTCTGAAACTATTCCAATCAATAGAAAAAGAGGGAATCCTCCCTAACTCATTTTATGAGGCCAGCATCATCCTGATACCAAAGCCGGGCAGAGACACAACCAAAAAAGAGAATTTTAGACCAACATCCCTGATGAACATCAATGCAAAAATCCTCAATAAAATACTGGCAAACCGAATCCAGCAGCACATCAAAAAGCTTATCCACCATGATTACTTGGGCTTCATCCCTGGGATGCAAGGCTGGTTCAACATACGCAAATCAATAAATGTAATCCAGCGTATAAACAGAACCAAAGACAAAAACCACATGATTATCTCGATAGATGCAGAAAAGGCCTTTGACAAAATTCAACAACCCTTCATGCTAAAACCTCTCAATAAATTAGGTATTGATGGGATGTATCTCAAAATAATAAGAGCTATCTATGACAAACCCACAGCCAATATCATACTGAATGGGCAAAAACTGGAAGCATTCCCTTTGAAAACGGGCACAAGACAGGGATGCCCTCTCTCACCACTCATATTCAACATAGTGTTGGAAGTTCTGGCCTGGGCAATCAGGCAGGAGAAGGAAATAAAGGGTATTCAATTAGGAAAAGAGTAAGTCAAATTGTCCCTGTTTGCAGATGACATGATTGTATATCTAGAAAACCCCATCGTCTCAGCCCAAAATCTCCTCAAACTGATAGGCAGCTTCAGCAAAGTCTCAGGATACAAAATCAATGTACAAAAATCACAGGCATTCTTATACACCAATAACAGACAAACAGAGAGCCAAATCATGAGTGAACTCCCATTCACAATTGCTTCAAAGAGAATAAAATACCTAGGAATCCAACTTACAAGGGATGTGAAGGACCTCTTCAAGGAGAACTACAAACCACTGCTCAACGAAATAAAAGAGGATACAAAGAAATGGAAGAACATTCCATGCTCATGGGTAGGAAGAATCAATATCGTGAAAATGGCCATACTGCCCAAGGTAATTTATAGATTCAATGCCGTCCCCATCAAGCTACCAATGACTTTCTTCACAGAATTGAAAAAAACTACTTTAAAGTTCATATGGAACCAAAAAAGAGCCCGCATCGCCAAGTCAATCCTAAGCCAAAAGAACAAAGCTGGAGGCATCACGCTACCTGACTTCAAACTATACTACAAGGCTACAGTCACCAAAACAGCATGGGACTGGTACCAAAACAGAGATATAGATCAATGCAACAGAACAGAGCCCTCAGAAATAACACCTCATATCTACAACTATCTGATCTGTGACAAACCTGAGAAAAACAAGCAATGGGGAAAGGTTTCCCTATTTAATAAATGGTGCTGGGAAAACTGGCTAGCCATATGTAGAAAGCTGAAACTGGATCCCTTCCTTACACCTTATACAAAAATTAATTCAAGATGGATTAAAGACTTAAATGTTAGACCTAAAGCCATAAAAACCCTAGAAGAAAACCTGGGCAATACCATTCAGGACATAGGCATGGACAAGGACTTCATGTCTAAAACACCAAAAGCAATGGCAACAAAAGCCAAAATTGACAAATGGGATCTAATTAAACTAAAGAGCTTCTGCACAGCAAAAGAAACTACCATCAGAGTGAACAGGCAACCTACACAATGGGAGAAAATTTTTGCAACCTACTCATCTGACAAAGGGCTAATATCCAGAATCTACAATGCACTCAGACAAATTTACAAGAAAAAAACAAACAACCCCATCAAAAAGTGGGCGAAGGATATGAGCAGACACTTCTCAAAAGAAGGCATTTAGGCAGCCAAAAAAACACATGAAAAAATGCTTATCATCACTGACCATCAGAGAAATGCAAATCAAAACCACAATGAGATACCATCTCACACCAGTTAGAATGGTGATCATTAAAAAGTCAGGAAACAACAGGTGCTGGAGAGGATGTGGAGAAACAGGAACACTTTTACACTGTTGGTGGGACTGTAAACTAGTTCAACCATTGTGGAAGTCAGTGTGGCAATTCCTCAGGGATCTCGAACTAGAAATACCATTTGACCCAGCCATCCCATTACTGGGTATATACCCAAAGGATTATAAATCATGCTGCTATAAAGACACATGCACACATATGTTTATAGCGGCACTATTCCCAATAGCAAAGACTTGGAACCAACCTAAATGTCCAACAAGGATAGTCTGGATTAAGAAAATGTGGCACATATACACCATGGAATACTATGCAGCCATAAAAAATGATGAGTTCGTGTCCTTTGTAGGGACATGGATGAAACCGGAAACCACCATTCTCAGCATACTATCGCAAGGACAAAAAACCAAACACCGCATGTTCTCACTCATGGATGGGAACTGAACAATGAGAACACATGGACACAGGAAGGGGAACATCACACTCTGGGGACTGTTGTGTGGTGTGGGGAGTTGGGAGGGATAGCATTAGGAGATATACCTAATGCTAAATGACGAGTTAATGGGTGCAGCACACCAACATGGCACATGTGTACATATGTAACAAACCTGCACATTGTGCACATGTACCCTAAAACTTAAAGTATAATAATAATAAAATTTTTAAAAAATGTATCAATGTGCATGAAGCCAAAATGTATAGAGCCAGAATGAGAAATAAACAAATCTACAATTATAGGTGGAGATTTCAATACTCCTTTTCCAGTAAGTTATAGATTAAAAGGAAATCAATAAAAATATAGAATACTAAACAAAACTGTCAACCAAGTTGACCTAATTGATATTCATAGAACATTCACCAAACAACAGCGTATTCCAGTCTCTTGAGGTACACATAAAACATTCAAAAGATAGATAAGATGATGAGCCATAAAATAAATCTCATCAAATTGAAGATAATTAAAATTATACAGAATAACTTCTCTGATCATAATTAACTTAAGTAGAAATCAGTAACAGAAAGGCAACTGAAAGACTCCAAAACATTTGGAAATCATATTACACACTTGTAAATAAGCCATGAATCAAAGGAGAAATTAAAAAGAAATTAGGAAATATTTTGAACTGAAAGAAAAACCCAACATATTAAGATTTCTAGATTTCAGCTTACAACTTAAACAATATTTAAAGAACACTTTATAGCATCAAATGCTTATATTAGAAAGGAAGGAAGATCTTAAATAAAATAAATGATATCATCTTCTACCTCAAGAAACTAGAAAAAAAGAGCCAATTTAACCTAAATAAATAAGAAAATATTATAATGCAGGAGTCAATAAAATTAAAAATTGGTGACCAAAAAAATCAGTAAAATTACAAACTGGTTTTATGAAAATATCATTAAACTTGATAAATCTCTAGCCAGACTAATAAAAAAACAGAAAATGCACAGAATATCAATATCAGCAATGAAAGAGGAGACATCACTACAGATACTCCAGACATAGAAAAGATAATAAGAAAATATTGTGAATAACTTCATGACAATAAATTTGACAGCTTAGATGAAATGGACAAATTTCTGGAAAATTACAAATGACCAGTCCTGAAAGGAGAATAATATTTGAACTTTATATTTCTAAAACCCTGTATTTGAAGTCTTATATTCAATGTAGTTGACTTTAAATTTACAATAAAAATACTTTCCCACCAATGAAACTCCAGGCTCAGATGGTTTTATTCAAGAATTCCATCAAACATGTATAGAAAAAATAATATCAATTCTACACAAACTCTTACAAAATATAAAAAGGAAGGAGCACATCCCAACTCATTTTCTGAGGCTTGCATTGCTTTGATACCAAAACTAGAAAAAGGCATTAAAAAAAAACTACACACCAACATCCCTCATGAATATAGACAAAAAAAAAGCCTCTCTTCCATGCAGCATTCCAAAGTTTTCCTAGACTTAATCATTTTCTCCTAGCTGCATTTACACCTTTCTGTGATGTATTATTATAAGCTGTTGTTCACACACCTGCCCTTGTCAGAGGATTACAGGATAGTTTCCATAGTCCTTGCATGTCACAATGCCGGTAAGTCTGCATTCTTTTGATGCACATCCCAAAATTAAATTACACCTGGAAATAATCTCTTTTGTTACCTTTCTTGCCATCACTCTCTCTTTCACACTCATGCACACACATGCACACACACAGACACACAAAATCGTCTAGCAATGATTCCAAAGAATCTAACTTTTGAATTTAATAGAAGTAATACATTGGTTCCTTAGGTTACCATTTTATCCCTGTCACTAAAGAACAATTAATTTTTTTGCTTTATTGTTTTGTGTTAAATATTCCTCCAACTTCAATGCTGATTTCACCTTCCTTCAATTCAGCACTGATTTTCACATTTTAAGGCTGTCTTCTTCTATATATATATATTTTATATAGGCTTTCATTTTAGGTCAGTTCTTCCAAGATATGCTGAAATCTGAATGGTAGAAAGTTAAAAGTTTTCATTAGAGGAAATGATAATATTCTGACCTCTGACACCTCAATATTCTGACCTCTGACACCTCTTAGTGTTGCTCTAAGTTCAGGTCTAAGACTCAGTTTCTGACCTGGGGGAAAAATGGAGCTAATAATTTCCTTGAAGGGTTATTGAGAGATCAAATTTTAAAAAAGGACTTTTAAGAGACCAAATGAGATTTTTTTTTTTTTTTTTTTTATTCAGAGTCTCGCTTTGTCGCCAAGGCTGGAGTGCAGTGGCTCGATCTCGGTTCACTGCAACCTCTGCTTCCCGGGTTCAAGCGATTCTCCTGCCTCAGCCTCCCTAGTAGCTAGAACTACAGACACGTGCCACCACACCCAGCTAATTTTTGTATTTTTAGTAGAGACGGGGTTTCACCATGTTGGCCAGGATGGTCTCAGTCTCCTGACCTCATGATCCGCCCACCTCGGCCTCCCAAAGTGCTGGGAAGATGAGATTTTTTTTAATGTATAAAGATGGTTTTGTGAATGGTAAAATAATGTACAAATGCAAAGAATTGTTGTATTATTTTATACACATAAAAGTAGTATAAATAATATTTAAGAATAGGGGCTTGGGGATAATAGTTCCATAGTTCACGCCCTGGCTTTGACACGTACTCGCTGTCTGACCTTGGGCAAGTGACTTATTCTTGGTCTCAGTTTCCTCATCTATAAAATGGAGATAATAATATCCGTAATATAGGCCTACTATAATAATTAAATACATTAATTTACAAAGTGGTTACAAAGTATTTGATATATACTAAGGGATTAATAGATTGTGAGTTGTGGGCTTGAAAACTAAAAATATGGATTGTGGTGGATTATGAAGGACATTGAATAAAATGATAATGTATTTGTCAGTCCACAAGGAACCACTAGAAGATTTTGAAGAAGGGGAATGGCATTAACGAATAGATGGTATGAGAACAGTAAGCCAATGGGAATACTAAGTATAGTGGGAGAAACTTGGGAGGGAAAGGCATCTAGGAACATACAGCCTGGGTCTTGGTCACTGACGATTAACCACTTTGATGAGATAAGGGGAGGTAAGTGGAGAGGGAGAGAAAAGACAGTGTTAATAAACATGTGATAGGATGCAAAATTCTTTGCCTAACGTAAGGCCAATGATGGGATAATTCACTCTAAAACTTGAATAAGCCCATTGGCAATAATTGATTGCAGAATAATATGAGATTGTTCCTGATTTTGCTCAAAATCAAAGTTCCATGATATCAGGAGGACAGCTATATGATGTTTGTAAATGAATTTCTAAGTGAAAAAATATCTCATTTTCAATTCCAGCCTCACCACTAACCGGGTCATGTTAGGCAGATAACTTACCTGAACCTCTTTTCTTCAACTATGCAATGAGGATAATAACACTACCTCATAGTTTTGGTGTGAAAATGACGTGATGTGACATGTAAATGCTTGATGCAAGTTTCTTACACAAGGAAGGTATTCGATAAAGTATAATTTCAGTCTTTATCTCTCAGATCTATTAAATTATACTGCAATGGTATGAAATGGCAGGAGATGGGAAGCCTGGACCAGGGGCTTTCATATGCTAGAGGTTCCATCTTCTGACAACAGCCCAGAAGGTTCTGCAAAGCTTCTCTTGTTGGCTTAAGATCTCAGTCAAGCTGCAGCTCTCCTGATTGACAACCTTGCTAAATTACACTGAGTGACTATCCAAATTTGGCATATTAATTAAGGTTTATATTTGAATTTATTGCATTAGATATCTTGCAAGACCAACATTGATTCAATGATTGACACTTTTATTAAAATGATCTGTTACATTAGATAAGAAATTAGTTCTTTCTCTCATATACCTCCAAGTTAAAAAAAAGTTCCCACATTTGTTTGATTGTTTCAAAGTTTTGTACCATAATGAATTATTTCTCTTTTCATAGTTTTTCGATAATAATTATATTTTAATTAAATTGGTTTTTTTTAAATCTTCCAAACATAGTTCGAAGTTGTGGCTCCTACCTTTGCTCACATTTTGTTAATTTTCATTTTTAGAATTATATCCTTTAAGGCAGTGGTCCCCAGCATTTTTGGCATCAGGGACCAGTTTTGTGGAAGACAATTTTTCTACAGACCAGGAGGAGGGGGAATGGTTTTGGGATGATTCAAGTGCATTACATTTATTATTTACATTTAGAAATAAATGTGTATATATATACATTTATTAGAAATAAACTGCACTTTATTTTTATTATTATTACATTGTAATATATAATGAAATAATTATACAACTGGGCAGGGGGATCTCTATTTTTTTGTCCTCACACATTTGAAAGATCTTCCTTTAATGGTCCTAGGTTTATGAGAGAGGAAATTCCTATTACATGGCCTGTCTTGGGTGAGTCCAGGTCTTGTCTCCTATTCTTAGTACCCCATGCCATGAAAACTAAAGTTCAAATTCTCCAGGTTCAGCAGACACTCTCAGGGTAAAATCTAACTGCTTGACTTGGCTTACCTAGGTTTTCTCCCTGCTTATTTTTCTAGCCTAAAAAAAAAATTTTCTACCAGCTCATCTATATACTTAAGAAGCAGCAGTTTTTTTAGAAAAATATATTTTTAGTTAGGATATTTAGTCACTTTTAAAAAGAAGGTTGGTCTGAGTACCTCATTCACCATTTTATCAGAATTCTGAAATACAGTATTTCCATAATAATTATTTTTTAAATATTCTGCCATTTTAGGTTTTGTTTTATTTCTAGGTTGTAAGGGATTTGTTTTTCATTGGATTATTCTGCCAGTTATCATTCGACTGCAATACAGAAAACCACAGTTCAGTGTTGCCTTAAACTCATGTGAGGACTGGGCCGCCTTGCCCGGGACAAAGCCCCTCCCCATCACTTCCCTGGGCTGTGCTGGAGATGTGGGCGTGCAGCCACTTTTCCTCATGTCTTTCATTTTGTAGTCACAAGGTGGCTGCCCCCTCCAGGTGTCACATTTGCTTTCCAAGCAGGAAGAAACCAAAAGTGGAGAGAGCATTAAGGGCTAGCCCTGCATCAAGAACGCAAAAGCTTTCCAGAAGTTTCTTACTGGTCAGAATTGTGTCAGATGGCGGCCCAGCTGCAACTGTTGCCACCCAAATAAAACAGAGGTTCCACCAAAAAGGCCAGCAGAAAAAATGACTATGGAGAGGTCCTGAGTAGCATCTACCACAGCTGCTCACTTCCAGCTTCCACAGCACTGTCTTCAGCCAACACCCGAACTGTTTCTACATTCAGAATGTTTCTTCTTTGTGGCCTGACATTTGATCCATCAATACAAATGTATTTTATGTACCTTATAATTATTATTTGGTCTTCTATATTTTTGCTTTTTTTCATTTATTTGGTACAGCATAAGCTAACAAAGATACATTAAAGTTTACTTGTTTTGTTGAGTTTCCCATATGACTTTTTTCACATTCGGTGCCTTAATGTTCATGATTAATCTTCATTACAAATTGTAAACTTTTTTCATAATATAGTATTTATCTTTGCTTCACGTTTTTTGCTTATCGTTAAAACTTGCTAGATACTAATTTTACAATTCTATTGTATTTTTATTTGCATTTCCTGCGCACATCACCACCCTTTCTGTTGCAGTTATGTCTCGTCGTTTGCATCTATTTATTCCTCAGATCTCTCCATCTTCTCTCCTTGCCCAAGCTCAATGTTCTTTTAATTTCTTATTATAATATTTTGTAATATTTGCATCCTACTCTGTAATCATACTCTCCATGGTCATAAAACCTCATGTTTCATTTCAGTGAATTCAATGTTACCACTAGTCTTTTTCTTTTTTTCTTTCTTCCATCCTCCCTCCCTTTTCCTTTCTCTTCCCTCCTTCCCCTCTTCTCTCCTCCCTTCCCTCCTTCATTCTTTTCCTTCTTCTTTACCCTCTTCCTGTTACTCCTTCTCCTCCTTCACCTTAACATATCTCTTCATCTTCTGTTTGTCTACAGTTTGTTCTCTCATACTTTTGGCTTTTTTTTTTTTTCTGGCAGGGCTATTGAGAGTATATACTCTGGAGAGTATTCAGAGTATAAACGCCTCAAGAGACAGGTCTGTTTTTTGTATACTTGGATAGCAGGAAGGTTGCATATAAACATTTTTAGTTGTACTTCCATCCTCTAAGAATTTTGTAAATACTATTCCACTTTCTTCCACATTTGAGTGCTATAAAGGTCTGAGGCTAACCAGCCTTGTTCTCCTTAAGGAAAATTTGATTCTTCCCTGTGTGCCATAGAAATATTTCTGCTAGTTTTAGTAAAATATGTTAGAGTAGTTTTGTTCTGAATTTGTTTTATCTGGAGCATGTCGCCTTTCCATGTGTGGACTCTGATCTTTTAAGAAATTTTCAAAAATTTAAAATCAGCATTTAAGATTTTTACCTTGCATGATTTTTTCCTTCTCTTTTCCAGGTAGGATTGTGATTATATGAGATATCCCAGATCTGCCTTAACTACCAATGCTTTCTACTATAACCCTTTGCAATGCGCTTCTTTTTCTGCTGCATTTTGTCCAGTCTTTCCAACTTGCTCCTTATATCCCAGCATGTATTTTAGCCAGGTATGTTTTTTTAACTTCTTATAATAACTTTCTAATTTCTGTAATGATTATTTCTCATTTAATTTCTTTGTTTCTTTATCTCTACTTAAAGGCCCTATGTTTCTCCTTGAGTCCTTATCTCAGAAAGATCACATTTTCATTAATATGTTTGAATCCACAGAGAACTATGTGTTCATATATTTCTTAGTCTTTAAGGCACCATTTTTTCCTGAGATATCTATCTATACACACATACACATATATTGTGCATACATACACATATACACATATATATACCTATATACACACACGCATACCTATTATATATATATATATATATATATATCCTTTACTTTTCGTATTCTAATTCTCTATTCATGATAGGAGTAAGTTTGCATAGGTCTCATGCCTTTTAATGAATATTTATCTTTGAATGAATCATCTACTTGCAGGATCGTGTTGGAGAGGGGAAGCAGATTGAGCCTCAAGAGTTGGAACTCTAAACCTCAGTTCATCACCTCTGAGCTCTTTCTCAACAACTCACTCCACCAGAGACCTGGCCCTTCTGTGGCCCACATGTCTCAGGCTTTAGATCAACTTTATTTTCAGCTCTCAAGACCATTAGGTGCACTTCCCTTCCATCCATTTACACCAATCATCGTCTTT